>NC_000002.12:96785484-97112551 GCF_000001405.40 Homo sapiens | reverse complement strand
ACATTCGCTATTGTGATTAGAAAAGCTGCATTTACACACGTTAGCCACTAGATGGGGACGTGCGATTGTTACAATGCTGAAGGTTTCCCGTATTTCTTTATTTTTTATTTGGCCGCTAGAGGGCACGCCTGCACTGCACTTAAAGCTGACTATTAAGGAAAGACAAAGGAATTCTTGGATTTTTCCATTTTCCTCATCACCTGTGCTTATCAGAGAATTCCAGGGGCAAGCTACCCTTTCCAATTCATCACTAATTTATAAACAAAATTCTAAGGAGTAAGGAATGCTTCTTACTTACTTCCTATAACATATTTAAGAATGAACGCTCAAAATAAAAGTAATTTATTTAAAACGTGTTGAGTAATTATAACTGCAAAATTTTTGCTCATGTTTTTCATATGCTGTTCATTTGCAAATTATTAGAAATCTACATATTCTGTTCATCTCAGCATTATTTATAACAGGGAAAAATTAGACACTAGCCAAAAATCTAAAAACAGGGAACAGTAAGGAAAAAACAAATGGTTCTTTTAATCATCATCACTAAAAGTGCTTGTGACTTAAAATAATGACATAAAAGATGCTTCTACGTTGTTGAGTAAAACATCAAGATAAATTTAAAATTCTATTTCAAGCTTAACTATATTCATTTAAAAAGAGAAAAATTTTAGAGGGTTTATCTTGTTGGATTATCAGATGTTATTTTTCTCTTTTTAATGCCATATACTTTTCAAATTTTCAGTGGGCTGGTATTACTTTTGTATTTAAAAAAGAAAAATATAAGGAAAAAGAAACCTGTCACACACTTTTTAGTGGATTTTACTGATCAGTCATCTCTGTATTTCTGGCATCAGCAAACTGAGCCAGAAACTCAGTGCCTCCCATTTCTTTCTTTTTTTTTTTTTTTTTAGACGGAGTCTTGCTCTGTCGCCCAGGCTAGAGTTCAGTGGCTCAAACTTGGCTCGCTGCAACCTCTGCCTCCCAGGTTCAAGTGATTCTTCTGCCTCAGCCTCCCAATTAGCTGGGATGACAGGTGCCCACCACCGCACCCGGCTAATTTTTCTATTTTAGTAGAAACAGGGTTTCACCATCTTGACCAGGCTGGTCTCGACTCCTGACCTTGTGATCCACTGGCCTCGGCCTCCCAAAGTGCTGGGATTAACAGACCTGAGCCACCGCGCCAGGCCAAGTGCCTCCCATTTCTTGTATTTACCTTTAAAACTCCTGCAATGAAGGACTCCCTCCTCCCTCATCTAACCTATTATGTGTGTGGTGAGTTCTGACTATGATATCATTCCTGATGTGAAACCGAAGTCTCTCTCTTCTAAGTCCATCCATTGGTTCAGTTCTGTCTTCTGACAGAGTCCACGCCAGACTTCACATTTCTCCCAATCGTCTTTGTCCTACAAGGGCTTTCTATTCTTCAAGCTAAAGAGATACCAGTGATTCCATTCGTTCATTCAGTTAACGTTTAGGGGCCACATCTTGTGCTATGTCCTGAGATTTGCCAATGAGCAGAGCTCAGAGTATTGAAAAGACAAACACATACACCAGGCATTTTACTATGCTGTGTTGTGTGCATGACAGGAGCACACAGGGCATCCAGGCACCAGTGAGAAGGGCCATTCACCAGACTTGAGAGGTCAGCAAGGGTGCTCTGAGGAAACACCTTCTAAACTGAGAGCTGGAAAGAGTGAGACAGGAAAGCAGTAAGAGGTAGCGTTCTGAGGAGGAAATCTCCGAGGTGGGACAGGGATGCGTGTGGAGAGAATGCCCTTCCCATCCCCACTCTTCATGAAGTCTCTACTCTGTCAGGGTCTCTCTGCCCTGTGAGCTGCTTGAGGACAAAGACTGTTTTATAAAAATTTTTATTTCCTCCCTCTGTCTTCCTTAAACACCTAGCCCAGTGCCTGGAACATAAGAAGCCATAATGAATTTTTGTTAGATGAGTGAAGAGTGCTGAGTAGAGCAGAAATGTCACATGCCTCAGTTTAAATATGGGTCATCAGTTTTCTTTCTTTTTTAACATAGAAGTCAAGACTTGATGATCTCTTACAGCTTCGAGATGCTATTAAAGATATAATCATCCTCATGTATTTGAGCTTTGTTTTCACCCATTATGTTATGACTGCTGTCCATTGTTCCATGACACAATTCTCCATCTTTCCTCATTTTCTTCCATTTCAATTAACTCATTTATTTACATGTGGGAATGGAACATACAACGTAAAATCCACAAGTAAGACTTCCCAGATCCTCAGCTTCTTTCTCTGGCATTAGCCACTGTTTCTACTTTCATGAGCATCTGCTATGGTTTGAATGTATCCCCTCCAGAAATCAAATATTACAAATGTGATAGTATTAAGAGGTGGGGACTTTTGGAGGTGATTAGGCTATGAGGGCTCTGCCTTCATGAATAGGATTAAATATGCTTAGAAAAAGGAATGATGGAGGAAGTTAGACTCCTTTTGCCCTTCAGTCTCCTGCCATGTGAGGACACAGCACTCCTCCTCTCTGGAAGATGCAGCCTTCAAGGCGACATCTTGGAAACAGAGACCAGACACTCACCTGACAATGAATCTAATGGCCCCTGGATTTTGGACTTCCCAGCCTCCAGAACTGTGAAAAAACCAAATTTCTGTTGTTTATAAATTACTCAGTCTATGGTATTCTCTCATAGCAGCCCAAAACAGACAAGACTGTAGGAAATCAATTTGTATTCAGCACATCAACAAAATTCTTTACAAATGGGACTCCCCCCAATAGGTGGGTGTCACTAAAGAGAGGTGCCCATAAGCATGAGACAATGACCACGTGGCATGAGCAACGAACTACGATGAATGAGCACGTTACCACCACTAAAGACAAAACTTACATGACTAGATGACAACAAAATAATTTCTTATAATGAATTTCTCATTGTATTTTTTCTTAACCTTCCCTCCATTTAGTCAGGAATCTGGCTCTGACTCACACCTGAAGGACAGACAAGGACTTTTGTTTCCAAAAGCATAAACTGAAAGGAGAACTCGCAGAGTCTACAGAAAAGAGAAAAGACATTTGTCAACAGGGAGTGTTTATCTTTTTTAACTGGAGGGAGAGAGCAGGGATGAGGAGAGGAGATGCCTTCGGTATTGGAAAAAAACAATATTGTAGAGTTTTCCATCCCGGTACTAACAAAATTATAAAGGCCAATAAGAAATAACTGATAGCAATAAAACAAGGAAAGGGGCATAGCCTAATACAGTAAAGAAACTGGTGACTCAAAGAGAGAAAGGAAAAGAACATTCTGGAGCAAAATAGAGAGGGTCAGCATTTAGCTCCTAAGTTCCTCTTCCATCCTCCAGCCCCACCCTCCACATCCACCTCCAAATCCGGTGATTTTGAGCATAGTGAAGCACACTGACACTGAAGGGTGTCCTTATACGATCCTTCACTTGCTGGTGACTGGTGGAAACAGATGCTGGGGAGAAACAGGAGAAACAAGGTGGAGGGACATCAGGGTGCACTTCCTCTAAGAGAAGTCAAGGCTACACATGGAATGAGGAAAGCAAACCAATGCCCAGGGGAGTCCTCATGGTACTGAAACAGGAAGAGCCATCTGTTGCCCAAGCATTCTAACCAATGCTCAGAGCCCTCAGCCGCCCTTTCCCTCTACTGTCTCCTCATTCCCTTGGGCTACCAGGAAAAGTGGAGATGTTAATGGGCTCCAATCAAAGGCCACCATGAACACATCTGTAGTTGAAGAAGTGAGTTATTACTGGTTAAGTGAGGGAGAATACAAACTACAGGGAACAGTGGGGTGTCTCACTAAGAGGACATCAGAAAGGACTTAGAGGATTTGGGGTTGTGTTAGGCAATAATCTGGGAGAAGGGTTTAAGGAAATGGGGCTTTGTTCTGAATTGGGTGTTGTCAGGAAGTGGGGGTAATTCTAGCATAGCAGGGTATCTTAATAAATCTTATGTAGAAAGATGTAAACCTGTATTAAAGCCTTAATGGGTTAAGGCTATAATTGGTAAAGAACGTTAAAGCTGTAGTTGGTGAAGAAACAGTAGTTACTCTTCTTAGCTAGAATAGAGACATTGGTCATTTGTGTGATATGAACAATGCTCATGCTTTGCTCATGCTCAGACATGATTATGAAGAGGTCTTGTTTTTGTCTTAAGTATTGGCACAAAATGATATGGTATGAAGCAGATGTTCTATGGAATTGTTTATGCTCACAAGAGAACATCAACATCCATCTGTGGGTGCCAGGCAGCTCACAGCATCGCCAACTCCCGGCAGATAGGACCAGGTCAACTCCTGGCTGCCAGACACACCTCTTCTCTTTCTCAGAGGAACACAAAATACCCAATGCTCATTCTGTAGCTCAACAGGAAAACACATTCTCAGGTGAGCTGGAAAGAAAGTCGCTCATCTAATAATGACACAATTTTAAAAGACTGGTCAATTCAACTACATCAAAGACAAACAAAACAAAATTTTTTGCATGGCAAGAAAAGACTACCACCACAGTCAGAAAACAAATGAAAGAGTAGGAAAATAGGTTTGCAACTTATATCATAGACAAAGGGGTGCTATCTCTCATATACAAATAGTTCTTACAAATTTAGGGGAAATAGACCAACAATATATTGAAAAAATTAAAAAGATACGCATAGAGATTTCATAGGAAAATAATTGGAAGTTGATCTTAAACATGTGAAAAGTTACGCAACATGGCTCATAAGAAGATAAGTGTAAATTAAACATATTTCTATGCTCTGTTGTTAGGTGCATACACACATGCAGGATTGTCATGTCTTCTTGGAGAATTGACTCCTTTTTCTTAGGTAATGTCCTTCTGTATCTATGGTAACTTTTATTGCTCTTTAAGGCTGCTCTGCCTGAAATTAATAGAGATATGTTGGGGGTGTTTTTGATAAGTGTTAGTATGGTATATCTTTCTGCATCCCTTTAATTTATGCAGGTGCATCTTTATATTTAGAATGTGTTTCTTGTAGACTACATATAGTTGAGTCCGACTTTTTAATCTACACTGACAATCTCTTTTATTTTATTTCTGTCTTCCCACCTTTTATTTTAGGTTCAAAGGGTACGTACGTGCGAAGGTTTTTTTTTCTCATATGATTTTTTATTATACTTTAAGTTCTAGGGTACCTGTGCACAACGTGCAGGTTCGTTACATATGTATACATGTGCCATGATGGTGTGCTGCACCCATTAACTTGTCATTTACATTAGGTATATCTCCTAATGCTATCCCTCCCCCCTCCCCTCACCCCATTGACAGGTCCTGGTGTGTGATGTTCCCCATCCTGTGTCCAAGTGTTCTCACTGTTCAGTTCCCAACTATGAGTGAGAACATGCGGTGTTTGGTTTTCTGTCCTTGTGATAGTTTACTCAGAATGATGGTTTCCAGCTTCATCCATGTCCCTACAAAGGACATGAACTCATCCTTTTTTATGGCTGCATAGTATTCCACGGTGTATATTTGCCACTTTCTTTAATCCAGTCTATCATTAATGGACATTTGGGTTGGTTCCAAGTCTTTGCTATTGTGAATAGTGCCACAATAAACATAAATATAAAGCATGTGTCTTTATAGCAGCATGATTTCTAATCCTTTGGGTATATACCCAGTAATGGGATCACTGGGTCAAATGGTATTTCTAGTTCTAGATCCTTGAGGAATTGCCACACTGTCTTCCACAATGGGTGAACTAGTATACAGTCCCAGCAACAGTGTAAAAGTGTTGCTATTTCTCCATATCCTCTCCAGCACCTGTTGTTTCCTGACTTTTTTAATGATCGCCATTCTAACTGGCATGAGATGGTATCTCATTGTGGTTTTGATTTGCATTTCTCTGATGGCCAGTGATGATGAGCATTTTTTCATGTGTCTGTTGGCTGTGTAAATGTCTTCTTTTGAGAAGTGTCTGTTCATATCCTTCGCCCACTTTTTGGTGGGGTTGTTTGATTTTTTTCTTGTGAAATTGTTTAAATTCTTTGTAGATTCTGAATATTAGCCCTTTGTCAGATGGGTAGATTGTAAAAATTTTCTCCCATTCTATAGGTTGCCTGTTGACTCTGATGGTAGTTTCTTTTGCTGTGCAGAAGCTCTCTAGTTTAATTAGATCCCATTTGTCAATTTTGGCTTTTGTTGCCATTGCTTTTGGTGTTTTAGTCATGAAGTCCTTGCCCATGCCTATGTCCTGAATGGTATTGCCTAGGTTTTCTTCTAGGGTTTTTATGGTTTCAGGTCTGACATTTAAATCTTTAATCCATCTTGAATTAATTTTTGTATAAGGTATAAGGAAGGGATCCAGTTTCAGCTTTCTACATATGGCTAGCCAGTTTTCCCAGCACCATTTATTAAATAGGGAATCCTTTCCCCATTTCTTGTTTTTGTCAGGTTTGTCAAAGATCAGATGGTTTTAGATGTGTGATATTATTTCTGAGGGCTCTGTTCTGTTCCATTGGTCTATATCTCTGTTTTGATACCAGTACTATGGTGTTTTGGTTACTGTAGCCTTGTAGTATAGTTTGAAGTCAGGTAGTGTGACACTTCCAGCTTTGTTCTTTTGGCCTAGGATTGTCTTGGCAATGCGGGCTCTTTTTTGGTTCCATATGAACTTTAAAGTAGTTTTTTCCAATCCTGTGAAAAAAGTCATTGGTAGCTTGATGGGGATGGCATTGAATCTATAAATTACCTTGGGTAGTATGGCCATTTTCATGATATTAATTCTTCCTATCCATGAGCATGGAATGTTCTTCCATTTGTTTGTGTCCTTTTTTATTTTGTTGAGCAGTGGTTTGTAGTTCTCCTTGAAGAGGTCCTTCACATCCCTTGTAAGTTGGATTCCTAGGTATTTTATTCTCTTTGAAGCAATTGTGAATGGGAGGTCACTCATGATTTGGCTCTCTGTTTGTCTGTTATTGGTGTATAGGAATGCTTGTGGTTTTTGCTCATTGATTTTGTATCCTGAGACTTTGCTGAAGTTGCTTATCAGCTTAAGGAGATTTTGGGCTGAGACAATGGTGTTTTCTAAATATAAAATCATGTCATCTGCAAACAGGTTAATTCCTATAAACCAAGCTGACCTAATAGCCATCTATTTGGCTATTTAAGGTTAAATATTGTTTAACCTTAAATATGACATTTAAGGTTAATATTGTTATGTGTGAATTTGATCCTGTCATTGTTATAATGTTAGGTGGTTAATTTGCTCGTTAATGGATGCAGTTTCTTCCTAGCATTGATGGTCTTTACAATTTGGCATGGTTTTGCAGTGGCTGGTACTGGTTGTTCCTTTACATGTTTAGTGCTTCCTTCAGGAGCTCTTGTAAGGCAGGCCGGGTGATGACAAAATCTCTCAGCATTTTCTTGTCTGTAAGGGATTTTATTTCTCCTTCACTTATGAAGGTTAGTTTGGCTGGATATGAAATTCTGGGTTGAAAATTCTTTTCTTTAAGAATGTTGAATATTGGCCCCCACTCTCTTCTGGCTTGTAGAGTTTCTGCCGAGAGATCTGCTGTTAGTCTGATGGGCTTCCCTTTGTGGGTAACCCGACCTTTCTCTCTGGCTGCCCTTAACATTTTTTCCTTCATTTCAACTTTTGGTGAATCTCCAAGACAATTATGTGTCTTGGAGTTGCTCTTCTCAAGAGTATCTTTGCGGTGTTCTCTGTATTCCTGAATTTGAATGTTGGCCTGCCTTGCTAGGTTGGGGAAGTTCTCCTGGATAATATCCTGAAGAGTGTTTTCCAACTTGGTTCCATTCTCCCCGTCACTTTCAGGTATACCAATCACATGTAGATTTGGTCTTTTCACATAGTCCCACATTTCTTGGAGGCTTTGTTCATTTCTTTTCACTCTTTTTCTCTAAACTTCTCGCTTAATTTCATTCATTTGATCTTCAGTCACTGATACCCTTTCTTCCACTTGATCGAATAGGCTACTGAAGCTTGTGCATGCATCATGTAGTTCTCATGCCATGGTTTTCAGCTCCATAAGGTCATTTAAGGTCTTCTCTACACTGCTTATTCTAGTTAGCCATTTGTCTAATCTTTTTTCAAGGTTTTTAGCTTCTTTGCGATGGGTTCGAACATATTCCTTTAGCTCAGAGAAGTTTTTTGTTTTTTGTTTTTTTTTTTTTTTGAGAGGGAATCTCACTCTGTCACCCAGGCTGGAGTGCAGTGGCACAATCTCGACTCACTGCAAGTTCCACCTCCCGGGTTCTGGCCATTCTTCTGCCTCAGCCTCCTGAGTAGCTGGGACTACAGGTGCCTGCCACCATGCCCAGCTAATTTTTTGTAATTTTAATAGAGACAGGGTTTCACCATCTTAGCCAGGATTGTCTCGATCTCCTGACCTTGTGATCCACCCGCCTTGGCCTCCCAAAGTGCTGGTATTACAGGCATGAGCCACCACGCCCAGTGGAGAAGTGTGTTGTTATCGATCATCTGAAGCCTTCTTCTCTCAACTCCTCAAATTCATTCCCCATCCAGCTTTGTTCCATTGCTGGCGAGGAGCTGCATTCCTTTGGAGAAGAGGTGCTCTGATTTTTAGAATTTTCAGCTTTCTGCTCTGGTTTCTCCCCATCTTTGTGGTTTTATCTACCTTTGGTCTTTGATGATGGTGACGTACAGATGGGGTTTTGGTGTGGATGTCCTTTCTGTTTGTTAGTTTTCCTACTAACAGTCAGGACCCTCAGCTGCAGGTCTGTTGGAGTTTGCTGGAGGTCCACTCCAGACCCTGTTTGCCTGGGTATCACCAGCGGAGGCTGCAGAACAGCAAATATTGCAGATCGGCAAATGTTGCTGCCTGGTCCTTCCTCTGGAAGCTTCATCTCAGAGGGGCACCTGGCCGTATGAGGTGTCAGTTGGCCCCTACTGGGAGGTGCCTCCTGGTTAGGCTACTTGGGGTCAGGGACCCACGTGAGGAGGCAGTCTGTTCATTCTCAGATCTCAAACTCTGTGCTGGGAGAACCACTACTCTCTTCAAAGCTGTCAGACAGGAACGTTTTCACATGTGAAGGTTTATTATTACATCAGTAAACTGTATGTCATAGGAGTTTGGTGTACTGGCCATTTTGTTCCACAAGTAATAAGCAGAGTACTCAATAGGTAGTTTTTCAATCCTCACCCTCCTCCCAACCTCCACCCTTAAGTAGGCCCCGGATGTCTGATGTTCCCTTCTATGTGTCCATGTATACTCAGTGTTTAGCTCCCACTTATAAGTGAGAACATTCATTACTTGGTTTTCTGTTCCTGTGTTAATTCACTTAAGATGATGGCCTCCAGCTCTATCCATGTTGCTGCAAAGGACATTGATTGCATTCCTTTTTATGGCTCTGTGGTATTCCATAGTGTGTATATAGTCTATCATTGATGGGCATCTAGGTTGATTCCATGTCTTTGCTATTGTGAATAGTCCTGCGATGAACATATGCCTGTATGCGTCTTTATGGTAGAATGGTTTATATCCCTTTGGGTATACACTCAGAAATGGAATTGCTGGGTTGAATGGTAGTTTTGTTTTAAGTTCTTTGATAAATCTCCAGACTACTTTTCACAGTGGCTGAACTAATTTATGTTCTGACCAGCAGTGTATAAGCATTCTCTTTTCTCCACAACCTCTCCAGCATCTGTTATTTTTTTACCTTTTATAATAGCCATTCTGACTGTTGTGAAATGGTATCTCATTGTGGTTTTGATATTTAGTACTTTTTCATATGTTTGTTGGCTGTGCAGGTGTCTTTTGAGAAGTGTGTGTTCATGTCCTTTGCCCATTTTTAGTGGGGTTGTTTGTTTTTTCCTTGTTGATTTAAGTTCCTTATAGATTCTAGATATTAGACTTTTGTTAGATGCATAGGTTGTAAACATTTGCTTTCATTCTATAGGTTGTGTGTTTACCCTGTCGATAGTTTTTTTGCTTTGCAGAATCTCTGTCTTAGTTGGTGTATTTAGACCACTGCATTCAAAATGATTATTGACATAGTTAGAGTAATATCTACCTTATCTGTTACTGTTTTTCTATTTGTTGCCTTTTTATTTGTTCCTATATTTTTGTCTTCCACTCTTTTTTTGCCTTTTGTGACTTTAGTTCCACATTTTATATGACCAAAAAATAAATACATTGTCAACATATTTCTGCTATGGTCTCAATATGTTCCCTTGAAATTTAATCACCAATATAAGAAGTGAGGCCCTTAGGAGGTGATTAAGTCATAAGGGTGGAGCCCTCATTAGTGGATTAGTGCTGTAATAAAACAGGTGAGAGGGGGCTATTCACCTTTTCCACCACACAAGGACACAGCAAGAAGGTACCATCTTGGAAGCAGAGAGTGAGCCCTTATCAGACACCAAATCTGCTCTTGCCTTGATCTTGGACCTCCCAGCCTCCAGAACTATGAAAAATAAATTTCTCATAATTATAAATTATGCAGTCAAAATTATTTTGTTATAGCAGCCCAAGTGGAAGAAGGCAACTTCTTTAAAAAAAAAATACTTTTCTTCTTATTTTTTTCACTTCTTTTAGTGTTTTCCTTAGATTTGCAATATACATCTACAACTAATGCAAATCCATTTTCAAATATCATATACTACCTCATGGGTTGTACCAAGTACCTTATAATAACAAAATAATCCCAATTCCTGCCTCCTATCTCTTATATCACTACTGTCATTCATTTCACTTATACATAAATGTACTTAAGTATATATGTTTCTGTAGATATATATACACATATATGAATACATAATTGAATACATTCTTGCTATTATTATTTTGAACAAACTGTTATCTGTTAGATCAATTTGGAATAAAAAAATAAGTTACTATTTTATCTTCACTCATTCCTTCTTCAGTGCTCTCTTTCTTTATATAGATCCAAGTTTCTGACTTGTATGTTTTTCTTTCCCTTGGAAGAACTTCTTTCAGTATTTCTTACAAGGCACATGTACTAACAATAAATTCCCTCAATTTTTGTTTGTCTGAGAAAGTCTGTATTTATTCTTCAGTTTTGAGGAATAATTTTACAGTGTACAGAATTCAAGGTTGTGTATTTTTTTCACTCAAGATGTTAAATATTTCACTTCACACTCTTCTTGTTTGCATGGTTTCCGAGGAGAAGACAGATGTTATCCTTATCTTTGCTCCCTATAGGTAAGGTGGCTTTTTCCTCTGGCTTCTTTCAATAGTTTTTGTTTGTTTGTTTCTTTGTTTGTTTGGAAAAGAGTCTCACTTTGTCACCAGGCTGCAGTGCAGTGGTGCAATGTCAGCTCACTGCAACCTTGCAACCTTCACCTCCTGGGTTCAAGCGAATCTCCTGTCTCAGCCTCCCAAGTAGCTGGGATTACAGGCGCCCACCATTTATGTCCAGCTAATTTTTGTGTTTTTGGTAGTGATGAGGTTTTGCCATGTTGGCCAGGCTGGCTCAAACTCCTGACCTCAAGTGATACACCCACCTTGACCTCTGATCAACCTGCCTTGGCCTCCAGTAGTGTTTTATTTATCTTTGATTTCTACTTTGAATATGCTATACCTGGGTGGAGTTTTTTGGCATTTATTCTGGTTGGTGTTCACAGAGCTTCCTGGATCTATGGTTTGGTGCCTGATATTAATTTGGTGAAAATCTCTGTCATTATTCTTTTTTTGTTTATTTATTTAAAAGGTGGGGTCTCGCTGTGTTGGTCAGGCTGGAGTGCAGTGGCCTTTCACAGGTGTGGTCAGCAAGGAAATTTTGACCTGCTCCGTTTCTGACCTGGGCCAGTTCTCCCCTCCTTAGGCAACCTGGTTATCCGCCTTTCCCCAGAGGTCACCATACTAATGCCAAACTTAGTGCAGACACCCAATCGGCATAGTGCATTGCAGCCCAGAACTCCTGTACAGACTCAAGCGATCCTCCTGCCTCAGCCTCCCAAGTACCTGGGACTACAGGTGTGTGCCACCACATCTATTTATTTTTTGAGACAGGGTCTCACTCTGTCACCCAGGCTGGAGTGCAGTGGTGCAATCATGGCTCACTGCAGATTTGACCTCCCGGGCTTACATGATCCTTTCACCTCACCCCACCGAGTAGATGGGACCAGAGGTGTGCACCATGCACCCCTAATTTTTTAATTTTCTTGTAGAGATGGGGTCTCCCTATGTTGCTCAAGCTATTATTATTTTAAATATTTTTTCTGTTTCTTTCTCTTCTCTTTGTTTCTCTTCTCTTTCTTGCATCCCCATTATGTGTATGTTATTTTTTTTCATAGTTGTCGCACAGTTCTTGAATAGTCTGTTTCACTTTTTCAGTCTCTTTGTTCTTTGCTTTTCTGTCCTGGAAGTTTCTATTGATATATCCTCAAGCGTAGAGATTCTTTCTTCAGCCATGTCCATTACACTCATGGGCCTATCAAAGGCATTTCTCATCACTAGAACAGTGTTTCTCATCTCTAGCCTTTCTTTTTATTCTTTCTTAGGATTTCCATCTCTCTGCTTCACAGGTTCTTGCATGCTGTCTACTTTATTCATTAGAGCCCTTAGTATATTAGTTATAATTGTTTTAAATTCCCGGTCTGATAAGTCTAACACTCCTGCCATATCTGAGTCTGGGTCTGATGCTTGCTCTTTTTCTTCAAACTTTGTGTTTTGCCTTTTAGTATGACTTGTAATTTTCTTCTTGACATCAGACATGAGGTACTGGGTAAGAGGAACTGCAGTTAGTAGGCCCTACAGTAATATCGTAGTAAGATGGCAAAGGACAGAAGAGTGATCACAGTCCTATGATTAGGTCTCAGCCTTTTAGTGATCCTCTGTCTCTGAAATGTTAACTTCACAAGTGCTTCTTGGTTTTCCCCCTTTGGATGGAACAGGACAGTTAGAGCTCTGTATACACCTAAAAAACATAAACAAATATTGAACTTTAGCCAATGTATGCATGTTGAAATGTTTGAGGGGGACAGGGAAAGTGTACTGATGTCTATAACTTACTTTGAAAGTCATCAAAAGACAAGATGGATTGATAGATAGGTGGAAGGATAGATAGACATGTGATAAAGCAACTATAGTAAAACATAAATTGTAAGGTCTAGGTGGTGAGTATACAGGTTTTCATTGTACTTTTTTTTCCAACTTTTTTGTATGTTTGAAAATTTCATAATACAATGTTCAAAAAATAAGCCTAACAGCCTAGGGAGATAGGTCAGAGTCAGTAGGATGAAATTTAATGTCAGTGAAGGGCAAGTGGTCTCTTCAGGTGTAGATGCTCTTTTGCTTAGATGAAGAATGAGGAAGTCATTTTCTGCCAGCTGTTCATGTACATAAGGAATGGGTTGCACTCAAGGTAATTATGATGTGCTTCTGTAAGAGATGCTGAATTCATAAATGTTTCCATAATCTCTGGACAAGGAATTGGGCATGCTATCCTACTCCAGACCATTCACATCCTCTTAAGGTGAGATATCCCACTTTCTAAGAGACTTTGGCAAATGAGTCATATCAGTCAGGATGGGCTGAGTTTTGCTGCAATAACAAAAGACTCCCAAATCTCAGTGTCATCTCCCTCATATTCCACATCCAATGTGAGTTGGCTGTGGCTCCATCTATGGCGTTTTTACTCTGGAACACAAGCTGACAGAGTGGTTTTTATTTAGAGCATTCTATCTAGTAGCAGAGGGAAAAGAGACATGGCAAACACAGGCCGGCTTTTACAGAAGCCTTGTAAGGGGTCTATGATGCTCCTACCCACATAGCATCGGCCAAAACAAGTCTGATGGCCAGGCCTTAGTTCAGCTAGATGTGAACACCCCATGCTCCAGCAGGAGGAGGCACAGCTGATGATGACCAACGGTGATTGAATCTACCCCAAGGAGATTATCAGAATGATGTGAGGTCTAAGAAAGGTGAGGGAACTAGGGGAGAGGTGGCAGAGGAATGACATGCTGGTTTTATTCAAACATATTAGAAAATGCAAGACAAGATGTGTTCTGCACAGCTCCAGGGGCAAGCTGAAGACATTTCTACCAGCTAGGAGTCACAGGCTTCAGGTTATCATGGGAAGCACATTCTGACAGGAAGGACTACCCAGCATTAGGGAATACCGAGGGCACGTTGTTACCTGGGCTGCTCCATGCGCCCAGGACAGTGATGACACTTGAAGACAGTGTTGCCTTCCATTCTCCCCCTCCCCATAAAATACTGGGCCCAGCTGCCCACACAGCAGTGAGCTCCCTATCCCTGAAAAAATGTAAGCACAGCCTGGGTGCTCCTGGACAGAGGGCTGTGGATGGAGCCCCTGCATCGCAGGGTGAGGCCAGACCACAGCAAGCCAGAGGAGGGTGTGTCTAGCCCAGGGTACACGTAGGACAGATAACCTGGCAGGGATGCTGTGCTCCTTCTTGCTAACATGTGCCCCTCTCAAGCTTCCAGGAAAAAAAAATCACATAATGAGGTTGCTAAGATCTACAGAAAGAATGAATCTTCTATCCATGAAATTGTGAAGAAGGGAAAAGAAATTTGTGCCAGTTTTACTGTCACACCTCAAAGTGCAAAACTTATGGCTACAGTGTGTGAGAAGCGCTTAGGGTAGAAAAAGCATTAGATTTGTGAGTGGAAGATGTCAACAGAAACGTATTCTGATTGACAGCAACCGTGTAGCACCAGATTAACTTCATCTGGATTAAATTTGTTCACTGGCATCAATGTATAGGAAAAGATGTGGCAGATGTAGGGTTTGGTACTATCTGCAGTTTCAGGCATCCGCCAGGGGTCTTTGAAGATATCCCCCAAGGATACTCCATATAAATGAAATCATCCAATATGTACTCATTTTTAATCTACCCTTTTTCACTCCAAATAATTATCTTGATATATATCCATGTTGTATCAACAATTCATCCCTTTTTCTTGCTAAGTAGTATTCCCTAGTGTGGCTAAACACAGAGTGTTTACACATTCACCTGTTAATGGAAAATTGGGTGGTTTCCAGTTTGGGGATTTTACAAAAAGCCTGCTGTGAACACTTCTGAATACATCTTTGCATGAGCATATTTTTCTTATTTCTCATGTAATTACTATCAAACAAAAATATAAATCTGGATTCCATAAAAAGAGAATTTATTCAAAAGGATTGTTGTGGGGGTTGGGGGGGGGACTATTACAATAAGGAGACAGTCTGACGATGTGATCCTCAAGTGTCTCAGAGGTTAGGCAAAGGGCTGACCTTGTATAGGGAGGCGTAAACGTGGCTAGAAAGAACTGTTATGGGAAAGTGAGCTGAGCAAGAGTGTCATGATCGAGCAGGTCTTACCATGCAGATAGCCTGTTCTCAGGAGGGACCCTCAGGAGGGCGGTGGGTTGGCACAAGCTGCGGGTGGGCCAAAGCTCAGGGGCTTGGAGAAGGAGAGAATCTGAACCAAGGTTTGGTTACAGGCATTTTGTTCTTATTGATCTGTGGGAACAAGCAGTCCAGCTAATCATTTATGATGCCAAGAATGGGAATTTAGAGGGTCTGTGTATGGTCTGGTCATGAGGGGACATTCAGGATTCTTATCCAAGCTATATGGAAAGTCACTGGTTCTTTCCAGTAGGGTGTTTTCTGGAACAAAGGAGTGGAGGGATTCCTTAATCTTCACTATTTCTAGGAGCAAAGGGCTAAGGTGCAACTCAATACTGTCAATAGTTAGGATTGAAATGGCTAGGTCATATGGTAGGAGTATGTTTAACTCTCTTCATACACTGCCAAATGATTTTCAATTGTAGTGATACTATTTTATAATCCCATAAGCAGTGTACAAGAATCCCAGGTCCTCCACATTCTTTCGAATACTTGGTATAATCAGTCTTCTTTGTCCATTCTAGTAGGTGTGAGACGGTGTCACACTGTGCTTGTAATTTGCATATCCTTAATTATTAATGATGTTGAGCATCTTTTCATGTCTTTCAATTTTCTATCTGTATATCTTCTTTGGTGAAGTGTCTGTTTAAATATTTTGTCCATTTAAAAAATTGAATTGTTTGATTTTATCTATTGATTTTAAGTGCTCTTTCTATATTCTGGATACAAGTCTTTTATCAAATATAGCCTCTGAAGATCTTTTCTTTCAGGCTGTAACTTAGCTTTTCAGAAAGTCTTTGGGAGCTATGGCTTAATGAAACACTTACGCCAGGTTCTCCTCAGCACATCCCCCTGATCACAGCCACCCCCATAGGCTCCATTTCTTTTTTTTTTTTTTTTTTTTTTTGAGACAGAGTCTCGCTCTGTTCCCCAGTGGTGTGATCTGGGCTCACTGCAAGCTCTGCCTCCCGGGTTCAGGCCATTCTCCTGCCTCAGCCTCCCGAATAGCTGGGACTACAGGCGCCCGCCAACACGCCCGGCTAATTTTTTGTATATTTAGTGGAGACGGCGTTTCATAATGTTGGCCGGGATGGTCTCGATCTCCTGATCTGATTCGCCCACCTTGGCCTCCCAAAGTGCTGGGATTACAGGTGTGAGCCACCGCACCCGGCCATAGGTTCCATTTCTATATCAGTGGTGACTTTCTGCAAGCTAGGCTGAAGTCCCAAGCTCCAGACCCACGTCTCCAACTGCCCACCGTTCAATGCCCTTTGGATGTCCCATGCAAATTGGAGCTCACTATCATCTCCCCAGACCCGCTGCTCCTCCAGAAGCCCTGTCTCCATGAACGGCCCTGCACCTACCGGGCTAGAGACCCAGGAGCCGGCCTTGTACCTGCTTCCTTCTCACTTCCACCTCCTGTCATCCAGAGCTGTCAGTTCTTCTTCCTGAACATCTCTGGACACTCACCTTCTCCGCCAAGCACCGCACCACCATTGTTCTCACCCGCACCACCCACCCAGATACCTTTCCTTAGACGGGTGGCCAGAGAAAAACTTCTCAAATAGAAGTCGGGCCATGGCACGCCACTGAGGACCTTCCAGCGGTCTCCTGTGCACTTAAACGAGGTCCAGACTCCTTTGTGGGACAAGTAAAGCTCTTGATGATCTGGTCCTTGAGTAATGTGGGGGCCTCTTGCCCAGAGCCCCTCACACTCTTCAAAGCCGGCAGCTGAAGAGCTGAGCAGTAGCTGTCTGTGGAGTTCAGCCACCGCTCCCCGCACGCCTGCCCTCTGCAGGGGATGGAGCACCGTTTCCCCACTTCCCCACCTGCGCCCAGCAGTGCAGGTGAAGGCCTGGCTGCGGAGAGTGGCTGGGAAACGCTGAGCTTTGGGGTCAGGAATGCCAGCTCCACTACTCACCGCCTGTGTCACCCTGGGAAAACAGCTCTGGCCCCAGGTTCTCCATAAGTAAAACAGGGTCACTCATCCCTCCCCTCCTTAACGACATATGTCAGAATCAGAAGCCACAAATCATTCTCTCCCACCCAGCACGCTGCCTTGGTCTCCTAGACCACTTTCCCCAACAATGGGAAAGGCGCCAGGCCCAGAACAAGGCCGAGACCGGATGAGGCCAGCGAAGCGCCCAGGGACAAACTTTCAGGCAGCGCCCACTCTCGGTCTCGGGCAATTGCAGGGTCCCTCCGAGAGCGACCGTCTCCAGAAAACGCGGCCGCCGCCTGCCTATGCCCTGAGCCTGAAGAGCCCCCGGCGCCGCCCGCCCCGCACTGGGCCCGCCCTCCGGGATTGGTGCCCTGCTAGGGGTGGTTGCCTGTGACGTCACAGGACGCGCCCGCTTCTCGCTGGAGTGCGCACCGAGCGGCAGTGACTTCGCCGCTGCTGTAGTTCCCCGGCTGGATGCGGTGACTGGTGCCAGTGCTCAGGCGCCCGCTGCCCTTGACCTCCCGCCCCGCGAGCCCTAACTCAGCGCAGGAGGACCGGCTGCCGCCGCCGCCGCCGCCAGGTAGACCAGGCCTGGCTGGGTTAGGCCAGAAGGGTGTCCCTGGCGCAGGTCTCCCGCGGAGGGCAGAACTAGAACCAGGTTCCCGGCCGTTTCCGACCACACGGATGGGGCGGACCCATGTGAGCCCTCACTAATTGCAGGGGACGAAGCTGGGCATATGGGGAAACTGGGGGTTTCCAGGCGAGTGGACGGTGGGATGGGATCCGACGTGCACACCCACGTTTCAGGCTACTGTTTCCACCTCACGTCGCCGCCCCTTTGCTTATGGACTCTTGCAGAGTTGGATTGAGCTCGGACTGTGTGACATAGTGGTTGTTGCAGAAGCCCCAGGGCCACTTTCTGACTAGTACCTTGGGCACCTGACGTCATCCCTTTGAGTCTCAGTGTCCTCTTCTGTAAAGTGAGGGCGCTTTACCTGAGGGGATTGCTGTAAGGTTGGAATGAACCTGCATGTGTGTGTCATGTGGGAAGGGAACAGTCAATGGGGCCTGGAGTTCTCTTGGAGAGCTGGTAACCAGCCTCGTCCCTGAGGCAATAGCCAGAGAGCGCCTGTAGTTTCCCCACGCATGGCTGTTTGCAGGGCCTCTGGAGGATCTCCTGTGGGAGGTCCCTACTTCTCACTACAATCTTTAGGGCCTTTGGAGGATTTCCTATGGAAGGTCCCCACTTCTCACCACAACATTCTGGGTTAAAATGTCCTTGGTAGGAAGATGGGGCTGAAGCTAGATTTTCTTGCTTGCATTACAGGCTTCTGAACCAAGGACTTCAATGTCACCTGGACTTGGATTCACATCCCAGCTCCCTCCCCTCCTAGCTTTAAGACTGTGTAACCTTGGGCAAATCCCTTAACCGCTTTAAGCCTTAACTGTTTCATCTGTAAAATGGGACTAACAGTACCTACCTTCCACAAGCGTCAAGAATTAAATCAGGCCGGGCGCCGTGGCTCACTCCTGTAATACCAACAATTTGGGAGGCCGAGGTGGGCGGATCACAAGGTCAGGAGATCGAGACCATCCTGGCTAACTCAGTGAAACACCGTCTCTACTAAAAATACAAAAATTAGCCGGGCGTGGCGGCATGCGCCTGTAGTCCCAGCTGCTGGGGAGGCTGAGGCAGGAGAATGGCATGAACCCGGGAGGCAGAGCTTGCAGTGAGCCAAGATTGCGCCACTGCACTCCAGCCTGGGCGACAGAGCGAGACTCCATCTCAAAAAAAAAAAAAAAAAAAAAGAATTAAATCAGACATTGTAGGTAGAGCACTTAATAGTTGGCATTCAGCGGCAGCAGTTACTGTTATGTTAGCATGTGGAGTGTCTGAGTGTGTGCACTTTGGCTCGAACAGCCTTTTGACAGTGGCACAGTTGGTGCTTGTGTAAGATAGCAGGGCAGAGAAGTCAAAACTCTGTTTTCTAGTCAAACTGGCGGGCCACAACAGTGGTGACCTAAGTCTAATGAGTCTTTAACTGAACAAGGCAGATTGAATCTCCAAGTGAGGACCAAGAGTCTGGGGCTCAGCTGCCTCAACATTTTTGGGCATAGAAGGCTGTACAATACAAACTGCCTTTGTTGGAAGAGCAAGGAACCATTCAGGGAAGGCACCATGTGGTAAGGAATAGTGGCCAGACTTGGATTCAGAACAAAACAAGAGAATAGTGTTTGTCTTTAAGTGGAGCCTTGGACTCAAAACAGGACCTGAGCTCTGTGGATAATTTCTTTTTTTTTTTTTTTTTTTTTTTGGAGTCGCTCTGTTGCCTGGGCTGGAGGGATGTGGCATGTTCTTGGCTCACTACAACCTCTGCCTCCTGTGTTCAAGTGATTCTCTTGTCTCAGCTTCCCTAGTAGCTGGGATTACAGGTGCCCGCCACCAGTCCTGGCTAATTTTTTTGCATTTTTAGGGGATACAGGGTTTCACCATGTTGGCCAGGCTGGTCTTGAACTCCTGACCTCAAGTGATCCACCCACCTCGACCTCCCAAAGTGCTAGGGATTTCAGGTGTGAGCCACTGCGTCTGGCCCTTGTGGATACTTTCTAGGTGATTTGAGGAGGAAAGGCACAGCCATGTCTCCTGAAGTTAACAAGCATTAAGCTTTCCCAAGTAGTGAAATGTCAAGCCCCTGCTTCTGTCACTTATTTGTTCATTTAGCAGAAAGTCACTGAGAGCCTTCTGTGCACCAGGCACAGTGCTGGGCAGTGAAAGAGACAGACATGTGCCCTGGATCCAGGGAGGAGATGACCAAGTGATGGCTGTCAGGCCTAGACCTTGCTGTTTGTCTGCAGCCTCTTCCCTCAGGCAACTTGTTCTCTATCAGGAGAAATGAAATAATTATTATCTGGGGAGGCAGGTGGGGGTGTTGCTCCTAGAAGACAAGGACAGCCTGGTAGAGGTTCTAGCTTGATCATGTGAGCAGTGGAAACCATTTTAAACAGGACCAAAATAGCATTTAAAAAATTGCTTATGGCCACTGTGAAGCCAGTTTCACCAGCGTCACTTGCCCATGCTAGGCTGCCACCCAGCTAATTCCTGGTCCTGCTCATTTAGCCCAGCTCAGCTCACATCACTTCCTCCAGAAACTAGACAAGGGTAGAGCCCCTGACCATCTTCACAGCATTAGTCCTGATAGCTGAATCTTACGTCAGTTGTTAACATCTGTGACCTGTGCAGGGAGAATGGCAGGGCTGAGTTTGACCTACATTGTTTCCCCAATACCTACAGCAGAGCCAAGCACAGTGGGAACTTTCAGAAAGCACTGGTTGAAGGAACGCTGGAATCCCTGGGACTTACTGCGTAGCATGTAGTAGTTGCTCCTCTACAAAAGTTTCACCTTATGAAGTATAGCAGGTAAAATACAAGCCTGGACCGCTTCCCGTGTGGTATGCAGGGAACGGTTGATGGGGCAAAGGGCCTTGGGCTATAGCCCTAGGAATATCAGGGATGCTGATGATGGCTCTGAGATCCTCCATCTCCTGGATCCTGTGTTTTTCTCTGCAGGCTCTGATGCTGGTGTCTGGTAGAAGAAGATTACTCACAGCTCTGCTGCAGGCTCAGAAGTGGCCCTTTCAACCCTCCAGAGACATGAGACTAGTGCAGTTCCGGGCACCCCACCTGGTGGGGCCTCACTTGGGCCTGGAGACAGGGAATGGTGGAGGGGTTATCAACCTCAATGCCTTTGACCCCACACTCCCAAAGACGATGACGCAGTTCCTAGAGCAGGGAGAGGCCACCCTCTCAGTGGCAAGAAGGTAAGTAAGTGGGCAGCATCGCCCTGAAGCAGCTGCCCTGGTCCCCCTGCACCCTCCCCGCTCTGGGAAACAGCACCAGCAGGTAGCTCTTTTGCAAGGGAGCAGAGTAACCCCACCTTTCCTTTTCTCCCGTTCTCTTAAAAGATCCTTAGAAATCTTACATAATAACATCTTCAGTTTTCAGAGGAGAAAACAGAGAGCTAGGGGAGGTGATTAACAATTTCAAGGCCATACATGTGGTGCTGGAACCAGGACTCTATACTTCATCACACTGCCTCCTCTGGGAATGAAGTCCTGGACTGACTGACGGGTCTGGGCCCGGGGGTCCTAAAAGGCATCTTATGCAGCTGGGGGAGTGATATAGACTCCCAGCTCCTACAAGGAGAGAGGACTGCAAGGAGGTTTTCTATAAGACACTTGGTTCCTGGGTTTGGACTAGATTAGGTGAGAGTGTCCCTGAAGCCTGGACCCCTATAGAATCTGGTCTAAGGAGCTGATGAACAATAAATTAAAAATACTTTAAGATGTCATTTTCATCTATTAAAATGGAAAAAAATACAAATGTTTCACAGCTCACAGTATTAACAGTATGTTCCCATATTGCCATATTCTGCAAAGACTGGAAATCTCCATGCCCCTCATTAGGGACTTGGGTATATCTCTATAGAGCAGTAATATGCAGCCACAAGAAATAAAGAGGACACTCTCTATGTATTGTTACATATTGTTAAGCAGAGATCTCCAAAGTCAGTTGTTTTTTTAAAAGATGTAAATAGTATGCTATCATTACATACAAAAGGGTGGGAGAAGAATATCCATAGAGTAGCTGCGAAGAGCCAGGGGAACGGGGTAACCAGAAGGGGAAAGGGAGACCTTTCCATGTATTCCAGTTTGTATCTTTTACATGGACATGAGTTACCTAAGGGGGAGAGGAAATCAATACTGGATAAATAAAAGCCCTGCTCTGACAGCAAAGGACAATAGTCAGTGGTTTTCACACTGACTCTGATGGTTGATAGAGCTAGGAAATAGATTTCAAAAAGCAAAACCTGTAGCTGCTGCAGGATCTGCCCAGCCTGCCCGGGATTGCCCACCTGTTCCCAGCCAGACCCTCTCACCTGCTCTGGTCTCTACAGAGCCTTGGCTGCCCAGTTGCCAGTCCTACCATGGTCGGAGGTAACCTTCCTGGCTCCAGTCACATGGCCAGATAAGGTGGTGTGTGTGGGCATGAATTATGTGGACCACTGCAAAGAACAGAACGTGCCCGTGCCCAAGGAGCCCATCATCTTCAGCAAGTTTGCCAGCTCCATCGTGGGGCCCTATGATGAGGTGGTCCTCCCACCACAGAGCCAGGTCAGTGCCTCCCCACTGCCCTCCCTAGTCACTGGGCCCATCACAAGGGCATTCTGAGCTCAGTATTGAGCCTACTGGAGCCACCTCTCGCTCAGTAGTGCATTCAACAGAAACTCTACAGGATTATACACACAGTAGTAACACTGGCCTTGGAAAAAAAAAGTTAATGTACGTGTTTTCCTGGTTACAAAAGCAATACACCTTCACTGTAGATAAAACAGAGATAAACATTTAAAAATTACGTCACCCATAATCCCACTGCCCATGGCTCGGAATATTAATGTTTTTCTGTCTACCTTCCCAGTGTTTCTCCACTCCTGTATATGTTTATACTGTACATATACTTACCTTTTACTTAAGACTCCATCAGGAGCATTTTTTCATGCCATTAAATATTCTCCCTGACATATTTAGGTTACCTTGGAGTTTTGTGATGTACAGGGTAGTTTATATTCCTGAGTACCTTACTGCTGGATACTTGTTTCCAGTTTTTGGTTTCTATAAATAAATGTCGCAATGAACATCCTTATGTAGAAAAGACTTTGCATGTCCATTAATATATTATTATTTCCTTTTTTTTTTTTTTTTTTTGAGACAGAGTCTTTCTCTGTTGCCAGGCTGGAGTGCAGTGGTACAATCTTGGTTCACTGCAACCTCCGCCTCCTGGGTTCAAGTGATTCTCCTGCCTCAGCCTCCCGAGTAGCTGGGACTACAGGCGCATGCCACCACGCCCACCTAATTTTTGTATTTTTAGTAGAGATGGGGTTTTACCATGTTGGCCAGGATGGTCTCAGTCTCTTGGCCTTGTGATCTGCCTGCCTCAGCCTCCCAAAGTGCTGGGATTACAGGTGTGAGTCACCACACCCGGCCTTATTATTTCCTTTGAATGAACTCTTAGGATTTGAATATTATCAAACTACAGGCAGTATTTCAAAACCCTTGAGAAAATCTCCCAATTGTCCTTTAAGCAAATTGTAAGAGCAACTTACACATCCATCGTTAGTGTATATACCCTTACTAACACTGGTTACTTTTCCTCGCAAATTTTTATTTTAGAAATGTCTTGGGAATTATAGAAAAGCTGAAATAATACAGTGAATGCTCATATACTTTTCACCTGGTTTCACTGTAGACATTTGCTGTATTTGCTTTCTCTCCCTTGCCCTCTCCCTGCCCTTCACATGGCAAACACACATTTTTTTTTTGGCAGGGGTTGGGGTGACACATTGCAAATATTGTCATAAAACTGAAATAGACACTTTATAAGGACAATGGCTTGCATGACCATACCATTATCACAGCCAAGAAAATTAACTTGAATGATATTTAATATGAAATCCAGTTGCCCCAAAGATGACTTTTAATTTGGTTACTTTGTTGCTCTGTGATCAACCAAGGGCACACACTGTATTCAGTTATATCTCTTTAGTAGTTTTAACCTAGAACAGGGTTCCATAGACTTTTTCTTAAAGGGCTGTATTAGTCTGTTTTCTTGCTGCTAATAAAGACATATCCGAGACTGGGCAATTTACAAAAGAAAAAGGTTTAATTGGACTTACAGTTCCACGTGGCTAGAGAAGCCTCACAATCATGGCAGAAGGCAAGGAGGAGCAAGTCACATCTTAGGTGGATAGCAGCAGGCAGAAAAGAGCTTGTGCAGAGAAACTCCCGTTTTTAAAACTATCAGATCTCGTGAGACCCATTCACTATCATGAGAACAGCACGGGAAAGACCTGCCCCCATGATTCAGTCATCTCCCACCGGGTCCCTCCCATAGCACATTAGAATTATGGGTGCTACAAGTTGAGATTTGGGTGGGGACACAGAGCTAAACCATATCAAGAGCCAATTAGTAAATATTACGCTTTGAGTGTCATATGGTCTGTTTTGCAACAATTCAACTCTGCTGTTATAGTGTGAAAACCACCAGGGACGATACAGAAATGAATGATGGGTTTCCAATCAAAGTTGATTATAGCAGACAGTGAGCTGGCCATAGTTTGCCAACTCCTGACCTCAAACAATCCCCCCTGCCCTTTCCTTGAAGAATCCAGTTGTCTCATAGCATGTTTCACATCCTGGGTTTGTCTGGTTGTTTCTTCATGATTAGTGTCAGGGTAAGCATTTTTATCAAGAGATCTACAAAGATGTTATACATTTCCCATTGCATCTGACTGGGAGGCTCATGTCAGTGGTCCCAGAATTTGACCACTTGGTTTAGCTGACGTTCACTAGGTCCCTCCATTGTGAAGACGCATTTCCATTTTTGTAATTAACAAGCAATCTATGTGGTAGTTTGAGATCACATAACTATCTTATTGCCCCATAGATTCTCATCCAAGGATCCTGTAGTCATCCTTACTGGACCCATTATTGCATTGGGGGATGAAGAGCAATGACTTTTCTTTTCTTTTGTGATGGAGTCTCTGTCACCCAGGCTGGAATGTAGTGGCACCATCTTAGCTCACTGCAACCACTGCCTCCCAGGTTCAAGCAATTTTCCTGCTTCAGCCTCCCTAGTAGCTGGGATTACAGGGATGCACCACCACACCTGGCTAATTTTTTGTATTTCTAGTAGAGACAGGGTTTCACCATGTTGGCCAGGCTGGTCTTGAACTCCTCACCTCAGGTGATCCACCTGCCTCAGCCTCCCAAAGTGCTGGGATTATGGGCATGAGCCACTGCACCCGGCCAAGAACAATGATTTTTCTAAATCATGCAGTTTTTGTTAGCTGGCATTCTTCTATGAAAAAAGCCTGGCCAGACACATTGGCTCACACCTGAAATCTCAGCACTTTGGGAGGCCAAAGCGGGCAGATCACGAGTTCAGGAGATCAAGACCATCCTGGCTAACACAGTGAAACCCCATCTCTACTAAAAATACAAAAAATTAGCCAGGCGTGGTGGCAGGTGCCTGTAGTCCCAGCTACTCGGGAGGCTGAGGCGAGAGAATGGTGTGAACCCAGGAGGCGGAGCTTGCAGTGAGCTGAGATTGCACCACTGCACTCCAGCCTGGGCAACAGAGTGAGACTCCGTCTCAAAAAAAAAGAAAAAAAGCTGCCTCCCTCTTTATTCCTGTGTCTTCAATATCACTGTGAATTCCTTTTTGTTTTTATTCAATTGGTTGTAATCCATCATTTACATTCTTCAGGTGACCTCAATTTGGCCAATGAGGGACCTTCAAGTTTGTTCCATCCCCAAGCTTTTAGCATATATTTGCTTTCTGGCCAAGACGTTCCAGGCTCATCATGTACTGTCTGTCTTGGACCAAGGAACCCAGTGCTCCTTAGTGGGGAGTGGTATTAGAGACCAACATCTGGATGTCAGGTGTACTTATACCAACTCTGGTTATTATTAGAAAGAGCCACCAATTTTGAAGGCCAAATTATATCTATTTTATAGTGTATTTTATGGATTATGGGAGAGGCTGAGCATTTTTTCATGTTTTGTGGCCATGTCCGTTACCTTTTTGTGAATTGCTTACTCAAGTCCTTTGTGGCATGTCAATCTTTCTCTTACTAAAGTGAGTTAATAGATTAAAACACTTAGAACAGTGCCTGACACACAGTAAGGTTACATATTGCTAGGGGATATTACTTCGTATTTATCCTTTGTTAAAAGTATCCAGAGTGACTTTTAAACTCAGTGCCCTGGACACGTGTTGCTCTTCTGCAGTCACAGTGGTGTGGGGACCTGTGCCTGTATTCCATGATGCTGTCTGCCACTGCCCAAAATGTATGGGTCTACAAGTCACACCTCCCTTGTCATTCACTGGGCTCTGGTTCAGGGTGATGGCAAACGTGGGATGGCAGCCAAGCCATACTGACAGAGATCCATGGCGTACAGCCTCTGAGCATAGATAATGGGCCCCGAAGCCACTGCGGCTCACTATTCCTCTCCCACCCTACAGGAGGTAGATTGGGAAGTGGAGCTGGCCGTGGTCATTGGAAAGAAAGGCAAGCACATCAAGGTGAGGTGGAAAGGGTGGGCTCCCAGGCCAGAGTGCAGCAGAGGCCCCAGCTCCTGCCTCTCCTAGTTCTGACCTCACTCACCGACACACGGCACCAGCTGTCCCTGACACTAGGAAGCAGTCAGCCTCCTTGCTCCCTGACACTGCCTTTCCCTTCACCCACCTTTGGCTGGCTCTGGCTACTAACATGGGATAACAGCTTTGAGATCCCTTGCCACAGGTGTTGGTGTCACCCGTGATCTAACCTCCTGTATGGCCAAATCCCCTGCCCCCATAGGCCACAGATGCCATGGCCCACGTGGCCGGCTTCACTGTGGCTCATGACGTGAGTGCTCGTGACTGGCTAACAAGACGCAATGGGAAACAGTGGCTGCTGGGAAAAACCTTCGACACCTTCTGCCCTCTGGGCCCTGCCTTGGTGACCAAGGACAGTGTAGCAGGTAGGTCCCTGGTCCCTGCCCCCTGGTACCTACCATTGCACAGATGAACAGCCCTCCAGGGAGGAGCATGGGTTCAGGTACATGTGGCACCTGCCCTCCCTGGCTGCCCTTTGACTGCTGACTCCATACAGGGAAAGTCTTTTATCCTCAGCCACCAGTTCTCCCATGGGCTTCCTTCCCAAGCCCCCTAGAGGGAACACAACTGCAGAGGATGTGAAACTGCATGCGTGAAGTAAATTACAAAGAACACTGAGCTGATGGGTGGATCGGGCTTCCTGCGGCTGCCACCATCTGAAATAATCTAAGTTGAGCATCATGGAGCATAGCTATCGCAAGGCCCAGGCATTTTCCACACTACAGATGAAAGCCAGTGTGACTCACCCAGCCACTGTGGAAACAACAGCATTGACCACACACAGTGAGGGGACAGCGCCAGGTTGGAGGCAGTGTGCCAGAGGGCAGAGCGCAGCCTCTTAACACACAGCCACCCACAACTGTGGTGGAGGTGGGGGGTGTCCACATGGGCCAGCCATGCCAGGATACCAAAGACCCCAGTGCCTCACAGCACCCACACAGAGTCCTCGGCAAAGTTAAATTGTGTTTCAGCTGCTCTACTTAAGGGTGGTAGAACACTAAGACCAACACCAACAGTTAAAAGTGCTGGTTAGCCAGGATGTTCTTACAGTAATCCATCCCCTGCCAGCGGCTGATACACGAGGCTTCTCTGTCCCGGCTAGAACCACTGCCTCACTGCTTTATAGATTCTGAGTCTTTTTTTTTTTTTTTTTGGCATGGTCTTACTGTGTCACCCAGGCTAGAGTGCAGTGGCCCAATCCCAGCTCACTGAAGCCTCAACCTCCTGGGTTCAAGCGGTTCTCCCACCTCAGCCTCCTGAGTAGCTGGGACTACAGGCACGCACCACCACGCCTGACTAATGTTTTTATTATTTTGCATAGAGACAAGCACTCACTGTGTTACCCAGGCTGGTTTTGAACTCCTGAGCTTAATCAGTTCTCACCTGTTTTGCCCTCCCAAAGTGCTATGATTACAGGTGTGAGCCACCACGCTTGGCCCTGCCCGGGAGTCATTTTTGTATCTACAGGTATCTTCCTATGCTGTAGACAGATGCCCTTTCTTGAGGCAAAAACCCTAGCCATTTTTCTCTTCTCCTTCAGAGTCTGGAACATCCTCTCAACTCATTCAAGTGACTACTGCCTGGTGCTCTTGGTGGGGATGCAGGGAGGCCTGAGAAGGCCAGTGTCTATACAGAAAGTTCTAACATAGTGCACTGAGTCAATGTGGGCACTTTAAAGCCCTTTCACCTGCCAAGTCACGAAGCGCCCCTACAGTTGTGTTTGTAAAACACTGGGGGGTTTGAGGGGGAAAAGGGATAACTCCAAGGTTCCATCTTTGCATTTCAGATCCACACAACTTAAAGATCTGCTGCCGAGTGAATGGGGAAGTCGTCCAGAGCAGCAACACCAACCAGATGGTATTCAAGACAGAGGACCTGATAGCCTGGGTCTCCCAGTGAGTGACAAGGGCTGTCCTGCCAGCCCCGCTCCACCTGCCACACATGTGGAGGCTGACCTGAGCCCTCCACCTTTGGCTGTGGCCACTCAGCCAGCCCCTGGTCTCACTGGGTCCTTTTGCTTTGCTCCAGGTTTGTTACCTTTTACCCAGGGGATGTCATCCTAACTGGGACCCCCCCAGGTGTCGGTGTATTCAGGAAACCTCCTGTCTTTCTCAAGGTAGGTTAGCGAAAAGCAAAGAGAGCAAGGGCCCCAAAGGCCTGGCAGGCTTGGCTCAGACTTGAGAAGTACAGGCTTGTGTATGTGTCTGACGGAAGGGCTGACACCGTCATGGCCTGCTCTGTTGCAGAAGGGGGATGAAGTCCAGTGTGAGATTGAAGAACTAGGTGTCATCATCAACAAGGTGGTGTGATGGCTCCTGCACAGGCCCGACATAGGATGAGGGCATCTGCTCCCACTCAGCCTAGCCCAGGGAAAGGCCCAGTGGCAGGTGTGGGCAGGTGCCAGCCCTGCAAGCCGCCTCTTCTCGGTAGAAGGGAGAAGGACAGAGCTCTCTTCAATAAATGCGTCGGGTCAAAGCAGCAGCTTGGCTTGTGCTGTTTGTCTTCTTTTGGGCTTTGTTTCATGGAACAAGTTGGGGCATTTTGTGGGACTGGGAAGAAGAGAGCAAATACACACACATACGCCAAAAAGATGCTGCTGGGCTGGGGAAAAGACAACTCGTCTCGTCCCCTTGTTTATCACATCAAAGGAGGGAAAAAGCAAGAGATGGCAAGGGACAATCAAGCCTCAATGATTATATTTATAGAGCAGCTAAGGGTTTGCAGCCTCCTCTCCATCTTCTGGCTCTAGGACACAGCTGTGTTCTGGGGCTGAGAAGTCTCAGCACAGGCTCCTCCTCACAGTTCTAGCTACAAATGAACTGCCGGATGAACTGTTCTAGTTTTTCCTGATTGTCCTGGCTGGCAAAAGTAGGGGATAGGTGGAGCCTGGGGCCTGCAGGGCTCGGCGTCTGCTGCAGAACCTGGGCCATGGAAGATGCGCCATGAGTGCGCTCACCACAGGGACTGTGTCTGCATGGCTCAGGGGCCAGGCCTGTCCCCCAGAAACCTGCCTTGAGACCTCTGGCCCCTTAGACCTCAGTGTTTGCATGCAAATGCTGCCGCAAAGCAGCCCCACCTAGAAAGATGAGCCAGTGATTTGGGAGACCAAGAGGCAGGAAACCATCCCACCTTCTCCAACCCATCACCACATCTGTTGCTGGAAGACACCAAGTAAATCCCAGGGTCTTAATGAGGCACCATCAGGCCAGCCCTGTGGAGTGATGGGGACATAGCTGGGTTTCCCTGAGCCACTCTATTGGGGTGGGAGCAGGGGGACAGAAGATGGTGACACTGGCTCCTCTCACCCCTAGGTCTCTGAAGGTCCAGATAGCACTGATGGCAAGCTTTGGGTCCGCACACTCTGGAAAGAAGAGAGAAGTGAAGGCTCTAGGTAGGGAGGACAGGGAGCCACTGGGCACAGGCTTCTCTCCTCTTGTTTAAAGAAGCCCCGGGAGGGATAGAACTCAGACTGGACAGAAGACTGTCTGTACTCTGCAGCCCACCTTCCTAGACTTGGGTTGTCACTGTCTGGCAGGGGGCAGCAGCCACCAGCAAACACCACTGCCTGCAGGAGCCTGGGCTGACTGGTTGAGACTCACCGAAGATCCCTTCTTCCTGGGCGGTGGCCTGCAGGAACTGGAACAGCTGGTCTGTGTAGCCCGACTCTGCAGAAGAGAGAAGACCTAGACCTGGCACCCAGCACAGACACAGCCTGCCTCGAGGACTGCAAGGGAACAAGGGCCTCACCAGTATCGGGCAGCTGGCCCTGGCGGAGGAAGGCGGCAGCCTGTGCAAAGGCCTTGAGCAGCGGGCTGAGCAGGCGGCAGAGGAAAAGAAAGAAATCTGGGCAGTGTGACTGCTGGCTGAGCTGGAGGGGACAGGCCGGGGTGAGTGCAGCTCCCCACCACCTCCCTACCACCTCCCTCCAGGGGCAGCTTTTTGAAACACACCCTGGAGTACTGGCCCTCGGTCTCTTTGAAGTCATCACTGTCACTATCAGTAAAATCCCCACTCGGTTTCCACAGCAGCTTTCTGCTCAGTCGCCGTTGCCCTGTGTCACAGGCTGGCCGGACCCGGAGCCATTGTTCTCTGACAAGCTGGCCAGGGATCAACCCTACACCCCCAGACCAGGTACATGCAGGTGAAACCAGTAAAAGCAGACCTAGAGACCCAAGAGGATGGCCAGAGCCATGCCCCAGCACCTGCTGGGCCAACTTGCAGAGTGAGAGGAAGTGAATTCCCACCCTCAAGGGCAGTAGCCCTGTGGCCAAGAAATGTGGGGAGCAGGAGGTGTGCAGAGAACCTCAGAGGCACACATGTCCAGTGCTATCCAGAGAGACACACACAGAACCGGGGCATAGGTGGCCATATCCCAAGGCACAGGGAGCAGAGGTGCGAGCTAGGCTTCCCCGCTGCAAGGCCAGGGGCTGCCCACCCCCACAGCACACACAGGGCAGAGGAGGAGCCTGGGGCAGCTGGCACTCAGGGTGGGAGGCTGGAGGAGGCCAGGCTCCAGGCAAGGATCTTGTCTCCAACTGCCCTGCCTACCTCCTCAGCAACCAGGAGCCCGCATTGGATGAGCCTGTCCAGCACCTCCTGACAGTAGCAGTAGGAAGACTGGCAGGGCTGGGAGAAAAAGGCACCCATGTGGCCTCAGGAGAGCCAGGCACATGGGCAGGGGCCTAGCCAAAGACCGGGCAAGGCCAGACCTACCACCCAGGAGGTTTCAGAGGTAGAGCATGGGCAGGGATGGGCCATTCCTACCACCAAGAGGGGAAGGCCTAGGACCAAGTGGGCCGTAGGGGAGGCCTGACCTTTAGCAGCAGCAGGTCTTGCGGCAGCAGGTGCATCAGCAGCAGGATCTGGCGGTACAGCTCATTCTGGCTCAGCAGCAATATGCCCTGCAGCTCCCAGGGCCCCTGGGGCGGCACTCTGCCTGCCAGCAGCCCCCGCACTGCACAGGCTGGGGGCGGAGGGTCCATTATGAGGAAGGAGCCGTTCCCTTCACCACTGCACACACATCCCACCTCGGCCTCCAGAAGTGCTGGGATCACAGGCATGAGGCACCGCGCCCAGCCCCCAAAGCTTCTTAAGCTGATAAGCAACTTCAGCAAAGTCTCAAGTTACAAAATTAATGTGCAAAAATTGTTATAGCATTTCTATACACCAACAACAATCGAGCTGAGAGCCAGATCATGAGTGAGCTCCCACTCACAATTGCTACAAGAAGAATAAGGTACCTGGCAATTCAGGTAACAAGGGAAGTGAAGGACCTTTACAAAGAGAACAACAAACCACTGCTCAAAGAAATCAGAGAGGATACAAATGGAAAAACATTCCATGCTCATGTATAGGGAGAATCAATATTATGAAAATGGCCATACTGCCCAAAGTAATTTATTGATCCAATGCTATTCCCATTAAACTACCATGGAAGTTCTTCACAGAAATAGAAAAAAAAATATTTTAAAATTCATGTGGAACCCAAAGAGAGCCTGAAGAGCCAAGGCAATTCTCAGCAAAAAGAAAAATCTGGAGGCATCATGCTCTTCAACTTCAAACTATACTACAGGTCTACAGTAACCAAAGCAGCATGGCACTGGTGCAAGAAAAGACACATAGACCAATGGAACAGAATAGAGAACCCAGAAATAAGACTACACCCCCACAGCAATCCGATATTTGACAAACCTGACAAAAACAAGCAATGGAGAAAGGATTCTCTAATAAATGGTGCTGGGAAAGCTGGCTAGCCATATGTGCAAATTGAAACTGGACTCCAGCCTCACACCTAATAAAAAAATCAGCTGAAGATGAATTAAAGACTTAAATGTAAAACCCCAAACTATAAAAATCCTAGAAGAAAGCCTAGGCAATACCATTCGGAACATAGACATGGGCAAAGATTTCATGACAAAGATGCCAAAAGCAATCGCAACAAAAGCCAAAATTGACAAATGGGATCTAATTAAACTAAAGAGTTTCCACACAGCAAAAGAAACTAACAGCAGAGTAAACAGACAACCTAAAGAATGAGAGAAAAGTTTTGCAAACTATGCATCTAACAAAGGTCTAATATCTAGCATCTGTAAGAAACTTGGCTGGGCATGGTGGCTCACACCTGTAATCACAGCACTGTGGGAGGCCAAGGCAGGAGGATCACCTGAGGTCAGAAGTTCAAGACCAGCCTGGCCAACATGATGAAACCACATCTCTAGTCAAAATATAAACATTAGCTGGGCGTGGTGGTGCATGCCTGTACTCCCAGCTACTCGGGAGGCTGAGGCAGAAGAATTGCTTGAACCCAGGAGGTGGAGGTTGCCGTGAGCCGAGATTGCACCACAGCACTCCAGCCTGGGCAAAAGAGTGAGACTCCGTCTCAAAAAAAAAAAGAAAAGAAAAGAAAAAATAAAATAAAAAAGAAATTTAAACAAATTCAAAACAACCCCACTAAAAAGTGGGCAAAGGACATGAAAAGACACTTTTCAAAAGAAGACATACATGCAGCCAACAATCATATGAAAAAAAGCTCAACATCACTGATCAGTAGAGAAATGCAAATTAAAAACCACAGTGAGATACTATCTCACACCAGTCAGAATGGTGATTATTAAAAAGTCCAAAAATAACAGGTGCTGGCAAGGTTATGGAGAAAAAGGAGCACTTTTATACTGTTGATGGGAATATAAATTAGTTCAACCATTGTGGAAAACAGTGTGATGATTCCTCAAAGACCTAGAGAAATAAATAACATTCACCCAAGCAATCTTATTACTGGGTATATAACCAAAGGAATGTAAATCATTCTATTATAAAGACACATGCATGCATGCGTCCATTGCAGCACTATTCACAATAGCACAGATGTGGAATCAATCTAAATGCCCATCAATGATAGACTGGATAAAGAAAATGTGGTATATATACACCACGAAATACTATGCAGTTATAAAAAGTAAGAATAAGATCACGACCTTTGCAGGGACATGGATGGAGCTGGAGGCCATTATCCTTAGCAAACTAATGCAGGAACAGAAATCCAAATATTATACCACATGTTCTTACTTATAAGTGGGAGCTAAATGATGAGAACATATGGACGCAAAGAAAGGAACAATGCACACTGGGGCCTACCAGAGGATGGAGGGTGAGGAGGGAGAGCATCAGGAAAAATAACTAATGGATACTAGGTTTAATACCTGGGTGATGAAATAATATGTACAACAAACTCCTATGACACATGTTTACCTATGTAACAAACCTGCACATCCTGCACATGTACCCCTGAATTTAAAATAAAAGTTTAAAAAAAAGTATTTCAAGATAAATGTGTTCTTATTGAATAAACAATAATTTTGTGAAAAAAAGAGGCTGAATTGAAGGTGGCAGAAGAGCTCCCAAATAACAGTCACCTAAACAAGTTAGTATACTTCTTGCTCACACAAAATTTGATAGAGGCTTGGCCATCCGGGTTTGGTGTGGCAGCTGTGCCTCATGAGCCACTGGGACTCCACACTCCCCCAGCTTTACTTAGGGCATGTCTCATTTACTAATAGTCACATAGAGCTGCTGGAGCTCCAGGAAATATAAGTGCATCCAAGCTGCAGTAATGAAAGAGGAGTAGAAAGGACAAAAGATACCCTCCTGTAAGGAAAGACCCTGGAAGTCACAGGCAAATAATCGTGCCTTCATCTCACTTTCCCAAATTTAGTTCCATGGTCGCAATGACCTCCAAGGGAGGCTAAGAAACGTAGTGTTTACGTAAATGATAATGTTCTCAGCTGACTGTGTGGCGTTCTAAGGGAAAATGGGATTTAATAAATATTAAATATTTATTATTTAATATTCAATAAATATTAAAAAGAAACTAGGATCCTTTGACACACATAATACTCCTTCTACAACAGTAATAATACCTTTTTAAGGTACTCTTATATTACCTAGAAAAAACTTGGGAAATGCAGACTCTGAACACAATATGAAGAGGTAATTCAAAGTAGAGAAAACTTTAATGGGTTAGAAATATGTGAACAGCAACTCAGAAATATTAGTGACCTAATAAGTGACACAAAATAACACTTTATATTTGTTTATTAACTTTAGAAATTTGGATTACGCCAAACATTAGTGACAATGTGAGGATATGGGCATGTTCATGTTTTACTTCAAGGATGCAGACTCCTTTGGAGATTATTTTCTTAGTACTTAGGGAAAATTTTTATGTGTATACTTTACGTCCTGACCATCACATCCTGGGTATATTCCCCTGAGAAGCAGCCACAGAAGTCTATCAGAGGACATTTTCAAAGATCTTATTTGCAACAGTTTATTCTACTTCTAATTGTACTGAATTTAGATGCCCTTTACTTGGAGATTTCATGCATAAGACATGGAACAGCTATTATAAATAAATTCATGATGTAATACGCATATACGAACTATATATTCCACATGAAATATATATTTGTGTACATATGTGCACAATACATACTCACAAAACACTACTGGTAGGCTTAAAATGATGTGCAAATACACTAAGCATATTCTAAGAAGCAGATGGCTATCTAGACATAAATAACTTACGTATATTTAAAAGATACGCACATGGCCGGGTGCAGCGGCTCACACTTGTAATCTCAGCACTTCGGGAGGCCGAGGAGGGTGTACCACTTGAGTCCAGGAGTGTAATATGAGCCTCGGCAGCATGGTGAAACCCCGTCTCTACTAAAAATAGAAAAATTAGCCAGGTGTAGTAGGACCCTCCAGATCCAAATGAAACCAACCAGAACAGACTTACCCAGGACCATGTAGCTGTCACCATCTGAGGCCACTTACCTGGCCCCCAAAAGGCCCTAATGGCCCTCAGTGCCATTCCACCCTGACCTGGTTCTCTCTCTGCCCCCTACCATCTGATGCCATCCACACTTGTACTGCCCTGGCACATCCTGAGGGTTCAGACCTAGCCGTTTTTCCTCTCCACCTTGGATGTTCAAAAGAAGAGTACCTGTCCTAATTGAAAAGTTTGGCTAAAGTAGACAGCTTTCACATTAGAGGGTGATGGGCCTTGGGCCAGCTCTGATTAAAGACACTGTCCTGGTGTTTGCCGTCAGGATAGGGCCTGGAAACTGGCAGGAGAAGACTCTTGTGACCATTTTGGATCCCTTCACTGACAGTAGGTGATAAAAGGACCCTCTGGCCCCCACTCTTAATGTAACTGCATTTGTGTTATGTATGTGTTTCCATTTGTGCTCTTTTAAAATTATGTCTGTACGTATATTAATATATTATGTAGTTACACACATACACACACACACACACACACACACACACACACACATATATATATTCTGCACAACTCCAGTCTCAACTCAGTTATCCCTCTTCTGTATGTCCAAGTTCTCTTGTGGGCATCTGCAAGTGATGGCATACTCTTTCTCAATTGACTCGTGGCCAGTCTCAGAACGGTGGGTCCATATGTTACGGATACCCATTTATGAATGGCCTATACCTATAGACAGCTGGCCTGCTCTTTCCAGGCCCCTTACTAAGAGTATTGTGGAAAACCTTAGAGCTTTTGAAAAGTAATTGGACTTTTAGCTAGAAGAAATGAAGAAATTGCCCAGAATTATCATCAGTTAGAGGAAGCTCTCTGTGCCTAGATTTTCTGACATGAGATAATAGCCAATATGGCTGATCCCAACCCATAATTGTATGCTCTTGACAGCTTCTGTTTTTTTTTTTTTAAATCAGTTGTTGCTCTCTGGAATTCCAATGATGAGTTCAACTTAGTTAACATCTCCTTTCTAAATGTGAGGGTTAAGGAGTTGGTGGTAATTCATATAATAATTAGTTAGAATCAAATTACTTTCTTTTGGAATAAAATAAGTCAGGCCAGCCACTCTGAAAGAAGGTGAGTTTTGGGTTGGAGTCAGAAAGTCCATGCTTTTGGGGGATGACTCCTTTGGGAAAGGGGATAGAGTAAAACCAGTCAAGAGAGATAAGGTGAAGGGTTCAAGGCAGCTCTATATGGAGGACAAGGGTAGGGACAAGAGGTAGTAAGTAAGAGGAGAAAGATGAACTTTTGGTTTTTCAAAATATTCCTAGTCACTGTCCTAATGTTGATACCAATGGTACATTCATAGCATGGGATATTCTGCAGCCGTTAAAGAAGTAAGGTAGATTTATGGGTAAAAAGAAAGTGTACCAAGACAAGGATGCCTTCTCTCACCACTCCTATTCAACATAGTATTGGAAATTATGGCCAGGACAATCAGGCAAGAGAAAGAAATAAAGAGTATTCAAATAGGAAGAGAGGAAGGCAAACTATCCCTGTTTGCAGATGACATGTCCTATATTTAGAAAACCCCATCATCTCAGCCCAAAAGCTTCTTAAGCTGATAAGCAACTTCAGCAAAGTCTCAACTTACAAAATCAATGCACAAAAATCTCTAGCATTCCTTTATACCAACAACAGGCAAGCAGAGAGCCGAACCATAAATGAAGTCCCATTCACAATTGACACAAAAAGAATAAAATACCTAGGAATACAGATAACAAGGGAAGTGAAGGACCTCCGTAAGGAGAACTACAAACCACTGCTCAAGGAAATCAGAGAGGAAACAAACAAATGGAAAAACATTTTATGCTCATAGATAAGAAGAATCAATATCATGAAAATGACCATACTGCACAAAGTAATTTATAGATTCAATGCTATTCCCATTAAACTACCATTGACATTCTTCAAAGAATTAGAAAAGACTATTTTAAAATTCATACAGAACCAAAAAAACAAAACAAAACAAAACAAAATAGCCCGAATAGCGAAGACAATCCTAACAGAAGCAACAAAGCTGGAGGCATCATGCTACCCAACTCCAAACTATACTACAGAGCCACAGTGACCAAAACAGCATGGTATTAGTATAAAAACAAACACATAGACCAATGGAACAAAATAGAGAACTCAGAAATAAGACGACACACCTACAACCATCTGATCTTCAACAATCCTGACAAAAACAAGCAATGGGGAAAGGACTCCCTATTTAATAAATGGTGCTGGGAGAACTGGCTAGCTATATGTGGAAAATTGTAACCCCCTTCCTTACACCTTATACAAAAATCAACTCAAGATGAATTAAAGACTTAAATGTAAAACCCAAAACTGTAAAAACCCTAGAAGAAAATCTAGGCAGTTCCATTTAGGACATAGGCATGGGCAAAGATTTCATGACAAAAATACCAAAAACAATTGCAACAAAAGCAAAAACTGACAAATGGGATCTAATTAAACTTAAGAGCTTCTGCACAGCAATAGAAACTATCATCAGAGTGAACAGACAACCTAAAGAATGGGGAAAAAATTTTGCAATCTTTCCACCTGACGAAGGTCTAATATCCAGGGTCTACAAGGAACCTAAACCAATTTACAAGGAAAAAAATATTAAAAATGGGCAAACGACATGAATGGATACTTCTCAAAAGAAGACATTTATGCAGCCAACAAACATATGAAGAAAAGCTCAATGTCACTGATCATTTGAGAAATGCAAATTAAAAACCACAATGAGATACCATCTCATGCCAAGTCAGAATGGCAATTATTAAAACGTCCAGAAACAACAGATGCTGGAGAAGTTGCAATGAAAAAGGAATGCTTTTATACGTGTTGGTGGGAGTGCAAATTAGTTCAACCATTGTGGAAGACAATGTGGCCATTCCTCAAAGATCTAGGAGCAGAAATATCATTTAACCCAGCAATTCCATTACTGGGTATATACCTAAAGCAGTATAAATCATTCTATTATAAAGATATATGAACACGTATGTTCATTGCAGCACTATTCCTAATAGCAAGGACATGGAATCAACCCAAATGCCCATCAATAATAGACTGGATAAAGGAAATGTGTTACATATACCCCATGGAATACTATGCAGCCATAAAAAGGAACAAGATCATGACCTTTGCAGGGACATGGTTGGAGCTGGAAGCCATTAGCCTCAGCAAACTAATTCAGGAACAGAAAACCAAATACCTCATGTTCTCATGTATAAGTGGGAGCTGAACGATGAGAACACAAGGACATATGGGCGGGAAACAACACACACTGGTGCCTTTCACGGGGGTGGGGGAAGGGAGAGCATCAGGAAAAACAGCTAATAGATGCTGGGCTTAATACCTAGGTAATGGGTTGATCTATACAGCAAACCACCATGACACACGTTTACCTATGTAACAAACCTGCACATTCCGCACGTGTACCTCTGAACTTAAAATAGTTGAAAAAAAAGTACACAACAGACTGCATGCTTCCATTTCTGCCTATAATTTGAAAGGTGATATATGCATGCATACGTTTGAGTATATGCAGAGAGTATTTCTGGAAGAAATGTAATAAACAGTGACTTTGTCTCTTTGAAAAGAGCCTGGGGATATGGGTCTGAGGTGGGATTTTTTTTTCCAGGATGTACTTTGCTTATAAATTTTAAAAAAACTAGTTAAAGGTTTTCTAGGATTACTCTTACCTCTGAGAGAGGTGGTGTAGAGCAGGGGACTTAGGGAGTCTAAGGAGAAAAGAAACAGATAATCCCTTTGTCCTTCTTTCTTCCAAGAAAACTCAGGGCTTGTGTATCCCTGGACTCCTGTGGTTTTGGCACCTCAGGTGGACTATTGTCCAGTAAGCTCTTCTGGGCTGACCTGGAACTGAACTACCATTTGTAAACTTTCTACAGGGGAAACGCAACAGTGTTGCAGAGAACATACTAAACCAAACGGCCTCCACTCATTCTTTCTCAATTTGTTGTCTATTAGCTTCCTTAAGAAAAGAAAAAACAAAAGACTTCAGATTGAACCCAGGAGGCCTGAGCCATCCATATTCTAACTTGTTTCCTCAGAAATGACAAAAACACTATGTGCATTTCTGTGCTTGGCTACTGTCTGGATTTTTTGTTTGGTTTATTTCCTTGAGAAGGTACCCACTGTTTTGCACTTTCTTTTCTGACTAACTTCTATGGTTTTATTTTGAGGAAAGTTGCTGCTTTTTCCTTGCTTGCATGCCTGGTAGAGAGCTATAGGCATTTGGTACATATCTGTTGACTTGGTAGATTAAGGTGTGGACACCAAAGCAGAGAGGTTACTATAAGTTGTCACAGGTAAGACTTTGGTCTGAGAAGACACGGTAGAAGAGATTTGAATCTAGCACAGTGCTTCTCAATTGTGGCTTTGTTGACATAATTCCTTGCTGAGATATTGAGATAATTCTCTGTTGTGGGCCACTGTCCTGTGTATTACAGGCACTTTGGCAGTATCCCTGGCCCCTACCCACTAAATGCCAATAAGAACTGCTAGTTGTGACCATTTAAAAATATGTCTCTAGGTGGTGCCAAATGTCCCCTAGGAGCAAAACCATCCTGGTTGACAATCACCAATTTAGAGTGATTTTGGATTTGCTATTCGCTGTCCAGAAACTGGTTTCTATATTGACATAATTCTTCAAATCCTGGAAGCCTGGAGGTGTGGCCCAGCTAAAGCTTCTGAAAACTTACGCAGTGTCTTTGCGAAGAATTAGAAAAGGTACCGGATGAATTAGAAAAGGGCTAGATGAGGAAGGTTAGGCTGAGTTTCATTCTCTATTTCTCCTCTCCTTTTATTCCTGCTGTGTATATGAGGCTCTCTAAGTCAAGGGTCTTGATGTGTTGATAGAGAACAGATTCTTGGAGCCAGTACCCAGGTAGAAGGATGAAATGCAGACTTGATGGCTTTACCATTAAATCAGCTGTAGTACAGTCACTTCCAAATAGTGTATCAGCAAAACATTTCTCATTCATATGGATGAGGAGATTGTCCTTCCTAAGAATGCACTCATTTAACAAATGTTTATTGAGGACCTACTATGTACTGGGAGGAAAAATGCTTCCCTCTACCTCTTCATCCCTTTCTTTCTGCCTAAAGTATTCTATTTCTGTGTGTTTGGTATTATTTCATTTTACATTCTTCGGAATCTGTCTTACTAGCACAAATTCTTCTTTCCCCTCCCCCTTAATTTACTTGATTTCTGAAGGGTCAATTGCAATTAAAAGGAAGAGGAGTGATGAGAGGGATGGCTTGAGTTTTCAGAATGTTCCTTAGCTGTATGTCAGGGCTCCACGAGTGCACACCATGCTGGGCTGCATTCTGGAGGCCCTCCTTGGCTCTGACTGTATTTATAAGTTATCCTACACTGTGCTAGCACATCAGCTGCCAAGGCTGTTTGTAGAATCTGCCTCCCCAGAGGTCTTCAGAAAGAGAAAAGGATGCCAATCTCCATGACGGTTTCAGTGCAGTCCTGCTGATTAGAAGGAACAGGCTAGATTTTTCTGTAAAGGTTTCCTTCAGTCTTGAGTGCTCTTAGATGGATGAGTTTGCTTTTTGGTGCAGGAGGGAGAGATGAAAACTGACACTCTATGAACTTCCTGGCATATCACTGCACACATCCTGTGTATTTATATTTATGTATTTACTTATTTTGAGATGGAGTCTTTCTCTGTCACCCAGGCTGGAGTGCAGTGGTGCGAACTCAGCTCACTGCAACCTCTGCCTCCCAGGTTCAAGCGATTCTCCTGCCTCAGCCTCCTGAGGAGCTGGAATTATAGGAGCCTGCCACCACATCCAGCTAATTTTTGTATTTTTAGTAGAAACAGGGTTTCGCCATATTGGCCAGGCTGGTCGTGAACTCCTGACCTCAAGTGATCTGCCTGCCTCAGCCTCCCAAACTGCTGGGATTACAGGTGTGAGCCACTGCTCCTGGCCCATCCCGGATAGAGAGTAAAACATACTGTTTTCATGCTTTTAATGTTTTCAAAGTACTTAGCTGTGCTGTGTGAGGGAGGTAGGGCCTTTCTTTAGGTCCCTATGGCACAGAGGAGTCAGCGAGGCACAGAAGCATTTAATTATCAGTTAAAGTGACAGCCTGGCTTGACACAGAGCAGAGATGGTGTTCCTGGATGTCTGCCCTCCAAGTGCATGCTCTTTTCTCTTGACCCTGTTACTTCTTTGTGTTCGTGGTTTTTGCTCTGTCTCATAGAGTTCAGACATTTGATTTGGAGCCATAATATTTTAGAGCTATAACAATTTGGGGAGCATATTTAGTATAAGTCTGTCCCATGCAACTTTTATACCAGGCATCCTATATTTTATCTGGCAATCCTGGCCCCAGGGCAACCCTGTGTGAGAAACTCGTAGGTCCATTTTACATGTGAGGGAACTGAGGCTCAAAGAGGTTAAACAACTTTCCCACGGTAACACCTGAGATGAAATGGCAGGCAGCTGACTGCAAAGCCCCCCAACATGGCCTTTGCTTGTCTGGGAGATGGAGCTCCAGGTGGAACTGGTAAAGGGAGTGAATCCATTGGCTGGGAGATGTCATGAGTTTGAGACTGTATTGGGAGCACCTGGCACATGGTGGCCATCAACCAATTTTTAGTCTCTCTCTCCCTTCCTTCCCCTGCATCAAATTGGAAATTCTCTTCAGACCCTCACACAGCGAGGCCTCTACAGACACGTTGAACCTGCCACCCTCGTAGGAAAGCAGAAGGAAGAAGGATGATGTTGGAGAAGATCCCTGCCATTTGATTTATTATGACAGCCTGAGGCCTCAGAGAGCTCAGAGCAAAGAGACCCTAGAATGTAGCCCCAGATCCCTGGAAGAGACTTTACAGGTGTCACGTGGGAGAGTGGAGGGTGACGGGGATGGTCTCAAAGAACAGGAGCAGAGATTATCAGAGACACCACAAACTTAAAGTCAGGATGGGTAGGACTTGGGGAGAAAAAAAAATCTTACCTTTACAATAGCTTCAAGGACCACAAATTTAAGGGCTCTCCAGAGGCTTTAGGACAGAGAGAGTCAAGGAAGTGCCGGTCCAGGATACGACCCTTTTAAAAGTGTGCCCGTGGTGTCACTGCTGTGGGCAGCGGTGGTGATGTCAATGTTTGCTCTTCTCGGGCTCCCTCCATGACACTGAAAAGATGGAAGTGCTTTTACCTGTCCAGAAGGAGGGGCAGCTGAAAGAAGGAGGGAAGAGGGTGGTCCAGTGCAGGTGCAGCCTGTTTGGAACCTTCTGTGCCTGCACTGGACCACCCTCTTCCCTCTCTCCTTCCTTCGGCTGCCCCTCCTTCTGGACGGGTAAAAGCTTCTCCTGTCTCCTCCTGGACTTTCTCATAGCTATAGGCTTCCATGTTCCCCACCTCTATGATTCAGAGGAGTTCAGCTCAGCCACGTCTGTGCCAGAGCTTTGATGCCCCACCTATCAGCCACACAAAGGGCCCTGCCATGAATAAGGCCTCCCTCACTGAGGATCCTTAATTTTTTAAAATAATGAAGCCTCTGCCATAAAGTCAGTGTCCTGGCTGCCAGCCACCAGGTAGAACCTACCAGACTTCTCCAAAATAGATACTGGGGCCTCCTTCCTCAACCATGGTCAAGGCCTAAGCTTCCTTCTCAAAGGCAGGCAGTCCTAGGCTTTAGGGCAAGAAGTGCTTCCTACATGCAAGGTGCTCTGGGGAAGGGCTGAGTGTGGCAGGCCGTGTGTGCAGGTCTTTAGGATTTCAGCTGAGCCACCTTTTCTTGCAGTTCAAGAAGAAAACAGCCAACCATTCCCTCCTTGTAATAAATGCCTCCGCATATTTGAAGACAGAGTTAGGTCATTCTTGAGCTTTCTCATCTCCAAACAAAACAACTGTGGCCCCTGTAACCTTACCTTGGCAAATTATAAGGCCCATATGCAGAGAAAAAGCAAAACAAAACCATCTGATGGGGAAGGCCTCCTATCTCTGACCAAGTGTCTGTTTTGAAATGCGGTCTGCACTTGAGTCTTTAATTACATGTAAATTCAGTAGCTTCAAGCGTCTGAGCCAGTGGGGGACCAGGTGCTGCTCATCAGGCCCCTTGGATGTGTTCAGGCTGCAATGCTGGGCGACAGCGCTTGGCAGAGGCTAGGATTTCTTCTCTTCAGATTCATTTTGGGGCATAAAAAGGGGCATCCGTGAGTGACCCAGGAGCAGTCAGCTGACCTTCCTGCCAGGTCCCCTGAGGGTAGGATGGGCCCCAAGAGCCTCCAGAGAGCTGGCAGCCTGCCAAGAAGGCTGCCCTTGGCCTCCACAGAAGCCAGCAGGAGTGGCGTCCAGATGTCCCTGGTGGAGGCTGGCAGCCTCATCCTGCAGCCAGTGTCTTCCAGGGGAGGCTTCCTGATGCTGCTAACTCAGAGACAGCTGCCCTGCTGAGCGCCTGCCCTCACTGGGGGTGCTGTGATCACATCAAGTTTCTTCCCATGGTTCTTTCCAAGCTCCTTCCCATATTTGTAGTGTGTTATCTTGGTGATACAGACAAGAGGCAAGGAAATACTGGGTAGAGGAGGGCAGTTCCCCGGCAAACGCCCCCACCCTCAAGTCTGGAAACCCGCAGCCCTAAATGGGAACAGGCATTTGTACTTTCATGCCCAAATGTGGGATCCTCCCCCATGACCCAAACACCTCCCACCAGGGCCCACCTCCAACACTGGGGATCCCATTTCAATATGAGATTTGGAGGGAATAAATATCTAAACTGTATCAGCCAAGGTTAGTGCATTTCTCTGTCCTCCAGTTTTGCCTGCCATGAGCAGCTTTCCTGTGAGTCAGCTGTCCTTTTGGTCTCCAGGGTCACTTTCTTTTTTTCATGCCCAAATGGGGTGGACCCAAGAACACTCTGGTCCACCACACCGCTATCCTGTGCCCATATAAGCCTCAAGCTCCACCAGCAGAGTTACAGGAGAGCAGAAGAGTGGCAGAGCAGCAGAGCAGCAGAGTGGAGTGGCAGAGAAGGAGAGAAGAGAAGGAGCATCTGAATGTTGAAAGGAGTTCAGCTGGGGACAGTCAGAGAGGAGATTGGCTGCAGGACAGCTGAACTCCAGGGGAAGATAATCTTCCCACTCCATCCCCTTTCCAGCTCCCCATTCATCCCACTGAGATATCCCATTTATCCGTCACTCAATAAAATCCCTGCCTTCACCAACCTACAAGTCTGAGTGACCTAATTCTTCCTAGATGCCAGACAAGGACCCAGGTACCAAGAAGGCAGAGTGTAAAAGACTGTCATCTTGACTCTCCACTGAGCTGGTTTAAGACTTGCCATCCACGGACAGCAGCTGCTAAAACAGCATGAATTGTAACACGCTCCTAGACACTACCATGGGGCTGGAGCCCAAAAGCGCTCACCCCAGCTCCTGCACCTACCCATCTGCATGCTCCCCTTCCCATAAGGGGTTTGAGCAGCCAGCAAACAAGCCACACCCCATCACAAGTCCTGCAAGGGGTTCAGGGTACTCTCCCGTTTCACTGGGAGACCCAATGCATTAGTCTGTTTGTGTTGCTAAGAACACCTGAGTCTGGGTATTCATAAAGAAAAGAGGTTTATTTGGCTCATGGTACTGAAGGCTGTATAAGAAACATGGCACCAGCATTTGCTTCTGGTAAGGACTCAGGAAGCTTTTACTCATGGCCAAAGGGGAGCAGGCATGTCACATGTGAGAGAGGGAGCGGGAGAGAGAAGGATGGAGGTACCAGATTAAAAATCCAATTTTGCAGGAACAAGTAGAACAAGACTTAGTACCATGGGGAGGGCACCCAGCCCTTCATGAGGGATCCTCCCCCATGACCCAAACACCTCCCACCAGGGCCCACCTCCAACACTGGGGATCCCATTTCAATATGAGATTTGGAGGGAACAAATATCTAAACTGTATCAACCAAGGTTAGTGCATTTCTCTGTCCTCCAGTTTTGCCTGCCATGAGCAGCTTTCCTGTGAGCCAGCTGTCCTTTTGGTCTCCAGGGTCACTTTCTTTTTTTCAAAGCCCAGTGTTCAGATATTCGGCTGAGCTTCAGGACTGGGGAGTCACAGGACAAGCTCATGTACATGCTTAAGCAAATGCAGTAAATTTTTTAAATAAAGAAAAAGTTAGACAGTGCCAGTCATTCTGTGTGCCACCCTAGATGTATCACAGGGTGGATGCAGAGTGGAGGGTAGAGGAGTGTGCATCCCTTGCTCTATCTGTGCCTGTCCTTCTTATAAGCTGCTCAGACCAGGAGCACCTGGATTTGCCCCAGTGGGACTCACCTTTGAGAGACATAGTTTTGGCCAAAATAGCTGTTCAGTGCAAGTCTTCCACTGGTGCCCAACCAAAGGGAAAGCAACCTTTTCCAACAATGAAGAAGAAATTGGTTGTGTCTGCTTTTCAATAGCAAGGGAGTGAATCTCAAACACGGTGCCTCCATTAAGGTGTTCAATAATTTCAACTACATGACAAATGTGCTTTGGGAATGTGAAAGGAAACTAAATCTTGGGACCTCAAAGTCACTAAGCTAAAGGGACAAGTCAAGCTTGGAACTGCTTAGGGCAAACCTACTTCCCATTCTGTTCAAAGTCATCTCTCTGAGGCTTACCTGAGACAAATGCATATCTAATTGCTTCCTCTGCCCTATTGTTGATGTAAAAATGCAGATTCACTGAGCCAGACTAAATTGTGTATTCAGTGGAAGGTTGATCGAGTATGCAAAATAATGAAACCTTTTGTCTCTTATCTGCTTCTAACCTGGAAGCCCCAACTTTGAGTTGTCCCACCCTACCAGACAAAACCAATGTACATGTGACACATATTGATTGATGGCTCGTGTCTCCCTCAAATGTGTAAAAGCAAGCTGTACCCTGACCACCTTGGGTGCATGTCGTCAGGACCTCCTGAGGCTGTGTCACAGGAGCATCCTTAACTTTGGCAAAGTAAACTTCCTAAATTGACTGAGCCCTGTCTCAGGTATTTAGAGTTCACAGGAATGATTTCAGACACCCCAGGGAGAGGTGCCTCTACTGCGTGGCTCCTGGCCTGGTCTCAGACTAAACCGTAAGCTCCCTTATTTTTGTATGCCCAGTGCCCAAAACTGTGCCTGGCACTCGAGGGTCCATGATATGTATTTTTGGCTTTGTTGAATAGTTTAATTAACTCATTAGTGATGCAAAGTTCTAACTGCATATTTACAGATATTTATGTGTGCACCACATTATGGGTGGTGAGAAGTAGGAATTCAAAGAGACAAAATCATACTTTCTCTCCTCGAAATTCTTATAAAGCTACCAAGAAGACAAGACATAGACACATTAAATATAAATAAAATACAAAAGGATGTACCCTGACATGCAAATATGTGTTCACAGAAACAAAGTTCTTCTTACCAAATTCCTGTTGTCTAAAGCAGTTTTTCCTAAAGCGCGTTCTTCAGAATACCAGTTTCTCAGGGTGCCAATGTGAGGAAAAGCTTTGGTGGTCAGATGAGTTCAGGGCTGGGTTAGGCTGATTTCTTTACCAGAGGGCTTCTTGAAGACTTAAAGAAATCTGTATTGAGATATAATTTGTATGGCATAAAGTTCACCCACTTTAAGTAAACAACTCGTTGGCTTTTACTATAGAGTTGTGTAGCCATCATCACAATGTCACTGCAGAATGTTTCCATCACCACCCAAAACACCTCATGCTGTTTGCAGCCATTTCCCATCCTCTTCCTTCCTAGCCCCTGACAACCACTAATTTACCTTCTGCCTCTATAGATTTGCCTATTCTGGACATTTCATATGGATGGGATAATTTACTGTGGGACCTTTGGCGACTGGCTTCTTTCATTTAACTTAATGTTTTCAAGGTTCATCCACATTGCTGCATGTATGCACTGATGGGCATTTGGGTTGTTTCCACTTTTTGGCTATCATAAATAACATTGTTATAAGAATTCATGTGCAAGTTTTATTTGACTATATGTTTTCAGTTCTCTTGGGTCTATAGGGAAGAGTGGAATTCCTGGGTCATACTGTGAATCTATTAAACCTCTTTTCTTTATAAATTACTCTGTGTCAGGTATTTCTTCATAGCAGCATGGAAATGAACTAATACAGTAAATTGGTATCAAGGTAGTGGGGGATTGCTATAAGATACCTGAGAATGTGGAAGCGACTTTTGAACTGGGTAATGGGCAGAGGTTGGAACAGTTTGGAGGACTCAGAAGACAGAAAGATGTGGCAAAGTTCAGAACTTCCCAGACACTTGTTGAGGGGCTGTGATCAAAATGGTGATAGTGATATGGACCATGAAGTCCAGGATGAGGTGGTCTTAGATGGAGATGAGAAACTTATTGGGAACTTGAATAAACATGATTCTTGCTATGCTTTAGCAAAGAGACTGGCAGCATTTTGCCCCTGCCCTAAATATCTGTGGAACTTTGAACTTGAGAGACCTAATTTAAGGTATCTGGCCAAAGAAATTTCAAAGCAGCAAAACCTTCAAGTGATGACTTGGGTGCCCTTTAAAGCCTTCAGTTTTATGCACTTACAAAGTTATGGTTTGGAATTGGAACTTACGTTTAAAAGGGAAGCAGAGCGTAAAAGTTCAGAAAAATTACCCGGAAGGAATTAAACCCCATGGCTGCTTCATGAAGCAGGAAAGGTGGATAAAAAAGACAGAGAAAAGATGCAAAATACACAATCTATAATTTAAAAAGGGAAAATTATTACAGAGCCCAGGATAGCAAACACATAAAAGTAGAATACAATGAAATAAATTATGGCAACTATTTTGACTAAACTAAAAGGAACTCTATAATGAAAACTTTTCTATAAGGAAAATTTCCATCTTATATTTCATTTACTGGAACCAACCTTGTGAAAATTACACAAACTTCAAGAGAATTAAAAAGAAGGAAATGCTTCCAGAATTATTATATGTGGTCACAATAAACTTCATTTCCAAAACGAATAAAAGCATTAGAAACAGAAAATTAATTCCTGCATCTGACATGAACAGAGATGTAAAATCATAAAAAGCACATATATGTGTAATGTGTAGTTCATATATATATATACATATTTGAAATATCTATCTATCTATAGCTATATAAGTATTTATAGATATCTAAATATATCTATATCTGTATACATGTAAATGTACATATATGTGTGTTAATGCACATATATGTATATATGAATGCATATCTGTATATAGCTACATATGTATGTAGCCCTATATTGAATTATGTATGCCTATAAAATTGAATGTCAGTATATATCTATCTATTTAATAAACAGATATAGCAAGCCACATTACAGCTCTTATGCTTAAAACTCAGGCAAATTTTAATAATTGCAATTTCTGAGTGATGGTCATAAAACGAAAGGTATGACAGGCTTAGTTAACTAATTTTAGAAAAAAATTTATATTGTTTTATTTAAATGTTTTATTTTCCTTTTTTCTTTTAATTTTGAGACAAGGATTTGCTGTGTTTCCCAAGCTGAAGAGTAGTGGCAATTCACAGGTGAAAACTTTTCTTCACTTTTGGAATAAGTTTTTATTTTGCTTGGAATTTTAGCTTCAATAAATAATAAGTGTACATGAAAAAGCCTGCTACTTTGATCTAATCTATGAGAATTATTTAAATTCTCATCCAATAGAAGACAAAATCAAAGTAAAAAGAAAATTGGGCTCTTGCCAGAGAGACACAGCTCTTTACTCTTAGATCTGAGGCAATCTCCCAGACATTCTTGCTCACACAGTTGCAGTCCACTGCAAGAATAGAAGATGTGAGGACAGCATTACTCAGTTGCACCTTGAGCTCCCTGACTACATATAGTTAACTATCTTTATTGAGGATAATAATAGTTAAAATAAATCACATTGATTTTTAAATGTACAGTTTTTATGAATTTTTGCAAATAAATAATCCTTCTAACCACCTCCAAAGTCAAGATATAAAGTATTTTCACAACCCCAAAAAGCTCTTCCTGAGCAAGTTACATGATCAACTTGCTCTCTAACCCATAGATTAGGCAACTTTTGGCCCATTTTGAAAGTTCCACTCATAGCTCTTCCACAATGACTTTGTCTCTAATCCTCTGTTCTGTTTTTTCTAAGGTCTGATGATTTGTTCAAACCCATAGACAATGTCATTGAATGGCTGATCTCTCTTTGCAAAATGAACAAGGATATAACACTTGCACTTTGCTCACTGTTATGATTTTTACTCTCCAGGCCATCCTTGACTGTGAGAATGATGTGACATCAGTCCAGCATCCATGGATAGAACTCTGTCCAAAATAGCATCATTGTAGACATACAAAGAATGAGGACTTACCTAGGAGACAAGGATGTAACTTTTAACATTAGGGAAAATCATCTCCATTCATACTCTTTGGCACCTCAAGTAAGTTAGAAAAATATTTTAAGGTGACACATGAATTTGGTGAGTGTTTAGAAATACATCAAATTTCAAGGACTTGCAAAGGACATTCCTATAGCCAGAGCAGGTACTATATCTGGTTCTAGAAACCAACTATTTTGATGAGGAATAAATAGAATTATCTTAAGAGATTTAATTTATTAAAACATTTTGTAAATATGCCTATGTTTCTTATATATATGTAAATGGCCTTATTTAGACATGAATATATGCATATGGAACTACACGCACCCAACTATTTATCAAATAAATATATATATGTACCTACATTAATGTTTATATATATATATGTGGAGTTTCCATAAATAAGGTAAATTTTACACTTTTTATTTATATATAATTTTTTAAATTTCTTTTTAAATTTCTCATTGGTAGCTTTATAAATACATTACCAAATATTTATACTTCTGCCACTAATCATAATAAGATACATCTTATATGGGTGAATGTGTAAGTATTACATTGGTCACATTTTTTGCACAATGATGATTGATAACCAACTACTTAAAAGTCAGTGTATTACATCAAGTTTTATCGTGTTTCTGGATGTTCATTTTAGTATTAACATGACTCTTCAAGACAGGGCTCAGCTGGGTGGTTTTGCTGCAGGGAGCAGAGCTTGTCTCTAACCTATGGATTGTGTTCATCTGAGGTCAAGGCTAAAGGGCAGTATCTACCCAGGCACCATATTCTGATGAAGGCAGCAGGAGTGGGCAACCTCCCCAAACCAAGTTGAAATGGTGAATGAAGTCTAATAATTTTGAACACAGATACACACAATTTTAAGTTATTCTTTCACCTTGGTAATTATTATGGTTCCTACAAACTTTTCCTCCATTTAAACATCAAAGCATTTTATTATTCCATGGACAGATCATTATGTTTCTCCAACTTTACAATCTTCCAATTGTTTTCAAATGTCATGTTGCATTGATTAGAAAATAAAGCTGGGTGTGGTTGCAACATGTGGCTTTCCATTGAAATTTTTAAAAATAGCCTCATTGCCATAATAGTATACAGAAGTTTGCTCTTGTCACCCAGGCTGGAGGGCAGTGACATGATCTTGGATCACTGTAACCTCCACCTCCTGGGTCCAAGTGATTCTCCTGCCTCAGCCTCCCTAGTAGCTGGGGCTAATGGTGCCCACCACCACGGTATCTCTTTAGCTGAAACAAATATCACATAGAACATAGCTTCTTAAACCTTTTATAGGTCACCTGTTATCAACTACCATGGCTAAACAAAGGTTCTCATTCAGTGAACTGAAGGTCGTTCTGCTGTTTAGCATGTGTATCATGCTCTCAGTGTGCTAATGATCCTGCTGGATTCTGGATACATGTTGAGTAGCAAAGAATTTTCATAATTTAAAAAAGGTTACACCAATGTTCAGGTTTTTCTGTTGTTTTGGTTTCTTTGTCAAGAAATATTTTTCATTTGTTTGTAAAATGATTGTTATGTATGTCATACAATTTCCTGATTTTTAAGCTGTGTCTATGACTTAATAAAGTTATGTTGCTATGTGACAAGTGCAAGTATATTCAAATGTATTCTGAGGCCATGCATAACTGGCAAAAGTTTTCACTATTTTGTGAAAATACTGACCATGTTGGGCTTTCAGCTGTCAGTTCCTCATTATCACCATCACTTCTGAAAGCGCATTCGTCAGAACCACCTTTCCCTCTATACTTTCCTGTAGAGTTGTTCACTGAGGGGTCCTTCCACAAGATTTGGAAGTCAGAAGAGAATGATTCAATGCTCATTGACACCTGCAGACAGACAAGTGGACTTAGTTGAGAACTAGAGAATCACCTAGAGACATACTGCAGGAGGCTGAGAGCATCAGCACCTGCACTCTGGGCTTCTCAGACAGAACCAAGGACCATGTGGTTAGGCAGCTCACACCTGCAGGGTAGGGTGCACCCTGGTTTCTGCAGGAGCACCAGAGAATCATGTCTCTAGTATCTGCTTCCGTGACTAACATCAACCAGGCCTTGAAAAGCTGTAGTTTAGACACTGATTTCATAAATTAAAACAATTCCTGCTTGGAAGGGCTAGAGTGGCTTCTCTTTTGCTACAAGAATTCCAATCATCCCATAACAGACTCCTCAGGTGGTTAAATCTCTTTATTAAATCAGGACTCGCATTTCATGTCTTTGCTTCTGGGGATGAGGAGGAAAGAGAGTGGGTGCAAAGGAGCCACCTCATCACAATTTACCAAAATTTCCAGATGACCTTCAAAACTTGGCTGCATCTGGAAAACAACTCAGCAGATTGAGGCACCAGGAGGAGCATCTAGGGCAACCCGGCCTCACTCATCTGCTATCCTAGCGGTTGATGTTATGACTTGTCGCACTGGGAGAGGGAAAATGCTCTCTTGTTGACATTAATAAGTTGCAAAATCTTCAGGCTGCAGGCTGCTGACAGTGAGAGTGAAATCTCTTCCATATCCGCTGCCACTGAACTGAGATGGCATCCCCCTCTGCAAACTGGATGCCCTATAGGTCAGGAACTTAGGTGCTTTCCCTGGTTTCTGCTGATACCAATTTAAATAGTTGTAAATGCTTTGACTAGCCTGGCAAGAGACGGTGACTCTGTCTCCTACAGATGCAGACAGGGAGGATGGAGGCTGGGTCATCTGGATGTCACATCTGGCATCTCAGATTGGAAATACAAAAACAAATATTTACACTTTTCACCATGTTATGCGAGCATTTCCCTGAAGAGCCAGGCTGTACTGAGCACACTGGGTGGCTAACTTCCCAGTGTTCTCCTTCTTTACCTGGGAGACAGAGCAGCAGGAAGGCCAGGAGCTGAGCGGGGATCCTCATGTTCATGCTGTGTCCTGACTGCGACTGACTCCTGCACAGGGTGTGACCAGCCTATTAAGAAGTCTTCAGGGCAGGGGGCTGCGCTCTAGGACACGCAAATCAGCAGGGGATGGGGCAGGCTGGGCACAGCCACGGGGCTGGCTCATCTCGGTAACTCAGCAAAGGGGCAGTGTCCGCAGGGTCCCAGGTCAGACCAGGCCTGACAGATTTGCCTGGAGGGAATGTATTTCTCTCTACATCCGTTGTTTCGACAAGAGATATTTTGGGAGAAAAAAGTCAAAATTTAATACAAACCTAGGGACTACATGGAGTCATATATTTTAGAGTTGTATCGGGAGTATATAGGAGAGTATGATCATTTGTAGGGAATGTCTGATAATGTCTTAGAGAATGGGGCTATCAGGTCTTCAAGTTATTTAAGTGGACATTGTGGGAGCGACAATCCCTTTGTTATACTAACAACACCTCTGTGATTGTCACGTTGCTCCCATTGTTTCATGTGGGAAAAAAGTCTTTGTCAGAAGCATATTTAAATATTCAAAGGTATTTTGTAGTGACCTGAAACATTTGTTATTACCAGTCTATTTTCAAGCCATTCCCTGCAGATGCACAATAATGATGCTGTGATTCCTCAATGCCTGTGCCACTCACAGATCTTCCATAATCCAGAGCTATAGGTCTCTGTAATAACCAGGGACTAAATGGACAGCACCTACGTCTTGCTGACCCATATGATCAATTGTCTCCACAGGAAGAAGAACAAGGTAACTTACCCTTGCTAATGCTCTGAGCTGCCTTTCCCACTGGAATGTTCCCAGGTGTTCAGGTACAGCTCCCAAAAAACTGGGCTTTCTGGAAAGCAGGGGAGGGAGAGGTCCTGGGGAAAGGCCAAGTCAGTGAACACTTTCTCTTCAGTGAGGGCAGCAGCTACTCAGTGCATGTCTCTGCCCTGCACCATCGATGCCACTTTCCTCTTTGACTCTTTAGCAGTATGTGGGGACATCATCCTTACCCAGACGCCAGCCTCCTTGCCTCACTTCCAGGAGAGAGAATCTGCATCTCCTGCCAAGCCACCGCCCATGTACGTGAAGAAATACTTTGAATCTGGATAAAACTTGGAAACAGATTTGAACCCCTCTACCTCACATGTCTGCCTCTGCCCAGGCATCCCAGCCTGGTTGTGCAGCAAGGGAAGTGGAATCAACTACATCGACATGAGAAGACTAGAACCTGGGGAGTCCAGGGAGCATTACTCACGCATCACTAAGAGTGAGCAGACCACAGTGGTATAGCCTGTACCCAGATCTCCTGCTGCTTTCCAGGGGCCTGAATTTCAAGGGAAATTACTGGCAAACTGCTTGCTAAGATTTAGGTTCAGAGAGAAGAAGCTCTGGATTGAAATACACACATTTTTTTTGTGCGGGGAGGTGAATGTAGCAGTCACTCTTGCTACCCTTTGCCTTTCCCCTTTGCTGTACTTCTGCTGACTCCCCAAGGCCATATCTGTTCCTCACTGCTCTATGTCAAACTGGAGAAGGCAGCCCTGCCTGCACACATGGCCTTTCACAGCACCTGGAATGAGCATCCTCTCAGAAAGCCCTCAATCAGTGAGGACAGGAGAGGTGTATATACCCCAGCTCCCTCTCTTTTCAGCTGGAATAATACTGAGACATTTTCCCCTGTTTCCACGTGGGCTTGAGCTCCAGCCATCCTCAGCGGTAGCTCTTTGCTGAGGAGACTTTTGGAGTCCCTCCTTTCTTTCCTCCTTCACTGCCTTGTTTCCTCCCCGTGTTTCCTGTGCATTATAAATATGCTGCCTGCATAGGCATCATTATCCCTGAAAGAGCCAACCTAAGAAAGCGGAAAAACATTCTTTCTTGGACAGTATGGTCTGAATTCTTGTCACATCTTTTTTTTTAATGCATAGGGATATTCAGAAAATTTAGGAAACACCTGAATTATCTTGGAATGGTCACCCTCAGTTCTTCAAAATGGCTCTATCTTGTCATTTTTTAGTGTCAGTTTTAACAAGACACACAGGCATTTCACTGTGAAGAGGGCTAGCAGGAGAATACTTCTTATGTGTAAAAGCTCTTGGATAAATCCTTTAAACTCTCATAGTCTCTGGGTATGTGATTAGCTCTTGTGTTCTCTGGAGATGACAAAAGTAGGGGACTATTTGTTCATTTGTTTTCACATTAGGAGAAGAAATCAGATTGATAGGACACATTTTGAGAGGGAAGAGCCGGCTCAGAGAGATGAGGATGGTAGAAAAGAAACAAAGTGTTCAGGGCAATGCGAGATGTGCTCCTGCCCTCAAATCTGAAAGAAAGACATTTAAATTTTAAAGACTTGGAGGAAGTTTTGCTATGTGGACAAAACTGCAGAAAGGCCTGAGTTTATAATTGTGGTAATCATGGCAAGGTTCAGAGGTAGCAAGGCGCTTGCTGAGAATTCCACACCACCCTTCCGGCTTTGTCTCTTCTCTGAGTTTAAAAGACATTCATTCCTCCATGGAACAAATGTGGCCATGTGGAAGCGACATATTTAAGCTGGGTTCCAAGCTCAGCCCTGATAATTGCTGGCCGTGTATCTTTGGGCAAACCACCCCTGTGCTCTGATGAACAGTTTACTCACCTGTGAAAAGTAGCACCAAGGATATCAAGGGCTGTCCTGAAGGTTTCTCTAGTTGATGCACCAGGAAATGTATCTATGCATATATATGTATGAAAAGACTACTTAGGGCCCCTTTTCTGCATCCTTGAATATCTTAGAATGAAGATTCTAGATAAGATATTACTACCCAGATGTCATGCTCTACTAAGAATTATCAACATTTATTATATAATTAACAGATGCTCCAGTATACACTGTGCGGTTTCCTGTACGCTATTTCCTCATAAAATCTTCTAATATGTGTAACATTAGAGAATGGAACGTGGAGATTCCCAATCATTATACTACCTTTAGGCTGGATTTATTCTAAGCCCCATTTGTATTAGTATTTTTGGGCTGCTATAACAAATTACCAAAACTTTGGTAGCTTAAAGAAATAGAAATATATTCTCTTATAGTTCTGGAGGCCAAAAGTCCAGCATCAGTTTCAGCAGCCAGGAGCAGGCTGTCATCAGACAAAGCTGCTACAGGGGCTCCAGGGGCAAGTCTATTTTTTTACTTCTTTGAGCTTTTGGTGGTTTAAGCTTTCATTGGCTTGAGTCCAAATCATTTCAATCTCTGTTGCTGTCTTCAGATGGTCTTCTCTTCTGCAGGATTTTTAAAAATGACATTTAACAAAGACAGGCCCCTTTAAGGCCCACCTGGTCAATACAGGATAATCTGCCCGTTTTATGATCCTTAATTTCATGTGCAAAGGCTCTTTTCCTGTGAAAGGTATCTGTATAGTTTCCATGGAATACAGCCTGATCATTTGAGCACCATACTCAGCACTAAACCATTATAGAATGACTCTTCAGTGTTGGTACTATACACACATCACACGCTCTTCTCTCTCTCTCTCCTCCTCTCGTTCTCTCTTTCTTCCTTCTGATTATAAATCTCCTCACTTCCCTAAGCGTATCTAGTGCCACCTATGTCTAGGTTAGAGCAGCACACATAGGAGGGCCTGCATAGGTATCATTGTCCCTGAAATGTTGTGGTTTTGCTTAGAGACCTGCTCTATCCCTCATTATCACTCAGAAAGAAGGACACAGCCAAAGATAGTCCTCAGCCATCTGGGGAGAAGCTGTCTTCACAGAGGACAGTCAGGGGCTATCATTCTCTGGACCTCTGCTTATCTTCAGATGCCTGTGGTCCTCAGCCCTCAGTGAGGGTCTGTGTGGCCCCTGATTTGAGTAGGATCCAACAGGATCCTTATCAGAATATCTGATTCACAGAAGGCAGCGAGTGTAAGGTAGGAGATCATCAGGACTTGTGTTCTGAGCACCGATCCCAACATTGGTCATGACAACGCTGACCGGAACAGGATCTCGACAAAAGAGGATGCGCTACAGAAACTGGCACAAACCAGCTAGAACCAAGATGGTGACAAAAACGACCTCTAGAGCACAGTGTGAGTGGATCTTCCCCCGGGGGCTCCCGTCAGACAGAGTGGCAGCCATGGCTCAGTACTGCGTGATCATAGTATGAAACCCCCCCCTACGGTCTTTTCACAGCCCCCCTCTGACTGCAGTGATGTGGGATTTCTCTGTCCAACTTTCATGGCTCAAGCAACTTCTGGGACTCTGTTCACAATGGGAAGTCATGAAGGTAGTTAGGCTGTTGATGGCCAGAGTGACATCTGTCCAGACTCACCCCCTTGACCCAGGCGGGCATCGTGTCCAGGGGGCAGTGGGAGCCAGCAGGAGACCAGTGTCAGCCCTTATTTCCCGTGGAGCTAGGCTAGGACACTGTTATTTCCATGACTGGCTCTGCTGGTGACAGTGACCCTGTCTCCTGGAACACAGGGAGGGGCCTGGAGATGAGCACCGCACAATATCCCAACAGTCACATAAGTGGGGAACAATTATGAACAGCCCCAAATGTTAATTCTAAATAACTACTTCATTCAGTTTGACTAAATTCTGATGAACAAGCAAAATGGGCGACAGACTTCATCTTGAAGGATGTTTAATGCAAAGAAACTGCATTAAATTCATGTTTAATGCACAGAAACTGAAGGTGAAGCCCGAGTTCTCCCTCTTCACCAGAGAGTTGGAAAAGCAGGAGGAAGAGGAGCAACACCAGGTCCCCACGTCCACGAGGGTCTCCTGAGGCTGATCCTGCTCAGAGAGAGTGGGAAAAGTGGATGAGTCAGCTTGCATTGCCACACCAAAAAAACTGGATTGGATGGCAGAAACCACAGAATTTAATTTTCATATTTCTGGTGCCTGGAATAGCCCAGATCGATGTCCAGCAGGGTTTGCTTTCTGGTAAAGACCTTCTTCCTGGTTTGCAGATGCCACCTTCTCACGGTGTCTTCACACAGCCTTTCCATAGAGCAGAAGGCAATTAGAGAGAGAAGGGAGAAAGGAGAGCTCTCTGCATCTTATAAAAACACGAATTTGCCAGGCACAGTGGCTCACGCCTGTAATCCCAGCACTTTGGGAGGCCAAGGCGGGCAGATCATGAGGTCAGGAGATCGAGACCATCCTGGCTAACGCGGTGAAACCCCGCCTCCACTAAAAATACAAAAAATTAGCCGGGAGTGGTGGCGGGCACCTGTAGTCCCAGCTACTCGGGAGGCTGAGGCAGGAGAATGGTGTGAACCCGGGAGACGGAGCTTGCAGTGAGCTGAGATGGCGCCACTGCACTCCAGCCTGGGCGACAGAGCGAGACTCTGCCTCAAAAACAAACAAGCAAACAAACAAAACAAAACAACAACAACAAAATACGAATTCTACTGGATCAGGGACCCCCCTTATGACCTCAATTACATCTTTAGAGGTCCTAATTTCTACAGTCATATTGAAATTAGGGTTTCAACATGAATCTGAGGGCACAATTCAGTCCATAGCAGGTGGGACACAGCCAGGGCCTTGCTTCCAGTCTCAGAGAATGGGGCAGGTTCCCACAACTCAGCACATGGGTGGCTCCTTCCCGGTGCCCAGGTCACAAGAAAGACCCGCCTCTACCTTTCGGGCTCCCTGTTGAGAATGGGACACCAGCACTCCTACTTTCCCAGTGTTCCTGAGACCATGGTGTTGTCTTTTGTTTATTGTGGAGTGTTTTTGCCATCTTCAGACAGGTCTTTGACATAGCAACTTATCGGACATTTGATTCTGTGATTGTGAAAATTAATTGATTAATTAGTCATAAGTAAAAAATTAAACAATACATTGAATCAGAAAAAAGGAGGGCCAGATGAAGAGCTTAAAAGGAATCTGAGTATCTTAAAAAGACGTATTCCTTTCAAACAAGAACAGTTAGAGTCACGGATTTTTAAACAAATGACTTTTTAGCAGCAATGATGAAATAGTAAATGACAACTTCAAATAGGCTACCACATATGGAAGTTTCTTGTCAAAGAATATCTTCAAGAATCATGTAAACACATTTTCAGATTAAAACAAACAAACAATGAACGTGGGTTTACCAGCAGACCCGCTCAATGGAAAATTTCTCAAATCTGTGACTGAGTCAAAAGTACATTTGTCCCTGATGGAAAGCTAGAGGTTTTATTTGTTTCTGTATTTATTTTTGATCCTTAGAAGAAAACAGCTTTCTCTCCATTCAGTTCCACCTCATGCTGTTGAGGATGACCATGGGGGCAGTGACTGTGAGGAAGGAGGAAGGCTGTGCTCTCAGGGTGGTCGTGCCTCCTGTCCACCTGAGTGACCTCATGGAGCAGAGCCACCCACACCACCAAGGCCACGTGCCTGCCTCTGCACTGCCATGGCACAGACACAGAAACCTTGTCACATTTAGTCCACCATATTTTGAGGTTTCTTTGTAATAAATTTAATTATGCTCTGATTCTCCTTGTGTCTCTCTCCTTTCAGATTTGGAATCATTTACTTTTCACCATTTTGACTTGAGAATATAGACCTTTGCGATATCAGCATCAGGTAGGTTGTACATTTGTTTGCTTTTCCTAAGAATATATCTAACCGCCTTGAATGGGTTTTGATTTTATCTTCTGTCTCACAGAAAAGCAGAAACTCAAGGTGACTAGGTGCTGTCAATCACAGGAGGGCTAAAGTGACAACGGAATTGCTGTATCTCCTGCTGTTGCTACTTACATCTTATTTTCTTTTACTGCGTTCTGTAATAACATTTAGGCTCAAAGAAACATTAATTAGTATTTTTGAATAACATATTAAGTGCTTATGTTTCTTAATTTGAGGGCTATGGTCTACTAAACATCTATATACATTTTGCCATGCAACTTTTCAACCCAACAGAAATGACACATGGGAATTTTAATTGCACTTCCTGTGGAATCCGTTATCTTGACATAAATCATCTCAAGTATAATTTAAGCTGTTAGCCTGCATCAGATTCAATGAGCCTTTTGTGTCTCTACACAGTGTTTTCACATGTAAAAGACATCACTCATTACTCGGGTTCATGTAAATTTATTTGGCAGAACAATCAGATCACGGAAGCAGGCAAGTGGTAACACAAGTGAAATACATGTTAGAAACGACTGGTTTGGGGATAGTTTTATACATGGTAACAGGTGGTCATATTGGGAAATTGCTGTCTTCCCACTTTCCAAACTTGCTCCTTTACCACTCACACGAAACTGCCCTCTCTAGTATTATGGTGAAGAAAGCACTATTGCTTTTTTAACGGAAAGCATTTGTTAGGTTTAAAAGTTCCATGGCAAAATGTATACAGGTATGTATCAGACCGTAGCCCTCATATTAAGAAAGCATATAAATTTAGAACATTATTGTCAATAGAATCTATTTATTTATTTATTTTAATTTTTATTTTATTATTATTATACTTTAAGTTTTAGGGTACATGTGTACAATGTGCAGGTTTGTTACATATGTATACATGTGCCATGTTGGTGTGCTGCACCCATTAAGACACATGCACACGTATGTTTATTGCGGCGCTATTCACAATAGCAAAGACTTGGAACGAACCCAAATGTCCAACAAAGATAGACTGGATAAAGAAAATGTGGCACATATACACCATGGAATACTATGCAGCCATAAAAAATGAAGAGTTCATGTCCTTTGTAGGGACATGGATGAAGCTGGAAACCATCATTCTCAGCAAACTCTGGCAAGGACAAAAAACCAAACACCGCATGCTCTCACTCATAGGTGGGAATTGAACAATGAGAACACATGGACACAGGGTGGGGCACATCACACTCCGGGGACTGTTGTGGGGTGGGGGGAGGGATGAAGGATGGCATTAGGAGACATACCTAATGCTAAATGACGAGTTAATAGAATCTATTAAGGGCATAATTTTTCTATGCATTTACAACTAAAATAGACGATTCAGATTTATTTTCAGGAAAAAAATAGGGTCATGTAAAAATAATGCATTTATTCATTCTTCGAATGATTTTCTTATGACAACATAGTACTAGATATTTCCTCTCTAAAGTACTATGTCAGTAAAATACTTTTAAAATTCTAAGAATTTGAGAAGAAAATAAAAATCTCATGCAATTCTGCATTGTTCCTGTGATACGTTATATAAACTTTATGTTTTCCTTCTGAGTTATTTTGTTTATTTTCAAATCCCACTTTTGGAATTGTAAGAACTCCATTTTCAGTCAGCAAAAGGTAATTGAGGTAAATCAAACTATTTCGGGATTAGGATTTATATTTCCCCTGGATTTTAAAAATCTATAAGAAGTAAAAAAAAAATCAAACATTATAACTAATTATTCTTAGCCATACTCCCGTGAAAATAGCTGGTGCAGAATGCTTTCTCCACCATAATACTAGGGAGGGCAGGTTCGTGTGAGTGGTAAAGGAGAGAGAAAGTTTGGAAAGTGGGAAGATAGCAATTTCTCAACATGAACAACTGTTACCATGTATAAAACTATCCCCAGACCAGTCGTTTGCAACATGCATTTCACTTGTGTTACCACTAATCTGCATCCATGATCTGATTGTTCTGCAAATAAATGGATGCAACAAATGTGGGCCAGACAAGGAGGGTGAGGATGAGCTTCATTCACTCTTCCTTCATCAGAGCTGGCTGTTCCCAGAGCAGGTGGCTACATGTGGCAGCCGATGGAGCCTTAACATGTGGGACTGAGGTGCAGCTGAGGCTTTCATGGGCCAGAGTCCTCAGCAGCAAACTCTGCCCTGAATTCTCCAACAGCCTCCTCTTCTGCAGACTGAGAGACCCTGCTGAGCTGCTCCCCAGACAAGCAGTGCATGTGAGCAGCTGGGACACCCCAGAAGGGAGGTTTCTCTATGGGGCTGTACCACTGTGGGAGGAAGCTGCAGAGCCTGCATGCAGTAATAAACCCCAACATCTTCAGCTCCACCCGGCTGATTTTCAGTGTGAAATCAGTGCCTGACCCACTGCCATTGAACCTGTCTGGGACTCCAGAGGCCCGGTTTGAAACAAAATAGATCAGGAGCTGTGGAGACTGGCCTGGCTTCTGCAGGAACCAATACGAATAGGTGTATCCATCACTGGACAAGAGGCTCTGACTAGACCTACAGGATATGTGGGTAGCTCTCCAGAGGTGACAGGCCAGGAGAGTGGAGTCTGGGCGATCACAATATCACCACTGGATCCTGAAATAATAACAGAGAAGTGCAAGGTTGTATAGACACATTATGAGCAGCTTTCATGATTTCCCTATGATACTGATTTACAGTTACATATATTTTCAAGTTTTGATTTATATCATGGAAAGTAGACTTTCTAAAATGAACCCATTATTTACCAGCCAGCAGGGAACTCTTTATTTTCAAGATCTTAATCAGAGGTCATTGTTCCTTGGAGGTGAATCCTGATTATTCTTAAGACAAAAATATGAATTCTCTTTCCTGGAGCATAGACCATGTACCTCTAACACACGGTTGAAATAAATAGGGGAAGCTATGGAGCACCCAGCACTCACCTTCCAACCCCATTTTCCCACCTCATATTTTTTCTATCTTGAGCATTAGCCGCCCCAGGAGCTGAGCAGGGAGCCTCATTGTGAGATGAACTGAGGAGTCCTGATCTGTCGAGGCAAGGTTAGAGCTGAGCTTTTACCTCAGACTCACAAGGGAAGGTCCTCCCCTAGGGTGCAATATGCAAATCACCTGGTGGGTGCAGCAGTGTGGAAAGGGTCAATGGTGGAGGGGTTATGTCTCTACTGTGAACAATGTGACATAAAATGTTCAATGGAGCAAAACAAACATAGTTCAAGTCAAGTATGCCTGTAGCAGTTGAGGATGGGACACACTAGGGTCTCCTCCCAGTGATGTGACTGAGCATCCCTGCAGCCATGACGACAGCAGGAAACCTTAGCGGCTGGTCCAGTGAGGATGTGGCAGCCAACACTGGAGGGTCTGTAGGGCTTGAGCACCCCAAGGAGTTAGGAAGGAAGAGGCTCTGGAAGGTGCCCTGGAGAGACCTGGCCCCTGTTCACACAGAAGAGGAGCATGTACCTGTGACTGAGGCCTCATGTCCTCTTCCTCAAAGACTCTCCAGGCAACTGCCTGAGCCCACCTGACTCGACTCTCTGTGGACACATCCCCTGGCACCGCAGCCTCTCCTTCCACGCTGAGAGGCGGAGCTTCCTTGAGAGCTTTATGTTTGGGGCCATCACACTGTGCAGGGTCCCAGTGAGTGTTCTGCTCACAGGAGGATGTGCAGCATCTCCAGGCTCCAAAGTAGTGTTTGTGATGGTGAAATCCCTAGAATTTTGGTTAGATGTGAGTCCCTGCTTGTGAATACCTTCTACAGACATGTCATTCTTTGTTTTGCAAGATATTTTCTATGAAGCATCCTTTCTTTGTTTTTGAACCTTTTTTTTGGTTAGGAATGTGATTTAAATTGCACTACCTTTAGTCTCCACACTGGTGATTATGGGAGTGAGACCAATAGATTTTGGGTTGGATGTGTGTTCTCACTCATGAATGGAAAACTACTCTAAAGACTTGTCATTCTTTGTACGTGTGACAAATTACTTGCTAAATTTCATGATTTCCTTTTTTTTGACATTTCTGCTTGGAAATACAATTTTAAATTCATTCACAATGGGATCCATCATCTTAGAATAGACAATAATTTCTGATGTGATTCATTTTTTTAACCAGAAAAAAAGATATTTTGTCCTTTTGATACGAATATTACTTTAATCATATCACCTCATGGCAGTGACAGACATGCTCATGAATAATTCATAAATATTTTTGGAGCATTATTTTAAGTGACTATATGCAAATCATACATTTTTCTATACCATTACTGTTAGAATATGGAAATCAGATTTATTTTTAGGCAATGACCACATTGTGTAAAAATAATACATTTACTTATTTCAAAACCTTTTATTGTTTTTTATGACAACTTAATATCAAAATTGTCATTTATCAAAACCTGCTGGATTACGTTTTGCTGGGCCTTCTGCTCAGCATGTCAGTGCTTCTGACATCTCCCAGATGCAGACAGTGGTCTCTGCTAGACCTCCTCCAAGGATAGAATAAGTTTCAGAAGCTCTGCTTGGCTGCTGTGATTTCACTAAGACTGAGTGACATGACCTCAGGTCTCCTTGTACAGGGACTTCACTAACCCTTTGGTGATTACAGACCTAAAGCCCTACTCGCGACATTACTTTCCTGTGAGACTCCCAGTGGCACAGGCTCCGCCCAGGAAGCCACGCAGCAGTGCCTTCAACTCTGTGGTTCTTCGCAAGAAACATATTTGGCTCTTGGTGGGTCCACATCAACTGCCATCACCACCACCATCCACATCCCACCCACCGTAAACCAAGGGCAGTTTAATTGAACAATAGCCGACCTCTCCTGTATCCCCTCAGGCCCCTATTCCTGCAGTCTGTCCAATCTTGAATTCTGAACTTTGGGAAATAAAAAAGTTTCCATCATCCTTTATTTTCCCAGTAATCCATGGAAAATACTACATCTTTAGTATACTACATCTTCCAGGATTTGCTTTTTATTTCCAAAACCAGCTCTTGGAGTTTCAAGAACTCCCTTTTTCTATCCGTGAGAGATAATTGTAATTAAAAAAAGGTTCAGTATTAGTATCTTGTATCTGCTATGAAATTACAAAATCTATTTGACGCTCACTACCAAGATTTCACTGACTGTCCTCAGCCAGCTCCCTCTGAGGAGAACTAGTGGAGAATGCTGTCTCTCCTGTCTTATGGAGTGGGCAATGAGTGCTAAATAGAAGAAGCGGAAGTTAAAACAAACTAGGAAAATGCCAATTTTAAATATAACCAAATATTTTCTTAAAAATATGGCCGGGTGTGCTGGCTAATGCCGTAATGCCAGCACTCTGGTAGGCTAAGCCCAGTGGATCACTTGAGGTCAGGAGTTGGAGACCAGCCTGGCCAACATGGTGAAACCCCGTCTCTACTAATAATACAAAAATTAGCTGGGCATGTTGGCGAGAGCCTGTAATCTCAGCTACTTGAGAGACGAGGCAGGAGAATCGTTTGAAACTGGGAGGCAGAGGTTGCAGTGAGCTACGATCATTGTTCCACTGCACTCCAGCCTGGGCGATAGAGGGAGACTCTGTCTCAAAAAAAATCTATATCTATCCATATCTATGTCTATATCTATATTTATATCTATATCTATATCTATATCTATCTATCTATCTATCTATCTATCTATCTATCTATCTATCATCTATCCCAAACTGTTAAACCCTAAGATGTATTCAGTGTGTCTTGCCAGAAATGATCAATTGTCTGGCTGTTTTGCTGAATAAATTTAATAAACAACTGTAGGCAAGGAGGGAGGATGAAGATGAGCTTCCATTCTCCTTTCCCTTTCATCCTGATTTTTAACTCACAGGGCCCTAGAACCTCCTCATAACCCTGTTACTTATGACTGTCAAGGCTGTGTCAGGTGACAGGTACATCAGCAAGAGCAGGAATTGGGCCCGATGGCTCATGCCTCTAATCTCAGCACTTTGGGAGTCCGAATTGAGTGGATGACTCGAGCCCAGGATCTCAAGAGCAGCCTGGGCAACATGGCGAAACCCCGTGACTACCAAAAATATATACAAAAATTAATCAGGTTTGGTGGCACGCCCCCTGTGATTCCAGCTACTCCGTAGGCTGAGGTAGGAAAATCACTTGAGCTTGAGATTTCAAGGTTGCAATGAGCCATAATCACACCGCTGCACTTTATGCTGGGTAACAGAGTGAGACCCTGTCTTGAAAACATAAAGAAGTAAATAAACAGGTAGTGCTTGAGGTACAGCTGAGGATTCATGGCCCAGAGTCCTCAACAGCAAACCTGCCCCTGAGTTCTCCAACAGCCTCCCCTTTTGCAGACTCAGAAACCCTGCTGAGCTGCTCCCCAGACAAGCAGCACATGTGGGCAGCTGGGCAATCCCAGCAGAGAGGTTTCTGTTCCAGGATGTAGCACTGTGGGGGGCCAGTGTGTAGCTTGCATGCAGTAATATAAACCCCAACATCCTCAGCCTCCACCGGGCTGATTTTCAGTGTGAAATCAATGCCTGACCCACTGCCACTGAACCTGTCTGGGACCCCAGAAAACCGGTTGGAAACCGTGTAGATTAGACACTGTGGAGGCTGGCCTAGCTTCTGCAGCTATCAATGTAAATAGGTGTTTCCATTACTATGCAGGAGGCTCCGACTAGACCTGCAGGAGATGGAGGCCGGCTCTCCGGGGGTGATGGACAGGGACAGTGGAGTCTGGGTCAACAGAATGTCCCCACTAGATCCTGGAATGATGACAGAAAAGGGCAAAGTTATGTACAAATATTATGCGTTATGCTCATAATTTTCCATTTATTATTTCAGCCTGTATAATTTCTTTGCAATTTCAAGAATATCCAATTTCAAAAAGAACTCAACAGATGCAAGGCACAAAGTGGTCTCCCATACCATCATCCTCTTTCTAAGACTTGCGTTTCTTCAGGGCACATATCCTTCCTTCTAAAATCTTCCTCCCTCTCAGAGATCAGTACATCATATGCCTCATGCTGCAGAACAAGACCTGCACATCTAACACGTGGACTGAACACACATGGGAGGCATTGGGCCCCCAGAGCTCACCCTCCCACCCCATTCTCCTCCCTCATCTCCCTGCTGTCCTTACCAGGGACCCAGAGCATTAGCAGCCCCAGGAGCTGAGCAGGGAGCCTCATTGCGAGAAGGTGCACTGAGGAGTCCTGATCAGTCAAGGCAAGGTTAGAGCTGAGCTTTTATCTCAGACTCACAATGGAAGGTCCTCCCTAGGGGACAATATGCAAATCCCCTGATGGGTGCAGTGGGGTGGAAAGAGCCAAGGGGATGCTGGGAGCCTCTCTTGAGGGCAAAATGACTTAAAGATTGTCTCTGTTTAGAGAGAAACCAATAGAGATAAAATCTGTGCTGCATGAGTAGGATAAATTCCCTTTTCTCTTTGTCTTCTCTCTTAGATTTCTTGTTTCTTAGAATTTCCCAGGTGCATTTCTCACTTCTCCTTAGCAAGGTTAAGATTCCGTAAACATATGATGATTCTTATTTTTTAATACATATTGGATTAAGCATGCAGGATTGGCTTCTTACGTTTTTTAATTGATATAAAACACTCACAAAGGATGGAAATGTTAAATATGCAACTAAGTTTTACGTATGTTCGCCATCCAGATGAATCTCTAGAATATTTCAAATTCTCCAGATTCATCCCTTGTGCACCTTCCCAGGCATCAACTGCTCCCCCATCCCAATCAAGGTAACTGGTATTCAGATATTCATTATAATAATTTGGTTTTCCCTGTGCTACAATCTCATATAAATAGAAGTGAACACTTTTGTTAGGCTGTTTCTTGCTTCTTTCTTGTTTCTTTATTATTTTTGAAGTCTTCTTTTCTCGCTGTGCGTTCAAGCTACGATCTGCTGTGATTTCCTGTGATTTTGAAGAATTTCCTCTTGAATGTTTTATAGAACATATCTCTGCAAGTAATCATTTCTCTTCATTTTTTAGTAAAGAAATGTTTTTACTTTACCTTTATTTTTGAAACATGTTTTAACTGGATATTGAACCCTTTGCTGAGTCCCCCGAACCCAGCATTTAAATATGTAATCCCGCTGTCTTCTAGCCTCTATCAGTCTTGTGAACAGTTAGCCAATTATTCTATTATTGTTTTTCTGGTATAATGAGCCCATTTTTTCTTGATACAATTGAGATTTTCTCTTTGTCTGGTTCAGCGTTTTAACTATAATATGTATAGTTGTAGTTTATCCTGAGTGGTTACACTATCTGTTATATAATATAATAATTATAAAATATGTATAGTTATATAATATGTATAGTTGTAGTTTATCCTGAATGGTTACACCAGCATTTAGGATAATGCATGGCATTTATCCTGAATAAGTTTCATTATTTTTTCAGTGATTTTTGTCTTGATCTTATAGACCAACATCTTTTATTACTCTTGATGTATTTGCCATTATTTCTCAGCACTCTCAAGTATGCCATCTCCCAGTGATCATTTCTGTGTGGTTTTTCTCTGCATTTCACTCCACTGTGTGGCTGTATATTGTTTTATGTCTTAGGCAATTTCCACAGCAGCCACAGGGCAGGCTGCTGGTGCACTTGGAGTGACAGTGAAGTTGGGAGTGTCAGCAAATCTGGGCATGGGCCTGGGCTGGTCCACATGGAGGTGGCTCGGTGTCTGAGTTGCCAGCCGTGGATGAGGCCCTGGAGCCTGGGTTTAGGGCAATGAAGCCCCATCCTAGGCAGCACAGGAGGGGTTGCTTCTTGAGAGAGTGTGGGAGGAGGGTTTCACAGCATCTTCCTCTCTGGGGTGATATGATTATAGCTGCAGGTTACCTTAATGCCAAAAGCACCAGTGTCCTCTGGAGCAGGCTGCTGTAATCCTCAACAATGAATCCTAATGGGCATCCACTGGGAATGTTGTAGGGTCGGGGCTGCCTGGGGGTTTACTTAGGTCATTAGCTGCAAAGGCTGCAGCGTCCTCCACAGAGCAGGCCATAGGGAGTGCAGTGACCCTGCCTCCTGGCTGATAACAATTGCCTCCTGCTTCTTTCATTTTAGAGGTCTCAGGACTCTCAGGCATGCCGTCTTCTGGCGATGCTTTCTGTATGGTTATTCTGGGCGTTTTTTCTAATTGTGTTCCTGCACATTCTTAACTGGGCTCTTGAACACTCCAAGGGCTATTTTCCATCTTGGATAGCTGTCCCATTGTTGGTCTTGCTTTTGTTTTTGTGTTTGTATTTTTTGGGGTAGGCAGGCGAAGGCTGGTGTCTCCTAGTCAGTCATTTTGCTGATATCACTCCCCGAGGACATCATTTTGATGATGCGGTAACACTATCATGGGATAATACTTGGGCATGTTCAGGTAAGAATTAGAGTGTTTAGCATGTGGGAGGAATGTGAATTGCTTTGGTCACAGGGTGGACTGATGCCTGTTGTATTCTCCAACAAGGCTGTGACAAGATCTCCTATCCTACATTTTTTTCTAACAGGGTAATCTTGACTCTCCTCCCATTGAACCTACTGCCTTATGCTTCCTTCTGTTGAATTTTGGTAGGCATGCAACTGTGTAGAAGCAATGCTGTTTGTCTTCTGAGGCTATAAGAGGTCATCGAGGCTGCATAACTTCTGCCTGCTCCTCCTCTGGAAGTTTCAAGTAAACCAAGCAGCCACATGAATTGGCAAACAACTCCAGCTGAGAACCTTACGTCTAATGTCATCCACCTTTGAGATGATGCCTACCCTAGCCACTCACTGACTGCATCCTTAGGAAAGCCTGGCAGGAACCTTGTGGAGCCCAGGAAACATCCAGAACCATAGAGATGATAGGCAGTTGATTGCAGTTTTCATGTGTTATTAAGTTGGTGGGTAGTTTGTTTCCTGTGCATTAATAGTACCCAGAATACCAACTTACAGAAGGAATATGGAAGTAGAAAGTCAACTATTGACAGTAGATGAATCTGGGTCCAATTTATATTTCTTACAGTGTTTTTCCAACTTGTCACTGTTTGATATTATGGTAAAATAAAAAGTTATAAAGAGTATGTGCAAATGTACAAAAGGTTACTGAGAGAGAATCAAGGAGACTCAATAAGCGAAAGGTTTTACCATGTTCTTGTATTAGGAAACTTAATATTGTGAATATAATAACTCTCTCCAAATTAATGGAATACTGTGACAATCAAAATCCCTGTGAATTTTGTTGAAATTTAAAAGCTGTTTCTAACTTAGATGGACATGCGAAGAGGCAGAAAACAAACAAACAAAAACAACCATGGTAATCTTACATAATAAGAACAAGATTGGAAGATTAACACTTCCCAATATTGAAGCTTATATTAAGCAACAGGAATCAAAACAGTATGGTATCGGTGAAGGCTGAGACAGATAACCCTGTGCAATGAGTCAGAGAAACTAAAACCAGATCTGCATGTACATATAGTCACTCAATTTACAATAAAAGTGCTACAGCAATTGTCTCAAACCATTTGTACAAAAAATAACACTTTAGATTGGATAATTAACAAACAACATAAATTTATTTTTTTCATGGTTATAAAGGCTGTGAATTCCAAGGTCAAGATGCTGGCAATCTCGGTGTCTGGTGAGGACTGTTCCTGCTTCCAAGATTGCACCTTGTGGCTGTGTTGTCACATGTTGGAGGTGGAAAGGCAAAAGTGGCAAGTCTGTGTAAAGCCACCTTATTAGGCAGGAATCTCATTCACCAGTGCTGAGCCCTCATGACCTAATCACCTCCCAAAGGGTCTACTTTCTAATATTGTTGCCTTGAGATTCAGTTTTAACAGGAACTTTGGAGGTGACGCAGACATTCAGGCCATAGCAGTGATGTAGTAGAAAAAAATTCTAATAACTGAATTATATTGGATCAATTAGATATCCATATTACATCAAAATGAATCTTAACCTCTTCATTTTACTTCTACACTGATACAAATATCAACTCTAAATTAGAAACTGAAATGTGAAAGGCAAAAGAAAAAAGCTTTTAGAAAATAGTGTAAAAAGATATTTCATGAATATGCATGTAGGAAAGATTTCTTAAAGAGAATATGCAAAGCACTAAGCATGAAAGAAAAGACTAATAAATTAGTTTGCATTAACATATTTTTGTAGCTTTAAAGAAATAAATGACAAAATGTTAACTGATACATACATATAAAAGAAATAAACTGCATTAGGAGATAGGAATGTGCGATTGTGGATAACCTCAAATGAGATATAAGTTATTGCCCCAACTTGCATTTTGTGAGTTAGAGTCACAGGAGCTTATCACATTGCTACTAATCACCAAATGAATGACTGAGTTTCGAATAAATAAACAACAAATAGCCATAGATGAAACTGCGTCATGATCAAGACATTATAATTAACAGATTATCATTGTTGAGTATTATTATTTGAAATAAACAAATGTAATTGCTTGATTTTTAAAAGATTAGAGAGAAAAAAACAAAATTAAATACCCTGCCAATTTTCAAAGAAAATTTCTACAAAATATTTTACGTAATCAATAGAATGAAGAAAAAATATCAGGACCCGGATGAAAATGGAACGAACATATTTATTCATACTCATTTCACTCAGATGTAACGAGTGAAAAGGTAATCTATCAACACTGCTGATACATGAGAAAATAAAAATCTAAATGTACTTGTTTAAAAAAGCAACTAAGGGGCGGGACCATAGCAACCAGAACCGGCCCTGCCAATGAGCAAAGAAGTAATATAAAAGTTGGAAGAACAGTCTCAGTTCATGAAGTAGAGGTATATGAGATTAAATAAAGAAAAGAAAGAGTGAAACAGACAGAAAAACAGGATTGAAAGTCAAACCCAATAAGGAAATATTTCCCTATATACTAGTCATTAGAACAGGGGTGATAAAGAGAAACATAATTTAAAATATTTATGCCTCTGTTATATATTCATGAGTGCAAATTTAACAGACTCGGAAATCTAGGCAAAATTAGGTAGCAAACATACAGGTGATTTTTACATGTTAAAAAATCAGGATCCAATAAAAAACCAAAATCTAAGGGAGGTTCTTTTTTCAGAGATAAAAATCAGGCTTGCTTCAGCAATGTAGTTTACAAACTCTGTTCCCAGAGAACAATGTAGTGATAGCTACATAACCACAAAAAGTCATTATGCCCATGCTTGTGAACTAAGGAAATGATCAAATATGAAGGAAACGTGCGATTTTGAAAATACACACCAACATAAATTTCATGACCATGTAAAAAAATAGAAAATCTTGAAAGATTTATTTTGATTCATCAAGAGTTTAAGCAGCATGCTCCAGTAAAGGAAGCTGTGCCTTGTGATTTTAAAAGGCTGTTGGTGGCTGGGAGCAGTGGCTCACGCCTGTAATCCCAGCACTTTGGGAGGCCGAGGCAGGTGCATCACTTGAGGCCAGGAGTTTGAGACCAGCCTGGCCAACATGGTGAAATCCCGTCTCTACTAAAAATTCAAAAATTAGCCGGTCTTGGTGGTGGGTGCCTGTAGTCCCAGCTACTTAGGAGGCTGAGGCAGGAGAATCGTTTGAACCCAGGAGGTCAAGGTTGCATTTACAAGGTTGCAGTTACATTTTTTGACACTTTACAAATATTAGTCCACTGTCTTATACTTACATTTATGATTTATGATTGTGGAGCAGTCTGTTGTCACTCTATTAAGTGTTCCCTCACAATGAAACAGTTTATTTTGGTTGCTTTTAAGAGATTCTTCATCTTTGGTGGTGGTTTCAAACTTAAAATATCATAATGAATCGGCCACCAAAGACAGAGAAATACTAAAAATCAGCCAAAATATATTGTTTTGCACATTCAAAACAAAGTAAATTTATGTTTTACACATCCAAAATGGGGATTGTTTGGCTTCCTGAATTCAATAATGTATTTGTTTACTCTGAAAAAACTATCAAATCAAACATTATATCCTTGAATATGTACTCTCCTCATCTTCTCTACTTAGTTCCCCTTTGTGCTACAGTCAATCACACATGATGCTGTTTATAAAGGACATACGTGATACTCCCATCCTCCATATGTCACTATTACTCCCTAGTTTACCTCTAATTGTCCATCTGTGAAGCCCTCATGACATTTTTTTACATCTATTATCCAAGTCACATTTTCTGCAGCTTCATTTAAGTTGCTAAGCAAAGTTTTCACTAAACAGCAAATTTTACTTATTTCACTTTTTATTAATATAAATTATAATTTTTATTCTTCAATGACTGGAAAATGTGAAAAAATTCGTGTATATATTAAATGTATTTACATATGTATGTGTTATATAGACATACACAAAATTGCTATTGTAACGGTGGTTTTCATAGCAGTCTATAGCTACTGGAGATTTCATTTTTCCTTAAAGATATTATATTTCCTTAAAAATATTTTCTTAAAGATATTCTATTTCTTAATTTATAATAAGGATAATTCTTATGCTTTTATTAAAAACATAAATTAATAGGCCGGGTGCAGCGGCTCACGTCGGTAATTTCAGCTCTTTGAGATAATGAGGCAAAACGATCACTTGAGCCCAGCAGTTTAAGGCTGCAGTGAGCTGTGATTCCACCACCACACTCCAGCCTGGGCTACAGAGCCAGAAAATATATATATAATATATGAATTGACAGTAATACATTAATACATTAAAACCAGAGATCAAGTCTTAAAAGCAACAGCAAAGTGCATTTCCAGTCTAGCTCAGTGACTATTAGAATTAAAGCCAACTTCAGGCAAAACATTTCCAAAAACATAAGAAAAAAAAAGAAAAATGAGAAAAAAATTCCAGACTTTTGAAGACATTTATTAAAATCATAAATTGATGGTATCCTCTTTCCCATCTTTTGATGAGTAAAATATTAAAATACTCCAAAAATTATCCACAAATTTGGTATTTGAGGGTTCATTTGTTATAAACTCAGAGGTTCTTGATGAGAGGAAGTTTAAAGTGTGTTTATGGAGATTAGCCAAGGTGTTGAATCAATCATTTCCTCTCTTGTGGTGAAATCTAATCAAGAACCCTAAGGGCTATCCTAAACTCCAAGAAATGTACAGCCTTTTCAAAATGAGTGTGATTTTTCAGAGAGTCAAGATAAAGAGGTACAAGGAGCCAAGCTCATTCTTCTCTGGGACACACAGAGTGGCTTTGGAACTGGCTGTGAAGATGTCTGAAAGCTACTGCCACTATATGGCGAGGCCCTGATCCCTGATCAGACTTTATATTATTACTTCTACAGCAAGTATCAGTGAGACTATAAGTATATTTCTAGGGTGAGAACACAGCTAACGGAGGAGGAGTTCCTGCTAGTTTTCCAGTCCAAAACAGACTGCCCTACGTTGAATTTTTCAACAAACTGAGCTTGTTTCTATGAAATGATGTCATTTGCTTAATTAGTAAAAATGTTTTTACTCTTATTTTGTTATCCTGTCTTCCTACATACTTGTGAACTACAGTGAAGATTAATTTTACTTGTATCATTTATGTATTCATTAGTTGTTCCTATGTATTCTAAGAACTCAGAAAATAGTTTTCAGATATCTTGCAATTTTATACTTGTTGTATATCTTAAATTTTATTGAGAATATTTTATTCCATATGTTGTGTATAAATGTATTACCTTCAATTCTAAAGGTGGCACATAAATATATGCACAAGACAAAATATTCTATAATATACAACTTAGGTAATATGTTGAATAATTTGAGGGTAATATTGTGTTTTAGAGTATACCAAATGCCTCTTTAGCATTTTTGGGTGAAATCTGATCAAATTTTGGGTGAAACCTGATCTGATGAAATTTCAACAAATGTTCAGTAAATAAATATTGCTTATTTATTTAGAAATTATTTTGCAGTGGTGGCTTGTGATTGAGATTTTTCTAAGTACTTTAAAGGAGAAAATTATGACATCAAAATGAAATAATGAGAGTAAAATCTCAGTGAAATACAGTTTCCTAAACCAATCACTTTTTTTTCTTTTGTACTAAATCGATCTTTCCTAAACCAATCACAATAAGCATTAAGAATGGTTTTCAGAGTATTCAGGACCCATCGTCTAATGGTATAAATTGGTCCTAATTTCATACTCTTAAACCTCAAGCTTTTTGGAGTAAAGTCAAAACTCAACAAAATTGAGGTTTCTTTTCTTCTTTTCTTTCTTTTCTTTTCTCCTTCCTTCCTTCCTTCTTTTCCTCTCTTTTTGTGACAGGTATTGTTTTATTGCCCAGGCTGAAGAGCAGTGGCTCAATCTCAGTTGACTGCAACCTCAGGGTTCAAGCGATTCTTCTGCCCAGTCCCCTGAGTGACTGGGATTACAGGCATGTGCCACTACTCCTGGCTGGTTTTTGTATTTTTAGTAGAGATGGGGTTTCCCCATATTGGCTGGGCTGGTCTCCAACCTGATCTACCAGCCTTGGCATCCCAAAGTGCTGGGATTACAGGTGTGAGCCACTATATCTGGCCTCTCTGAGGTTCATTTTTCTATGCAAAAGAAAAGGGTAGGATGTAGTGCCCTGTGAGTTATGCATGCATCTGACAATTTTACCTACAGATCTGAGAGCTCTCTTTGTGCCTCAGGTTCTATTTTTGTCTTATGCAAAATAACGCCTATTCTACTCTAGACAGAAGTTTATCATTGAGTCACAACCTGAGTCAAATTTTGCTTTGGTCTTTGTTTCTCAGGGCATAAGATGAAGAAGTTTGTATCATACCTTTCCTAATTTCCTTCCTTCAGGAAAGTGGTCTGAGACATCACACAAGCCTTCCGGAAAGAACCCATCTGCCTCTTCTGTCTGAACTAATGTGTAGACCCCATCGCCACAGGCTGCAGCCCCAGCTTCTGTAGGCCCTGTCTCTGCCTTTCCTAGGAAGAAACCAAAATTCCTACCTGCTGCCCACATGCTGGGAACTGTCACAGCAGGAGGACTTCAAAACCAATATTCTTCTGAAGAATCTAGTGTCCATTGCCAGAAAAGCCAGTCTCTGGCAATTCCTGAGTCCTAATGAGCAAATGTATGGAACCCATGGGGAGACAAAGAAGATATTTGGAGAGGTGGAAAAACAGCCTGATTCATTTGCTGTGCTGGAACTCTCAGGAGCATGGGGCTCACACACACTGTGAGGGGCAGCTAAGGAACACTGGGTAAGTGATGGCTCTGAGAGCACTTTGAAAGCTGGAGGATGGCACAGGTAAAGAGATTAGGGGAAGATGAAGAGCATGACGAGTAATCTGTTCTGTACTGGATGTCATGTAGTGCCTAGGTATCAATGATAAAATAATAAATATAATCTGAGTGTACTTTCCCTCCTGGAGCTTACATTTCACTGAGGGAGTGATGAAGTTAATAATCATTGTAATAATTTGACTACTTGATGCAGTGTTCAAGGCACTGTAAAGAGCTCAATATCAGAAGAGTTTCTGGCTATCCAAACTACAAGTTAAAAAGTCTTTTCTATAAGAAACCTATTTACCAACACTGGAAATAATAGAATAAAACACGCTAGAATTAGCAAGGCACGGTGTCAGTAGATTCCAATTCTGATGCAAGGTGCCACATTATCTGTAAATTAGCCCTGCCTATGATTTTCCTATTAAACTTGCTGCGTTACACGTTGTGGTTCTACAGTCCGAGATCTTCCCAAATCTCTCTCATATCTCATCCCTTGATTTCTTTATCACTGAGGGTCTGAAACCTAAAATGATTTGCTTCTCTGATGTTCACATTCATAGTTCTTTTACAGGAGAAGATTATGAAGCAAATGAGACGTTTGTGGGCAAAAATTCAAGAAAACCAAAGAAATTTAAATGAGGAAAGCAGGAAAACCAACCAGTGGATTGTAAGTATTAGGCCTTTTCCCTCAGATTTAGCCTCAGACAGACATGCTAGAAATGTATCCACTTATCACTTGAATGGAAATCATCTTGGTAGGATTTGAGGAAGATTTTTCTCATGGCTTCCAATCCTGAGGGTACAATGCAGCATTGATTACTGCTCAGAGAGAGTGGTCAGGCTATGGAGTAGGAAGACCTGGTACTAAAAACTAATTTAAAAACACAGAGATCATAATACTGCAAAAAATTATTTGTGAATCAACCATAAATTCCAATGGCTCTCATGTAGGCTTTCAGATATCAATGGATATATATTGAAGAAACGATCAATAATAACCTTTCTTCAGGTGTTTTAGGAAGTCATATAATGAATGAAAGTGGTTTGAGGAAAGAATGAATTTGGCTGTCAGTATTATTAAGAAACAATACAAATAAATGAAAGGAAGACAGGAATGATTTATTTCATGGTTCTGTCAAGTGGGAAGACACGAGTTTATGTACTTAGCTTATTGGTAGAATACATGAGTCAGGATAGGCTCGGTGGTTCATGTCTGTAATCCCAATAATTTGGGAAGACCACTTGAGACCAGGAGTTTCCAACCAGCCTGGCCATCAACATAGTGAGACCCTGATCTTTATTATAAAGAAAGGATGAAAGAGATAAAGAAAAGAAAATGAGTCAAAGTGAATAGAAGAGGTATAAGTGGAGGAGGATGAATTCAGAGTAAATATGTCATCTAGGAAATCCAGGTCCCCGCAGTGCTATGTGTAGCTACGGGCAGAGATGACTAGAGCTGAGTAGAGGAAGCTGCATTCAGTTCCCCATGAGAAGTAAAACAACATTTAGAGAAACTTACAGATGATGACAGAAAGATTTTACAGCAACTTAAGAAAAGCAAAAAGACAAAATGGTTCAGAAAAAAAAAAAAAACACCTAAGAAAAATCTATAAGGAGCTGATAAAAATGTGCCATAAACTAGATGTGGAGCTGCTCCAGGAAAGAACCAATAATATGCCTTAAAAATTTTTGTAGTATTTGAAGTTCATACCTTACAACAAGCTTGCCCAACCCACGGTCCGTGGGCCACATACGGCCAAGGACGGCTTTGAATGTGGCCCAACACAAATTCCTAACCTTTCTTGAAACATGATGAGATTTTTGTTTGTCATTTTATTAAAGCTCACCAGCTATAGTTAATCTTAGTGTATTTCATGTGTGGCCCAAGACAATGCTTTTTCTAATGAGGCCCAGGGAAGCCAAAAGATTGCACACCCCTGGCTTAGGTGATATTATTTATTCAACACCATAGATATGTGTGTGTGGGGGGGTGTATATATATGTATGTGTGTATACATATATATGTACCATATATATATATATATATATATATATATATATATATATATAATATATATCATATATGTATCTCCTGCTTCTAAGAGGGAGGAACTTTTCCAAATAGAAATAACATAGGTGAAATGTAATTCTTATCCTAACCATGAACAAGCAAGCTTTTTTGGAATCTTTGAGTGGATGTAATTTTATATTCCCCTTTATCAAACACTGACCACAGGGAATATTCCCCTCTAATAAGCTTCTTTTGTAGCTTTTTTCTGAAAAACTGGACAAATGTAATGTGGGAGTCAGACAGCATGTGTCACTAAGCTGAGAGCAGTGACATATGCAGGTGACATTCGCATGTCCTGGCAGCATTGTCCAGCAAAGGCTTCCTTTCTTTGGGGATGGACCCTCCCTCCTCACCTGGAGCAGCTCCACGTCAGGCATGTGGCACGTCTCCCACAGCTCTCTGTACATGTCTTTCATCCTTTCTAAATGTTGGGTCATTCTCACTTGACTGTCTTGTAGTTGTTGGAAAAGCCCTTTTGCTTCTCTGTCCAGTGCCTGCAGATGCAGTTGCTTCTCCTCATCGAGAAATAGACGCATCTTTTGATATTGAATATTGATTATCACCTTACTTAATGACACATAGTTCTGCGGAGACATTTGGTTAAAAGGATTACATACTCTCACTCTCAACAGAAAACTTCAAATAATTATATGCTGGGTGTAATCAAGCAATCTATAAACTTTCTGCCTCACTCTTGCAAGGAGTCTTGAATATTTGTTATTTCTTTCTGTCCATCTTTTTCAATGTTCCTATTCTCTCTCCCTCTTTAAATCAAAACCTATATAAAGACTTCTAGTTTCTCTTCCTGAGATGCTTCTTCACAGTTCTTACTGAGTCAATTATCTCCTCTATTAATCTCCCTTTTAGGATTTTTCCATGTCTGATTCGCCTAAATGTTAAAAACCATTTAGCCATACACCATATTATGCAGATTGATTTTTCCTTTTACTATATTTTTACTCTATATACTATTTTATATACTATTCTATTTCTTTCCTCTTCCTCACACCCAATTTTGGTGAAATGTCTCATCTCCAGTGTCTGAAAAGATTTATACCCACCTTCAAATTTGAACTAGAATACATATCATGCCATTTATCCAATAAACTAGAATTAATTTGGTTAGCTTGTGTGGGCTTCTCTATTTGCAATTCCTATTATATCAATTATATCAAACCCCCCTCTACTAAAAATGCAAGAAAAAAACTAGCCAGCGACAGAGCCAGACTCCTTTCAAAAAATAAATAAATAAATAAACGTAAAACTTCTGTTTTGAAGAAACTTAATCATCTATGTTAACACCCACCTACGCCCTGTGAAATGCAATCAATTGGAAGAAAGGGGTGTGGTCTTCAGAGATTTATAAACCGACACTTCAGGAGCCAAGCTCATTCTTCTCCAGAGCCCACAGAGTAGCTTTGCAACTGGCTTTGGGGACTTCCGAAAGCTACCAGCACTGCACTGTGAGACTCTCATCCCTGAGCTGAATTCATCTGATTCGACAGCAAGCTTTGGTGAGAACATAGATATATTTCTGAGGTAAGTACACAATTTCCAGAGTAGGAGCTACTATTAGGTTACAAACCAAAACAAAATTTGGGGACTTTAATTTATCTGCAAGCTTAGATTATTTTTAGATGAAATGATCTCATTTTCTGAGTTTTAAAAACGGCTCCATTTCTTTTTTAAAATTATTTTAAACATAATCCATAGGTTTATGGATTAAACATGGGCCACCATGTTCAGCTATTTATTTATTTGTTTGTTTATTTATTTTGAGATGGAATCACGCTCTATTGCCAGGCTGGAGTGCAGCGGCGCTCTTGGCTCACTGCAACCTCCGCCTTCCAGGTTCAAACGATTCTTCAGCCTCGGCCTCCAGAGTAGCTGGAAATATAGGTGCCCACCACCACGCCCAGCTAATTTTTGTATTTTTTTTAGTAGAGACGGGATTTCATTATGTTGGCCAGGATGGTCTCCATCTCTTGATCTTGTGATCCGTTCACCTCGGCCTCTGAAAGTGTTGGGATTACAGGCCTGAGCCACCGCGCCCGGCCTTTTTTTTTTAAATTTATATAAGTATTTTTAGAGACAGGATGATCTAGACACTTTGCCGTGTCACCAGTCTAGAGTTCCTGAGCTCAAAAAACCTGCCTGACTTGGCCTCCCAAAATGCTGGGATTACAGGCTTGAATCACCTTCCCTGGCTTGGTTTTTATTTTTATTTGTATTTTAGCAAAACATACATTTAAAACGCTGACTTACTGTCTAGTGCCTAGTTTTTGTTTTTGTTTTTGTTTTTGGGGGGAGACAGAGTCTTGCTCTGTTACCCAGACTGGAGTGCTGTGGCACTATCTCGGCTCACTGCAAGCTCCGCCTGCCGGGTTCACGCCATTCTCCAGCCTCCGCCTCCAGAGTAGCTGGGACTACAGGCGTCTGCCACCACAGTCGGCTAATTTTTTGTATTTTTTAGTAGAGATAGGGATTCACCATGTTAGCCAGGATGGTCTTGATCTCGTGACATCGTGATCTGCCCGCCTCAGCCACCTCGGCCTCCCAAAGTGCTCGGATTACAGGCGTGAGCCACCGTGCCCGGCCTCTATTGCATGATACTTACTCTTTTCCTGATTGTGTGAAAGAGTAATGATAATGCTTCAATTATCATTATCTTTTTGTAAATTTAATTAATTGTCTGTCTTTTAAGGATGTTGTAATATTAACCAGTATATCCCCAAATTAACAGACTGTCCAGGAACAGTAAACATGCCAGAAAGTTTTTGTTGATTAAATTAACATAGCAGCCTAGAAAAACAATGATTCTTAGCTTTACCTTGGAGAGGTACCTTACCTTGATTTGACTGTTTTTCCTTGGAGAGTAAAGGCTAGCTTTTTCTGATTTGGGTCAAAGTATGAGTTCTGCTCTAACAATTTCAAGCAATGTCCTTCTGGAAAAGTCATTATGGATGGTTGTTATAGTTAAATAAAATAATGAGAGTAGAAGAGCTTAGTTAGCTTTCCTTCTCTAAACCAATCACTGGCAATTAAGAGTGTTACTGACTTTCAGACCATTCAAGACTCAAACCTTGAGTTTACAGGTTGATGAAACCCTTGAAGCCCAAGCAATTTGGTGGATACTAACACCTCAAAAAATCCAACATTCTTCCATGCAAGAAAGTAGAGTTTGGAAAGCTGGTCATGTGTTAATTGGAGAACAGTCACTTTTTCTAGAGGTTGATGTCTCTTTGTGCCTTAGTTTTCTATTTTTCCTATTTCTGTCATTGCAAATTAAAGCCTATACTTCTCTAGAAAGAAAGGATATTATTCTATCACAATCCGATTCAAACTTTGTTTGGATCTTTGTCTCTCCAGGGTAGAAGATTAAATTCTTGTGGTTTTCTTTCCTTAGGAAAATGGACTCAGACTTCTCACATGCCTTCCAGAAGGAACTCGCCTGTGTCATCTGTTTGAACTACCTGGTAGACCCTGTCACCATCTGCTGTGGGCACAGCTTCTGCAGGCCCTCTCTGCCTTTCCTGGGAGGAAGCCCAAAGTCCTGCCAACTGCCGTGCATGCAGGGAACCATCACAGAAAAAGGACTTCAAAACCAATATTCTTCTGAAGAATTTAGTGACCATTGCCAGAAAAGCCAGTCTCTGGCAATTCCTGAGCTCTGAGAAACAAATATGTGGGACCCATAGGCAAACAAAGAAGATGTTCTGTGACATGGACAAGAGTCTCCTCTGCTTGCTGTGCTCCAACTCTCAGGAGCACGGGGCTCACAAACACTATCCCATCGAAGAGGCAGCTGAGGAACACCGGGTAAGAGATAGCTCTGTGATCACCTGAAAGCTGGAGGGTGGCAGAGTTAAAGAGATTAGAAGGATGATGAGAATCACGGTGATTACTCCATTCTTTACTGAGTGCCAGGTGCTGTTCTAGGTACCAATGATGACATTTTGAATAAAATGTGCAACTCTACCTTCCTTCATGGAGCTTGCACCCAAAAAGAGACTGATTAAGTAAATGTCATTATTATTGACTCTACAGTTCAATGCTAATGACATTGAAAAGCTACCAAAGCTACCAGTGCAAAGAAATGTATTTTGGAAATATATTTAATATTACTGGACAAATGAGTATGGGAGTAGCACGCTACAAAATCAGGGGCTAGCATAGTGGATTCTGAAGCAGGATGTTTCCCTGAACTAATTTAGCTGGGTTACAGGAAATCTTCATTCTTCAGTTCCCTAAACTGTTCTACATTCTGAAACCTCAAACTGAAAAATATCAATTAAGGATGAGCAATGAAAAATTTTGGTTTTTTCTCCTCTCACTAATGTATTTATATATTAGATCCCTTGCCTGTGTATACCACTCAGATTGTGGAATCTTTGGTATTTGACTTTCTGTTGTTCAACCTTGTAATTCTTTTGCAGGAGAAACTCTTAAAGCAAATGAGGATTTTATGGAAAAAGATTCAAGAAAATCAGAGAAATCTATATGAGGAGAGAAGAACAGCCTTCCTCTGGAGGGTGAGTATGAGACCGTGAGTCCTCCTGACCAGCTTGAGACAGGCATGCTGACAACATTTATATTAGCAACTTGAGTTGAAATTCTCATATGCCAGATTTTGTCATGTGTTTATTCATAGGCTGGAAAACAACCAGACTGTTCAATATAATGATTGTTCAGGTTTTCTGTAAATGCTTTTCAGATAAGTAAAAAATAAATATAAATTCTGAAGGGCAAGTATGTGCTTAAAATTAATAAGTATTTCAGACAGAGTTTTCTGTATAAAATTAATTATGAAATGTTGATTAAATAGTATATAATTGAGAAATAAAGGCATTTATTGGTGAATATGATATTGTCCAGGGGGAAGAAATCGGGTGGGAACAGTAATTTAAGAAATGTGCCTGTGCTGGTGAAATCTGATAGCAAAGGACCCACATGATGCCAGTCCAAGTAGGAGAAAATGCAACGTGAGGAAAAGCTGAGGAGAAGGGATAAAAAATGACTGGGGCAGTGAGAGGATAAATATGTCATTATTGAGAGGAGAAACACAATGGAATGGGGATTAATGTTCTTAGAATGGCAGTGCAATACAGAGTCTATGGATTTGACAGAAGAAAGACAGGAGACAGAAAAGAGGTAGTCGGTTTGAGAGATGGGGGTTAAATTTTTTACTAAGATCTTTTTTGTGTGATGGCTTCTGATCCTGATTATAATATACTAAAAACATTTCTACTAAGAGTGATTGTTCAGGCTGTGAAGTACAGAGATTTGAAACAACAACCTAATTGAGTAACAAAGATTATGTGTATTATCCATGACAACTGAACAATCAATCATAAATTTTAGTTGTTTTCTAATGGTATTTCCGATTTGAGAGGACATAGATTTAAACATTTAAATCCAAAGGGCTTTTTTGCAGATGTTTGGGAATTGATGAATTACACAAATTTTGAAGGAAGGTCTTGCTTAACTCATCATCCTGTTTGTAAAGGATGGAAAATAAAAGAAGGAATGAGGAGGATGAAGTTGTGGGTTCTGTGATGTGGAAGTAGGCCTGGGTATATAACCTACAAAATTCATATCCCTACAGGGCGATGTGGTTTTACGGGCACAGATGATCAGGAATGAGTATAGGAAGCTGCATCCGGTTCTCCATAAGGAAGAAAAACAACATTTAGAGAGACTGAACAAGGAATACCAAGAGATTTTTCAGCAACTCCAGAGAAGCTGGGTCAAAATGGATCAAAAGAGTAAACACTTAAAAGAAATGTATCAGGAACTAATGGAAATGTGTCATAAACCAGATGTGGAGCTGCTCCAGGTAAGAACGGAGGATGCCCCTTGAGACACTTTGTGTTAGCTGACCTTTACATCTTTGCCTTCCATTGGGTACCAAAGACATTATTTCTTCGTTTCCTGCACTGACGATGAGAGTCATTCCCACCGGTTATAGAGATAAACTATAACTCCTACCCTATATAATGGAAATAAAGCTTTATGGAATTGTGCAACTAGCTTTCCATACAACATTTTCTACCACAAGCTTCCTCCTCCAGCGCATTTCATTAAAACTCTGGAAGAAAAAATTTCATGTGAAAATTCTATTTTTAACTCCAATGGATAATACATAGAAATTATGGAAAAACTGACATTTCCTTCTTCCTCCTTTTGGGAAGTCCTAGGTTTGAAATGCTCTTGATTTGAGCCACATTACACTTTGGGGACTAGCCCTGAAAAAGACCACGTTGTAGACAGCTGCAGCAATGCGCAGTCACTACTCACACCTTTCTCTCTCACTCAAATTTAGGGTCCTTAATTTATCAGAAATCCATATTGTCAATAGGTCTTACTGGTATAATTGTTAGAGATAAGAATACATTTTAAAATAGTTGCAGTGATAGTATGTGGTAATTCTAAAGTTTTCAAAACCTGAAGACCAGATAGGCAGAATAACAACTTTTTTGTGTGTTTATTTTGAGACAGAGTCTTCTTCTGTCACCCAGACAGAAGTCCAGTGGCCCAATCTCAGCTCACTGCAACTTCTGCCTCCTTGGTTCAAGCAATTCTCCTGCCTCAGCCTCCCTAGTAGCTGGGACTAAAGGCATGCACCACCACACCCCACTATTTGTGTGTGTGTGTGTATTTTTAGTAGAAATGGGATTTGCCATGTTGTCCAGGCTAGTCTGGAACTCCTGACCTCAGGTGTTCCACCCACCTTGGCCTCCCAAAGTGCTGGGATTACAGGTGTGAACCACCTCACCCAACAAGAATAACAACTTTCTAAAGAAGTCATTTTTTTTTTCTCTCTCTCTCTCTACAGGATTTGGGAGACATCGTGGCAAGGTATGTTTTTGGCCACCAGTGCAAACTGGAGCACAAGGCATGCTATGAAAAACATCAAGCTGTTTCCAACAAAGTGAAAACATAATTTACTAACACCATAATGTGTCAGTGTGATTGTGTGTGTATGTGTGTGTACTCATGTGTTTATGTGGTATGATGAATGTCACCTATGCCTTTTATCAGATATTAATCTTTTCTTACTTTCCCAGGTGACTCAGGGGTTTATGTTTTGAAGAGTGCAATGCAGAGGTTGCTAGAATACAGTTGCCTCTTTTTGCGATTCAGAATCATAATTAGAGATAAACTATTTGGTGGCAGATAGGGAGAGAGGCATTTATCTTTCAGTGGCAGTAGGTTAGAAATGGAGTGAATAGTTAGAAAGATTCCCTAAGAGCCACAAACCCAACCTAGCGTTGTGGAGGTACATTACGGTATCAGAAGTGAGCTTGAATGAAGCATTTTCTATTGTAATCTGTTTCTTAAACACAGACATCAGAAAGTTAACCAACTCAACCTACTTCCTTGCAGGAGTGAGCCCGTGCTGCTGCACATGCCCCAGCCTGTGAATCCAGAGCTCACAGCAGGGCCCATCACTGGACTGGTGTACAGGCTCAACCGCTTCCGAGGTGAGTGTGGCCCTGTTGGTGGGATCCCCATGCAATGCCTTCAATTATGGTTTTCTATGGGCAGCTTTCCCAGTGTAATGATCTTTCATCTAGAAGAAGAGAATAGCCTGTGAATAGGTATTTATAGTTTCACTATCATCAAACAGACAAAACAAAATAAAAGCTGGTGAAATGTAATAGGAATCAGCCATATAACAAATTTCTTAGAAAAATAAAACATGCAGAAGGGCTCTTTAGGACTTTAGGAACCATTCTCTGATACAATTTCATGTATACAATTATTACATGAAGTATACAGAACTGAATTCAGGACATTTCAATTTCAAATTCAGTGCAGTTAACGACTGATTTGAGTGACAGTGTTTTTTTTAAATACATTTTTAGGTGAAGTTTCATAGCATTTATAATTTTAATCATGTTTTTAATCAACTAAAGCATACATGAGTAACTTATATAACAATGCAAAAACTGAGAATCTGTCAACAATAGGAACAGGATTTGGTGGTTGACGAGGTCTTAGATAGAACTCCAGGATAGATCATGACAAATCCAGCAGAATAAAAGAAGTCTGTGCCTGAATCTGGCATGAAAGTCAGATAATTCTTGCAAGGAATCTGCACTTTTCAGAAGGCAGATTCAGATTTTCTCTTTAAGTATGAATTTGCTAGGTTAAGTGGCAGATCATAATATTTCTGGAAAGTGATAACTTTTTTATTTGGGACTAAGAATGGCTGCCCACCTCATCTCCTGTCCAAAGCCTCCTGCTCTGCCCTGACAGAGAAGAGACAATGAAGGTTAATTTTATTGCTATGGACTTGGCTGCAGTGCAGGAGCTTCCAGTTTTTCAGTTGTTATGAAAGGTCGCTAACGAGACATAGACATGACCTTCCTCCCCTTTATACTTTTTGAGTTTATGGAAATTGTGATCATCCTAGTTTAGCCATTTACTTGTGCAGATCTCCTAACACCCTTTGATTCCAACATTTTTCCAGACAGAAGTTTCTTTCTAATCTTGACCTGTGTTTTCTAGTGAGAATCTCTTTCTTATCTGAACATAAGAATTTGTAAACTGCTTTTCACTGGAATATTCTCTTTTTTCTACAGTGGAAATTTCCTTCCATTGTGAAGTAACCAATCACAATATCAGGCTCTTTGAGGATGTGAGAAGTTGGATGTTTAGACGTGGACCTTTGAATTCTGACAGATCTGACTATTTTGCTGCATGGGGAGCCAGGGTCTTCTCCTTTGGGAAACACTACTGGGAGCTGGATGTGGACAACTCTTGTGACTGGGCTCTGGGAGTCTGTAACGACTCCTGGATAAGGAAGAATAGCACAATGGTTAACTCTGAGGACATATTTCTTCTTTTGTGTCTGAAGGTGGATAATCATTTCAGTCTCTTGACCACCTCCCCAGAGTTTCCTCACTATATAGAGAAACCTCTGGGCCGGGTTGGTGTGTTTCTTGATTTTGAAAGTGGAAGTGTGAGTTTTTTGAATGTCACCAAGAGTTCCCTCATATGGAGTTACCCAGCTGGCTCCTTAACTTTTCCTGTCAGGCCTTTCTTTTACACTGGCCACAGATGATCAGGATTAAGAAAACTTACTGTTTGGGAACTCCATATACAAGGGAGCCCTTCACTGTTGATACAAAGAAATCATACTGTTCAGGCTTTTTTGTACTTTAGTGTCACTTCATTTTATTGCTATTAAATAGAAAATTTGTAAAAAGCAAATTTTTTGTACATTTTCTTACAATTAAAATAATCCCTTATGGCCCATTACCTAAAATACGTATTGTGATTTTCAAGTGTTTGTGAATTTATTGGATGGAATTCTGGAAATATGTGGGTGTGTGATTCCAACTTAATGATCTCATTCAGGAACAACTTTTGTACATCATGGGCAGACGGGGTTTTGTACAATGCACTTGTAAGTGTGAGAGTTCCCTCCTATTAATACAGTAAATTCTACACCTCATCACTTTGGGGGGAAAAATTTATTTTACACAGAAGTTTTCACAGAATCTTTGGGCTAGAACAGGAATTTAACAGTCATGCATCCTATGGCAACAAAATACATTCTGAGAAATGCATTGTTAGGCGATTTCATCATTGTGTGAACATCAGAACACACTACAAAAACCTAGATAGTATATTCATCTACAGACATAGGCTAATGGTACAGCCTATTGCTTTTCTGAGAATTTGCTAGCGATGTCTGAGCAAGAACCAAAAGGGTTTAACCCACATTGAATTCTGCAGCTGTTTAATAAAGCAAACAGCATCATCCAGGGAATAATAGATGTGCAGACTGTCTGCTTTAAAACGTGTTTATATTTCCAATTCACACAGACTGTGAATTCTCATTGACAACCTAGAGACCAGACATAACCATCACCTCATGTTACATTGGAAACATATTAGTATCAGGTAAAAAAATAAATAAAAAATAAACTAACTAAATTAAATCAAAGCAAAAAACAAAACAAACAAAACCCAGTTCTGATGAAAACCCTGTTTATAGTGAGTCCATTGAGTCCGTCTACCCACCAAATGGTCATTTTCATGATCACTGATTAAATAATGGAAACATTCTACTTCCAGTCCAGCAGATGATCCTGGCTGATGTCTGAGGTTCCTTGCTTGGAGTTGTTACCTAGAATATATTCAAACGGCCTCTCCAGGTAGCCGCTTGGGCTTGCTCACAGCATGGTAGATAACTTTCCACACTGAAGATTCCCATACAGTCAGGAGAATTGTATACTACCATTATTCCAGAGAGTAAAACATCAGCTGTAGTCACAACCCTACCCAAAGTAAAGGGACTAGAACACACACACAGCAGTAGCAGTCGTGAAGTTACATCATAGAAAAACAATGTGGGATGGAATATATATTTTAGCACTCTTTTAGAGAGAGTGGGGGAGGAATATAACCTACTACACCTACTCTTCCTAAGAAGTGGACACTGAGGATCTATATCCAGAGACTGGGGGTCCTGTAAAACATGAGATCCAACGAGCCCCTTATAGAAACACCATTCAAGTTCCAGATTCCTGGAAAAGGGCAATTGACAATTGACCAGGTAAATATTCTTTTGGAAATTTTCTTCAAGATTTGGCATCAACTGGACAATCATTATGAACACAGCACAGCAAAATCACTGAGGAAGATGCACATGACACTGGAGTAGAGGGGGGGAAGGGGTGGTCCATCTCCTTCAAGATGACCAGGGACAGACACAGTAATTCTACGTCAGTGAGATGAAAAAGGTCAGGGCATCCTTGTCAGGAACCGCCTTCTGATGTCTATACGCGGCTGCAAACTATTCATGTAGGCCTTCTGAATGCCTTGTACTTCCCAAGATTTCTTGATGTTAAGAGCCACTGACTGGAGTTCATAGTACGTAGAATACCTTCAGCATAGAAGGTGACAAAGTCTTTCCCTCAAAAGCCAGAAATTCAGAAACCTGTAGCTGAGTCATCCACTGGACCTTACCAGTAAGTGTGGGCTGAAGAGAGAGACACTGGCTTTAACCTCAGATAAAAGCTGTTCCATTCTCACTGCCTTGTAGCCTCTCATACTCAGAAGGGAAGGTGAGGCTCGGTCCTGTGACTATTCATTCTTCCAGACTGTGAAAGTTTTTGATGATGACTCAGAGAAATGTCCTCTGTTTACTAAAATATAATATCTATTAACAGTCTGCTGCAAAAGAGATAGGCCCTGTCTTGTCTCAGTCCTCTCAAACTGTGCCCATATGTTCCACTCCTCTGGCCCTTACTGAACCATGATGCCTGCCAGAATCACTCTGAAATTCTTCTGCCCCTCTGTCAGTCTTCTGGCCCAGTTCTCAGAACACAGGTCCCTGTCTGTCCGCTTTCCAGTGATCTGTCCATGCCCTTCAAATTCACAACATAAGAAGAGTTGATCATTAAAATATCCCAGAATGGGAAATAGGGGTTGCCTGTTCTGTCTGAGACCAGCAATGCAGATGCAGGATTCTAAGGGAGGAGGAGAAAGCAAAAGTTGGTGCCCTTGAAACTGCTCAGTCACATCCTTGTGACATCTAAAAGGATAAAAGGTACTCAGGGTTAAATAATTGGAACAGAAGGAGGACAGTCAAGTTCAGGCATATATGGAGAAAGAGAGCTTCTGTCAGTGCCTGACACCAAGTAAAACTCTTTCTTTAACGGAATGCACCCATAAATGTGTCAGAAAAATAACCCTTGGTGAGGAAAAGCAAAGTTGTAGAGAACAAGGGATAAAGAAGACAGCAAGCAACATTTCCTGCAGATTTCAAAATAATTCTTGAGTGCTTACATTTCCTGGAATTGCCGTGAGGCTACTGAGTATTATCACCCACTATGAAAAAGTCAGCTGAGAGTAATATGGTATCATGGTTAAGAGTAATGTCTTGAAGTTAAATTGCCTGGGTTTGATTCCCAAACTCACTGCTCATAAGCCTCCTTCCCAGAACAAAGTGCCCTTCTCAAAGCCTTGTGTGTGGGTGTGGGGTGTATGGGTGTGTTAGGCATATTTTTATATAATATAGTAGTTGTATATTCACAGTAATTGTGTGTGTGTGTTTGTGTGTGTGTGTGTGTGTGTATATATATATATATATATATATATATATATATATATATATATATGTGCTGGGATTATAGGTGTCAGCCAATGCATCTGGCTTATTCTCACTTTTAATTATTGTCTTAGAAGCATGCATGATTCAATTTGTTTTTCAATTCATGAATATATCTAATGGTTTAGAGATTTATTTTTTAACTGAACTGTCACGTTTTGCTGATAATGCAATTATGATATCTTTATTTCTATTCAACCCTCACATTATTTACTTCTTTTTCTTGTCTAGTTGCATTGAAAAGGAGATCAAGCAAGGTGTTGAACACAAGTGATGATAACAGGATTTATATCTCATTCCCATTCCTGGGTAGAATCTTTCAAATTCTCCATTAAATATGGTACTGGCTCTAAGTTATTATATTCTTATTAGAGAAAGTTTATGGCTATTTAAGTGTTTTTAATAGTGCTTTCAAAATCATAAATGACCATTTCATTGTATCAAATATTTTCTTCCTCTTTTTACAGGAACAATGATATGTATTTCATCCTGTTCATGTCGTGATTACTTATTTCATTTTCTGATGTTACATTAGTCAACCTTTCTAGAATAAGCTCCACTTGGAGATGATATGAGTTTATCTCTCACAAGATTTGATTAGCTAGCTAACTTTTTTGAATTGTTGCACCTATATTTATTTTAGTGTCTGTACTGCAATTTGCATTTCTTGTAACACACTTATCAGGATCGAATATCAAAATTATATGTTGGAGCTTGGCACAGCAGCTAGAGCCTGTCATCACAGCCCTTTGGGAGGCCAAGACAGGAGGATCACTCGAGTCTAGAAGTTCTGGGCTTCAGTGAGCTATGATCTTGCCATTGCACTTCAGCTTGGGCAACAGAGAGAGAAGCTGTTTACAAAAAGTAAAAGAAAAACACAACAGAAAAGCAAAGTTACAAGTTGGGAAGTATTACTGCTTTTTTCTGTTTTCTAGAAGGGTTTGTCTAAAAGTGTGTGATTTTTTTTCTTAAATGTTGTGAATATTTCACTGAAAAAGATCACCAGGTTTTTCGCTGGGAGAAGTTTTGTTTTTTAAATAATAGGGTAAATTTTTAGAATCTAAATCGTATCTTAGATTTGTCTATGGTTTCTTCTGTTGGTTTTTGTCAGATATGTTTTTCAGGGAAATTTCTCATTTCATCTAAATCATCAAGTGTATGAGCATAAAAGTCATCTTAAAATCTTCTTATTAACATATTAATTTGTGGATGACCTAAGTGTTTGCCTATTTATTTTTTATTTGAACTCCTCTTCTCCATTTTTTAATTGAGTCTCACTAAGAATTTATCAATTTAATTGATCTATTTGAAGAGCCTACTTTTGGTGGGTGTGGTGGCTCACACCTGTAATCCCAGCACTTTGGGAGGTCGAGGTGGGTGGATTATTTGAGGTTAGGAGTTTGAGACCAGCCCAGCCAACATGGTGAAACCCCAGCTCTACTAAAAATACAAAAATTAGCCAAGCGTGATGGTACGTGCTTGTAATCCCAGCTACTCGGGTGGCTAAGGAAGGAGAATCACTTGAACCTGGGTGGCAGAGGTTGCAAGGAGCCGAGATCGCACCACTGCACTCCAGCCTGGGTGACAGAGTGAGATTCTGTCTCAAATTAAAAAAAAAAAAAAAATCCTATTTTTGACTTCATTGATTTTATCTACTGTATGCTTTTTAATCAATATTCTACAATTTTTTTATTGTTTTAGATTTTGGCATGAATTTACTTTTGTTTATCTGGCTCTTTGGGATAGACCTTTATTGGTAAATAACAGATGAATATAATGCTATACATTTTCTTCTTAACATTGTTTCAATTAAATCTCAGAAGTTTTGTTTCTATATATCTTGAATATTATCCCATGAAAAATATATTCATTGCTTTTCTTTAATTCATGCATTTGCAGAGAAACTGTAAAGGAAGAGAAGAAAATACTTTTTTAAACCTTTATTTTAAGTATAGCAATACATGTGCAGGTTTGTTAAATGGGTAATCTTGTGTCATCAGGATTTGTTGTATAGATTATTTTATCAACCAGGTCTCAAGCCTAGCACCCATTAGTTATTTTTCCTGATCCTCTCTGTCTTCTAACCCCCAACCCTCCTATAGGCCCCAGCGTGTGTTGTTCCCCTCTATGTGTCCATATGTTCTCATCATTTAGCTCCCACTTTTAAGTGAGAACACGCACTATTTGGTTTTCTGTTCCTGTGTTAGTTTGCTAAAGATAATAGCCTCCAGCTCCTTCCCTGTCCCTGCAAAAGACATGATCCAATAATTTTTTATGGCTGCATAGTGGGAATACATTTTCTAGTTACGTTATAAAACAATAAGAAACAACTGAAATTAATTTTAATAAAAATTGTTAACCAAATATATCCAATAGTTTTCGACATGATTAACATTACAAACGTTAGTAAGATATTTTGTATTGTTACTTTTTTGTTTGTCTGTCTGTTTTGAGACAGGGTCTTCCTCTGTCACCCAGGCTGGCATGCAGAAATGGGCATTCCAGCTAACTGCAGCCTCAACACCCTGTGCTCCAGCAATCCTCCCACCTCAGCCTCCCCAGTAGCTGGGACTACAGGTGCTTGCCACAACACCCGAGTAAATTTTTTTTTCTGTAATGATGAGGTTTCACAATGTTGACCAGGCTGGTCTCAAACTTCTTGAATCATGAAACGTCCCACTGCAGCCTCCCAATGGGCTGGTATTACAGGCATGAGCCACTGCACTCTGCTTTCTTACCTTTTGTGCTAAATTTTTGAAATTATGCACTAGAAGATCTGAAGTAAGAGAAGTGTTAAAAAAGATGAAGCCCCCAAATTGCAAGAACCACAGAGAGTAATAAACTGTGATCCAAAGGTAATCAGACAGATTTAAACTCATATACAGAAAAACCAATCTAAAAAGAAAGGAAACATTGATTATAAAGCAAGATTCTTGACTTTCTGATTGCAGACTTTGTGATTAGCAGTTTTCTATAATGGTAAAATCCAGGTCAGGCCATGAGAGTGGAGGCAGAGATACAATAAAGGAGAAGTTCTTTCAACCAGACCTCACAATCTAGTAGAAGTAACAGACACACTAGTAAAGCAACAATCCCAGTACAACATGGAAACTGCCACAAATCTCTATCTATTGGACATATAGAATCAAAGATCAAATCGTTTGCTTCAGTCTTGAAGAATGAATGGAAATTTTCCAGGTGAATAAACAGTAACAGTTGTCCAGGTTCAGAAAAATGCCTGCATAAGGGAGAATTTTCTGTCTAAGGTGGTTTTCGATACCTGTGATTCTCAGCAGATGAGCAATGCTTTGATGGTCCAGAAAAATCGAGGGGTGAGTTAAAAGTGCATTTGTGGAATGCAACTTTTTATAAATCCAAAAAGTAACTTTTAAAAGGAGACTGTGGATGGATTTCTGAATCACAAGTAAGGGAAACTGTCAGAGAGGACTTCCAACTGGACAATTTCAAATGAGAAATCCTTAGCTCATTTGAAATACCAAGGTCTTAGAAAAAGAGAACAGAGGCCATGGACTGGAGGCGAGAGTTTGAGTTTTAAACAGGGTGGTCAGAAAATGCCTCAATGAAAAATTCATATTGAGACAACGTCTTGAAGAGGAAGGCAAACACAATGTGTGTGTGTGTGTGTGTGTGTGTGTGTTTGTGTGTGTGTGTGTATGCTTAGAGAGAGAAAGAGAGGCAGAGAGAATTCTAGGTGAAGAAAACAACATGTGCAGTAATATTGAGTTTGTGTTTATTTTGAGGGCTGAGGAACCACAAAGAAGTCTATGTTTTATGTTAAAGTCAGTATGAAAAACAATGGAAAGAAATGAGATTAGAGAGACAAAGAAGGCCAGATCATAAATGAAGCCTTATTAGCATAGGTTTTGCTTGGTGAAATGCATTGAGTTGAGCATGCTAGTCTGAGGCTATTTCACACATAATGAATTTAAATAACTTGCCCCAAATTTCAGAAATGAAAATAATTATTCCCTTTCTAGTCAATATAGCTCTAGAGTCTAACTATTAAGCCCGAACTGTCTTACTTTTCTATAAATATGAGTTGGAAAAGAGGAATCCAATTTGTTTTTCTTCTTTATGACTATCTTAGAAAAAACACTTTATCACGAATAAAGTGAATATATTTGGTTAGATACATCTATGTTCGTTGATCTTCATGCAGAAAAGAAAACAGAGTAAAATTTCGTATAGTCTGAGAATTGGCAAGACTAAGAGTTAAAATATGGGATGTTCAAGAGACAAAGAGGAATCAGTGAGATTCAATAGGAGATGAGTACGTCGGTTTTGTTTTTGACTAACCCGTTGTTACTGCAGGATTATGTGAATTTAAAGATAGAAGCAATCAGAGCTGAATATCAGAAGATGCCTGCATTTCTCCATGAAGAACAGCAACATCACTTGGAGATGCTTCAAAAGGAGGACGAAGACAATTTTTAGCAACTCCATAAAAGCGATGCCAGAATGGCCCATGAGAGGGAGATTTTAAAAGGAATGTATGAGGAGCTGAAGGAAAAGTCCCATAAACCAGATGTGGAGCTAATCCAGGTACTGACTGACCATGGGGTATCAGGATGTGGAACATTCATGTGCACAGGTGTTCTTCCTCTTTCCTGAAATGCTTTCTTCCCTGTATTTCCACGACTTCTTTCCAGAAACACATTTCCATAACTCATGCTACTTTGTGGGTAGAGTATAGCCCCTCCCAGGGATTTTACCAGAAAAAAGGTCCCACTTACTTTATCCACCAGCGACAAAACTTTGTGGAATGGTCAAGGTAACAGCCCTAATAAATATTCCCCATCCACAGTCAATAATATATTTGGCTTTTTGAACATTTATAAAATAGTGAGCAATTCATTTACATTAGGTCTGTTTGGAGACGTGGCAAGACTGGGAGTTTGGGGAATCTAAATATTATTTTTCATCCACTCACTTTTATAATAGGGCCTAGGGAAGATGACTGGATAGGTTCTTCATGGTTACTGCAGAAGATAGACTCTCTGGGCCTTTTCTCCCTTCACTTGTGTAAAGAATGTCTTCAAGACTCCGACTTCACTAGGACATTAATTCATAACAATATGATAGACTAGGTTTTTCATTAGAGAAGAAATATAAAATGCTTTCCAGAAGGGAAAATGGCAGGAAAATAATATTTTCAGAAACTGCCTACAGATCTCACACTGAACTTAGTGGAAGAATCATCTTGTAGAAAGCACAAACCCTTTCTATTTTTTTTTTTTTTTTACAGATGTTTGGAGACATATTACACAGGTGCGTGTGTACCTAGATTTTAGCAGGTATTCTTTCAGTTTCCAGAAATATCAAACAGGATCGACTAAAGCGAAGGCATACATGATCAAGATATTAATATTACTTTTTCCTGGATCTACTTTCGCTCCCCCACCTTATGTAGTCATCTATTATGTCGCCATACTCAGTGATTTTACTGGACAGATGCAAAGAAAGTATTGGAAAAAAAAAGGAGAAGAAGCAAACACCAATACATAAATAAATAAACAAAAAAAGAATGAAAGAAAACAAGCATCTCAATTTCTGATTTTTTTTATACCTCCAAATCCCGGATAGGTGAAAGATAAACTGTTGTTTCCTGGATGGTGGGAAAGTCACCAGGGGAAGCAGCAGGAGAGAGAAGGGGAAAGTATTTTAGAAGTGAGAAAGTGTGGATGATTTGTTGTTTACATATACATATACACACACACATATATATACACACACATACACATATATATAATCAGTTGATGTTCTGAAAAATAGATTAAACAAACTGTAAAGGGTTAGAAGCCTGTAAGCCTCTAGAGAAGTCTGGCACTAAAGAAGAAGAGCACACTGACAGGCACCAGCAGATGCTGGCAGCCATTAATGGTAGAACGACATGGAAATCAGCCGAGAGCCCTTGGAGGTGAGCCCTGCTGCTGAGATGTTTTACTGCAGGGGAACACCACCTTCCCACTCCATCCCCCTTCTGGCACACCATTTATCTGCTGAAAGCTGCTTTCACCAATCAATAAATCTTGCACTCATTCTCCAAGCCCACATATGATCCGAGTTTTCTGGTACACTCAGGCAACAACCCCAGGATACAGAAAGCCCTCTGTCCTTGCAAAAAGGCAGAGGGTCTAACTGAGCTGCTTAACACAAGCCAGCTGTGGACAGCTAAGCTAAAAGACCACACTGTAACACAAGCCCACTGGTGCTTCTCTTTTATAATAGTATAAAATCTAAAACTTAAAGAAATGTCACTTTTATTTACTACTATACTCCAGGAAATAATAACACTTAATCAGTTAATATAATGTCTAGCACATAATAGAAATGTAACAAGTATTTCAATAATTAAATTTAAAAATGCATTAGAGAGATTTGAAAGCTTTGATGTTAAAGATAGGAGCATTAATTTAATGGTTTGCATTTTTTAGGATTTTAGGTTGATGTGAAAACCAATTAAATTCTAGAAGCTTGTTTTAAACCTCATCCATTTTTCATTTTTTTAGAAAGTTTCCTATGTTTGTTGGGATGCAGGGAGTATGGAGAGTGTATTAGCACAGAAGCCTAATGTGTGGGTGTGTGATAAAGTCATGGCAGTTATTCATTATTTATTTTATTATATATATATATATGGATAGAGAGATAGACCGAATTTTTAAAATGGAGATAGGGTCTCACTGTGTTCCCCAGGCTGAACTCAGACTCCTGGGCTCAAGGGATGCTCCTCCCTCAGCCTATGGAGTAGTCAGGAATATAGAAGCTGGCCACCATGCCTGGCAGTTTGTTTCATTTTAATTTAATTTGAGGTCATCCCCCAGGCCATAAGAGAAGAGATGGGAGAATAGAAGAACAAAATGTAGATATATACTCCCTTCTTTCTATTCTCATTTCACCATCATACAATATCCCCTTGGTTTTTGTTTTAATAATTGTTCTGCCACAGTTAATTACACATTCACTAGTGTGTTTCCACTATCAAACGTACTTCTTCAGTATACTGTGGAAATTAACAAATGCTTGTTAACAGAAAAAAAACAAAACCTAAAGCTTGGTCAACATCACTGTCTTCCATACCGGGGAATGAGTGTTGCTGTGGGGTCTTGAACAAGTCTCCTCAAGGTAGGAGGCTAAACTTGACTTTCGAGGTAGGGCTCAGACACCAAACCAAATTGAGGATTAGCTAAAACAGGGACCAGGCAGAAGCAACTTTCCAAAAGACACGCCCACCAGTGCGCCAGAGCAGGTTACCATTGCCATGGCAACACCCAGGAGTTATCACCCATTCCATGGCAATGACTTGACATCCCAAATTACCCTTTCTCTAGAAATTTCTGCATAAACCCCTTAGTCTACATGCTATTAAAAGTAGGTGTAACCATGACTGCAAAACTGCTGTGAGCTGCTAATCTCTGCCCATGGAGTAGCCCTGCTCTGTGGGAGCAGCCACAAAGCTGTAACATCACCAGAGCTGAAACGCTACTGCTTCAATAAAGCTGTTTACCTCTACCTTTGGCTTGCCCTTGAATCCTTTCCTGGGCAAAGTCAAGGACTCTCAAAGGTTAAGCCCCATTTTGAGGCTCACCTGCCCTGCATTGAGCTAGACTCACTTTGCCAAAGTGTTGTTAATTATCAAGCCTAGTGATGAGAGCTTACAAAGCTTACATTTATTGAGAACTTATCATGTGGTACGCATGTGTTTTAAATGCTTCAAATATAAAAACCTCTATAGTCCAATATTTACAATAAAAAACTGAACTGTGGGAAATTTAACAGATCTGAACTAAGGCAACTAGTCTCCCACATCTGTACTCTTCATTTTGCAGTGTGTTGCCGTCTCCAATGAAATGTGGGTAATAGACCAACATTCCAACGACCACTGGTTGAGAGTCAGGTCACATCATGCTGTATCCAGAATTGGTGGGTTCTCGGTCTCACTGACTTCAAGAACGAAGCCACGGCCCATGGCGGTGAGTGTTACAGTTCTTAAAGATAGTGTGTCAAGAGTTTGTTCCTTCAGATGTTCAAATGTGTACGGAGCTTCTTCCTTCTGGTGGGTTCGTGGTCTCACCGACTTCAGGAGTGAAGCTGCAGACCTTGAGGTGAGTGTTATAGCTCATAAACACGGGGTGGACCCAAACAGTGAACAGCAGCAAGATTTATTTTAAATAACAAAAAGAACAAAGCCTCCACAGTGTGGTAACGGACCCTAGCAGGTTGCGCCTGCTGGCGCAGGTGCCCTGCTTTTATTCCTTCTCTGGCCACACCCACATCCTGCTGATTGGTCCATTTTACAGAGCGCTGATTGGTCCATTTTGACAGAGTGCTGATTGGTGCTTTTACAATCCTTTAGCTAGACAGAAAAGTTCTCCATGTCCGCATCTGATTAGCTAGACACAGAGCCCTGATTGGTGTGTTTACAAACCTTTAGCTAGACACAGAGTGCTGACTGGTGTGTTTACAATCCTTTAGACAGAAAAGTTCTCCAAGTCCCCACCCATCCCAGAAGCCCAGCTGGCTTCACCTCTCACTGGCACTTGCCGCTGGACTTTGTGGCACCTAGCCCGGGCACTCTGGCATCCCAGAGGGAGCTCGTCCCAGACAATCCAGAGGAAAAGAGGGGGAGCGAGAAAGAGACGGAGACCTACTATCGTGGCCAACGATCCCGCGAAGAGGGAACGGGGGTCTATTCACGGGATTCAGCCTCCTATCAAGCCCAGCAGGCTCCGACGGGCTGCGCTGAGTGCGGGACTTGCCGAACCCTCGCTAGTCCGCAAGAGATGGGCGCGGCCCAGGCTCCTGCTGGCGCGTCTCTCTTCACACTTCCCCTTCAGCAGAGGTAGCCAGCTCTGGCCTAGGCCAGCACCAGAGGGGTCCCTCATAGCGCAGCGGCGGGCTGAAGGGCTCCTGGAGCGCGGCCAGAGTAGACACCGAGGCTGAGGAGGCACCCAGGGCGAGCGAGGGCTGCTAGCATGTTGTCATTTCTCAGTGCCACTAAAGAGTTTATTATAATACCTAACACAATAAAAAATAAATATCTGCTGTAATATTAAAATATTATTAATAAAAATAATATTTACCACATAATTTACCACTTTCACTCCATCTCATCACTGAATAATCTATAACTTTACTGTAACAACAAGCCCAATCCTCCTTCTCTTTCTCAGGAGATGACTTTGCATCTCATCTTGTCAATAAAATGGAGTTTATGTAATCTTTTATATTTAGGCTCAAAGCCATTTTTTTCATAACCTTAATAGCACCCTTCATCACCGCATTTCAACTGTTTACACGAAAACACAATTTAAAGTTTTTTATGGCTTGGCATGGTAGCTCATGCCTGTGATCCCAGCACTTTGGAAAGTCGTGGCAGGAAGATTGCTTGAGGTTTGAGACCAGCCTAGGCAATATAGTAACACCCCATCTCTACAAAATATATATGTATATATAAGACATACGTGGTGGCTCACACCTGTAATCTTAGCTACTCACAAGGCTGAGGTGGGAGGACCACGTCGGTCCAGGAGTTTAAGGCTACAATAAGCTAAGATTGCACCACAGCACTCCAGCCTGGGTGACAGAATGAGACCTCGTCTCAAAAAAAAAAAAATTATATGTGAATATATGTTTACAAAAATGCCGGCTTTGTTCCAGACCTGGATTGTTGTGCTCTGGATATATGAAGTTCTTAATATTCTCCTTACATAAGAATAAAAGAATTAATATAAACAAATATTTTTCTGTAATAGAATTAGGAAAATTTCCCAAAATATGGGTAGCATAATATGATAGAAAATATTAAAGGATAATGTCAAAAAACATAAGAAGATTAGTGTCAAGATTCACATGCTAATGAACTTTCATTATTTATATATTTGAAACAATTGTATCTTATTTTTATTCTATAAGGTTGATTTTGAAATTTTCTGAGGATGGCCAACATGTACCAGGAAAATACGAAGATTCTTAGTGATAAGAAAATATAAAAAAGGACTTACAATGATGGAGACTGTCAGGAATTAAATTGACATACATATTAAGCTACTCACTAAGAATAAAATGATTTCCATCTCATTTACTGTAGAAATATACAAAACACACTTACATTATAAAGAGGAATACAGATGATAGAGAGTGCATATTTTTATAATAAATTGAGAAACCTATGTTAAAACAAAAAGAGGAAAGAAAATATCTTGGATTATAAACAAGAGATCAATTATGACTAATATGTAAAGAATTTGTATCATCTGTAATTTATTCAGTCTCATAAACCTGAGGGTACATTTCTCACAGATACCCAGTATCAGCGAAAACCTCTCATGGGATCAGTTAGGGCACAGGCTAATTTACTCTAATAAAGATCCCAATTTTAAGTAAATGGGGGCTATATTTTTTCATCTACTTATCTAAAAAGAGGAGGTAATCAAAAAAACGACTGTTACTTTCAACAACTGGATTTCATCTTTATTTGCAAGAAAGTGAAATTTGTTGCCATCTGCTGTTCAGCGAGAAAACTGAAAAAACATCCTGAGCAAGAGGACCTGAATGTAAGGAAATGACATGGTGCTTTCTACAATACTTCTGTTCCCATCCTCTTCCTTCAAGCTAAGGCATGCAGCACACTGAGCTGCCAGATGTATCTGGAAATGCTGAATACACATTAAATGTTTATTTTTATTTCCTTTATTTTATTTTATTTATTTTTATCTATTTATTTATTTATTTATTTATTTATTTTGCCAGAGACAAGGTCTTGCTGTGTTGCCCATGGTGGTCTCGAAGTTGTGAACTCTAATAACCTTCCTACCTCAATCGCCCAAAGCATTGGGATTAGAGGCATGTGCCACTGGGTCTGGCCTTTTCTTTTTCTTTTTTTTTTCTTTGATTTAGAAGAAAAAAAAAATTCAATGACAGACAGAGCAGAAGAAATACCCAGAGCTTGTGTTCAATGAAAATCAGGTGATCCTTTACTAAAGAGTTGCTTTTAGTTCGAACCGGGAATGAGTATTCAGGAATAAGTAAACCCTGCTTTTTACCACTGTCTAGGTGCCCGATGTTTCCCCATTCAGCAACTGGCTAACTAAGGATCATATGGCAAGAAGGATCTTATGTGTCTTTTAATCTCTTAAATTGATGGCTAAATCAAGGTGATTATCCAAATTATGAAAATACTTATCAGCAATGCTTCCTTATTCTTTCTGTCTGTACTACCTAGACTGCTTAGTTAACTTTCTCTCTTCTCCTCCCACACATTTTTTGTAGCACTTTACTAGGTAACAGGAGAAGTCTATTACCTTCTGAAATTTGTGTCTCTCCAAGTGATCTCACATTGTGGAATTTTACTTTCTGGGCTTTCAACCCAATTTTCCTTTCTGCTTCCATGTAAAGTTCCTGAGCGTTCTCTATTGACACTAAAATTTCCATAAGCAGCAGCCATTACACTCTCAATATTACCTTGTTACCAATTTTGTTTGTCATTTATTCAAAGAAAATTTTGTAGCTAATCTTATTTAGCTTAGATTTACTTGTACATACAAGTGGTATTAGCCACTAAGGACATTTAAGATATAGGTTGGTAAATTTTCTCAGCCATTAAACCAAAAATTAATTACATTCTTCTGTTTTGATAACTTCTATTATAATTATTCTCGCCTGGGACATTCCTAAAATTCAGAAATAAAATTAAGGTAAGACACTGGGAACTTTGCCAGTTATATCAGAAACCTAAGATTCCTTCTCACCTCCTGAAGAGGTTATTGATCCATTTGCCTTGTCACATTTTGGGGGGCAGAAGTAAAATTCTTCATAGAAATAAAATTAAAAACTGATGTGGAAACATAGTATGTGTGTAGTTCAAACCAGAGAAGTGATATGAAATTTAAGGAAGAGTATACAAAATGAGAAGAGATCACAGTCTATGATGAAATTCTGGGAAAGCCATAGCATAAAGATCACATCAAGGAATATGAGCCCAGGAAGGAACTAACATGTGTTAACCATATAGTTAAAAAAAGAAAATTACATGTTGGGAGGCTGAGGCGGGCAGATAACTTGAGGTCAGGAGTTCAAGACAAGCCTGGCCAACATAGTGAAACCCTGTCTCTACCAAAATTACGAAAATTAGCCAGACGTGGTGGGCATCTGTAATCCCAGCTACTTCAGACACGGGGCTGGAGACTTGCTTGAACCCCGAAGGTGCAGGCTGCAGTGAGCTGAGATTATGCCACTGCACTTCACCCTGGGTGCCAGAGTACGACTCTGTCTCAAAAGAAAAGAAAAGAAAGGAAAATTATTTGTGGCAAAATAAAGCAAATGCATAATAGTAGCATACATAGAGTTCTTGTCTTGTGTTCTCAATTTAGCCGGCATAATTTAATTTATCATTTCAACTAACTACAGCTGATGATGCTGCAGACTCAGAGAGGAATGTCTACCCAGGTGTCCTCCCGTGAGCTTCCCTTTGACTCATTGCTAGTAACCAAAAATTCAAGATTATGTAAAATAAATTTACTGTTATTAGACAATAAAAATTCGACTGCCTTCAAATCAGAAAATGTTATTTCTGTTCTCAGTTTAACTCCTGATGTGTGTGTGTGTGTGTGTGTGTGTGTGTGTGTGTGTGTGATTTTGGCCAGATTTTCTCATATCTCTTTGGGTTTTCTCATTGTATATTTGAAGATATGAAAAGACAAAATTTTTGCAAATTTAGCTAAATGATCAAATTGGCTTCTAACTGTGATTCAAAAATCAGGAAATATCTCATCCAAAAATAGAGAGTTTCTGTGCTGGATATGGGACAAGAGCCAGTTTTTGTAAGGTTTCTTGAACAGGAACAAAGAAACAAAATAATACAACAAACGAAATGGTTAACATCAGGTTACTCTTCTTGCATAGATGAAAGAATGGAGGACTTCCTTATCATGCTGGCTAAAGCTGGCCTGTTTTAGCATTTGGCTATTATGCATCCGTCCTGATTTTTTACTAAGTCAGGTAAACAATGTAATTAAAAACTCAGGGATGCAGAACTTTAGCAAGAATAGCTGCATTTTGATTTGGTCTGTTGGGGCATAGTCCAAATAAATGGCATTTTTAAAAATTTGAATTAACAGAATGTTTTTACATTTATCTCACATTTTTATAGTATTTTAGGATTTAATTTTCTATCCTTGTTATTCTTCTGAGGTTTCCTTAAAATGGCTGAGGACAGTCACCTAATACATACTGGAATTTTATACTTCTAACCTTTCTAACTTTTAGGAACACACATGACCTTATTTTATAGGGGGAGCTTAAATTCATTATTTTATTACTTGAAAATTTCAGAAAGAAAATATCTTTCTTTCTGAATTTTCTGGGAGATAGGCAGAATAATCTGGGAGATAGGCAGAAAATCTAGAGACAACTGAGAGAAGAGGGCAATATAATCACAATGTGGAAAAGAGATCAGTGGCAATTTTTTCTTTTAATCCAATCTTGGAAACAGATCATTTATTCACTCACCCATTCTTTAATCCCAGCCACCTGGAATTCCCTTGTGAGTCTCTTCCCTCACCTGTAGTTTATTTCCAAACATATTCGGGAAACATGCACAGAGAACACTACATTACCCTAATCCTATTAATAAAACAATCACTTTAATAGGAAGGAAGAAGCCTGTACGAATCAAAAAGGATGATCAAGACAAATTTCTGTGATTTTTTTTGTAGCATCGTGCATGGAGGATCGACATGGTTTCCACAGAGCTGGAGTCATTCAGGAAAGCTTCTTATATCGAGAGTGGTCCAGAAGAATTCTACCAAAGATTTAAGAAGTGTTTTTCTGCAACTCACATCTTCATAAGTATAAAGGGTAAAGATTCTCAGAATACAGCTCATGGATATCTGATTCTTAACAGGTAAGACAGATACTGTCCAAGAGCATTTCCAACAGGATAATATTGAGTAGTGTATCCTTCCATGCACCTGGAAAGCCAGGAATTAGAGAAAAGTATGAAGATGAGAAAGCAGTGTCATCTGCTGTTGTTGCAGTGATGGTACAAGCTCCAGCTTACCAAACTATCAGTGGGCAGCACACTGCCATTACTCAGTGAGGAGCTTTAGAACTAACTAGTAATGATACTCTTGGTGCACAGGGACTGCAGAAAAGATAATGGACTAGAGGAGCCACTCTATTGCTGGTGACGTACACAGTGCACTATCTAGAGACCACTGATGGGCAGAGAATGCTAGCAGCCAGTAACCAGGTTGTCGTACTAGCTGTCACAGAAAATGTGCCATCATCCCAGATTGGCATCCTCTATCAGCATTGTGCCTGGAGCTGGTAGGGCATCTTTCCAAGGTCCAACTGCTCAGCTTTTCAAAAGGCAGTGGAGAAGAGAGAGAGGCTGGCCCGAAAAGAAACAATGAAGCATCATGAGAATATTGTAGAAAGTATAAGGAAAATGGGAACAATTTAGAAAAGAAAATGCAGAACTTGGAAAAGCAAACAACTCTTTCATTAAGGACATAAATGCACTTAAGAGGTTTGTTATTGTAAAAAATAAAATAGATTATGTTTCAATTTATATGTTGTGTTTATTTGCATGGCAAGTTTCCTGACATTAGCTTTATTGAAAGAGCTATTTGTTCTGAAGAAAAGCAGCAGGAGTATCTCAGATTAGTACTGAAAAGCAAGGATACCATAAGGAAGAGTTTGGACTATGATAGGAGCTTCACTTGAATGCTGAGTTATAAAATCTGGTCAGGTAGTGGTGTGCAAGATGTTCTATAGGCAGAAAGAGGCAACAGCTAAGAGAGTAGAATAATTTCCATCGAAAGGAGCCTTGGTTGTTAGTCTAGGATACAAGTAACAGGCAGAGAGATGGAAGGAAAAACAATATAAAGAACATCTCTAGCCAAACATTTCAGATATTTCCATCTTATCCCTCAAAAGTACTTATCTAGGCCAGGTGCGGTGGCTCACGCCTGTAATCCCAGCACATTGAAAGGCTGAGAGCGGCGGATCACCTGAGGTCATCAGTTCAAGACCAGCCTGGCCAACTGGTGAAACCCCGTCTCTACTAGAAATAAAAATAAAAAATTAGCCGGGCGTGTTGGTGGATGCCTGTAATCTCAGCCAATTGGGAGGCTAAGGCAGGAGAATTGCTTGAACAGAGGTGGCGGAGGTTGCAGTGAGCCGAGATGGTGCCAGGGCACTCCAGCCTGGGGAACAGGGCAAGAGTCCATCTCACAAACAAACAAACAAACAAACAAACAAACGAAAAACCAACTTGTCTAATGCGGTCCCATCTTCTCCAACCCAGAGCGTGTGAGGTGTGGATTCCTTATTTGGTCCTAAGCATTTGGCTGCATGGCTGAGACAGCTCTTCCTCTCAGTTGTGCTCTATGTCCTTGTTTCTCTGCTGTGATATCAATTTTGGGTGTCAGTTTGAGTGCGGACTTTCATGATTGACACGGGTGGCACTTTGTGGTATGTGTGACGGCAGATCCTCATCAGGACACAGATTCAGAGTTAGTTTCTCAGAAAATGAAGATCTCAGAGGGAAGAGCTGTGCCTAAACTAGCCCCGTAAAATTTGAGAATCAGTCAATTACTCTGCAGAAAAAGAAACACGCCTAAAATTTTACATGGAATTGTCTTCATTGACAAGTTTCTTGCCATATTTTAGTTTAGAAACTGTACATATGAGTAGGTGACTATGAAGTAATGGCAACAGTAACAACAAGTTGATAGTATTCCTAAATATAGAAAACAGCATTTTGCCTTTGTGGAAAGAGAAGAGAGGACATTTGCACAGAGGAGCGCCAGGCACCATCTGATGAGGGATGGGTACCAAGATTGGAAATGATTACAAGGAAATATATAAATGGCAATAGATAATAACCACTTTTAATTTAATTTATTTACCAATCCCCCAATTTAGTGAGGTGTACTTTGTATGTAAGATCTAGTTTTGTGATTCTTATTGTTTAAATCAAAGAAAGTAAATGGTTTTGTATCTGAATTGATGAAAACTCGAGCAGTTGCAGCTAACTTGAGTTTGGTAAAAATATCCAGAACCTGAACTGATTCTGTTAAAGCAGGAGGTCATATTGGAGAGGTCACTATAGACTCTGTATACAATCTGGATGGATGTTTTGGGGCCAAATTTTGTATTTCTCAAAAAGCAAAGTGGCCTCAATTAACATCAGAGGATCTAAACATATCTGCTCTGTTTTTGTCCTGTGTGAGATGTTGTGAAGTGGAACAAGGAAGAAAGAAAGAGCACAGCCATGAGCTACCATGGCAAGTAGCGGCCCTGAAACCAGAGTTCTACAGTACAGGGCTGGTCCTCAACAATGAAATACTAGCTGATACTGGGTGTCTAATTTGCAAGAAGAAGACCAACATACAAAGAAAGAGCCTTTTTACTAAGCATTAGGGGTTATGACAGAAATAAAATTTTTTCTAGAAATGATGAGACAGAAGCTAACCACCAAAATTACTCATGCAGGGAATATTGCCATAATAACCAACGAATGCATGTTTTACATGTTGGGAAGAGTTTTCTTAGGACTTCTTAATTTTCTTAGGACTAGCACCAGAAAAAAGCAAAAACATCTGGAAAAGACTGAATAAAAATTCCTTTCAAGGCCAGACATAGTGCCTCATGCCTTTAATCCCAGCACTTTGGGAGGCTGAGGTAGGAGGAAGGCTTGAATCCAGGAGTTCAAGATGAGCCTGGACAACACTGAGACCCTCCATTTCTATAAAAATATTTTTTTAAAAAATTAGCCAGGCATGGTGGCACACACTTTGGTTCCAGCTACTTAGGAGGCTGAGGCGGGAGGATCACTTGAGCCCAGGAGTTTGATGCTGCAGTGAACCATGATTGTTCCACTGCATTCCATTCTGGGCAACAGAGCTAGAGCTTTTCTCAACACCAACTAACAAACAAAAAAAGGTATTTTATTTCACTACAATATTTTATTTGTATATATTTACATGTGCACATATATGTGTGTGTGTTGATATATTTTAGAATAGAAGACAAACTTTAAGTCACTAGATGGATGACAGTTTGAGCTTACATCCCCAAACTGTAGCATGTGTTAGAATTATCCCCAGGGCTTGCTTTATAGATATTTCTAAACACCATCATATAAAGCTTATTGTAACTACAGACATCTAAATAATTATTTATGTTAGCTCTATAAGAGCTAACATATAACTTTATATTCCAGAGATTTTGTTTCTGAGGTGTAGGGTCAAGGGTGTATGTGCTAAACATTTTAATAATACATTCTGCCAGATTGCTTTCCCAAAGTTTGGAGCAATTCATGCACCCACCAGTAGGGCATGTGAGTATCAGTCCCCACCTCCAAACCTTTGCAAATTTAGCCCCACTGGATGAAAGAAAAATGAGTGCTGTTAGTGCTGTTGGTGTGTACATTTCAGCTCCTTGACCTCTAAGGCAGTTGAACACCTTTTCAGATGTTTACTGATCATTTGTACTTCCTCAGGGATGTGAATTGGGCTTAACCACTCAGGCACACTATTTAACCTCTTTCTGCCTTAGTTTCATTGTCTTTTTTTTTTTTTTTTTTTTTTTTTTTTTTTTTTTTTTTAGTTATTACTATTTTTGTTGTTGAGACTGAGTCTTGCTATGTTGCCCAGGCTGGTGTCAAACTTCTGGCCTCAAGCAATCCTCCTGCCTCTGCCTCCCAAAATGCTAGGATTACAAAGCATGAACCACCACACCGCAGGAGTTTGAGACCAGCCTAGACAACATAGCGAGACCCCCCATCTCTACAAAATTTTAAAAATTGGCCGGGCGCGGGTGGCTCACACCTGTAATCCTAGCACTTTGGGAGGCCGAGGTGGGTGGATCACAAGGTCAGAAGTTCAAGACCATCCTGCCCAACATGGCGAAACCCTGTCTCTACTAAAAATACAAAAAATTAGCCAGGCGTGGTGGCAGGCATCTGTAATCCCAGCTACTCAGGAGGCTGAGGCAGGAGAATCACTTGAACCCAGGAGGCAGAGGTTGCAGTGGGCCGAGATTGGGCCACTACACTCCAGCCTGGGTGACAAGAGCAAAACTCCATCTCAAAAAAAAAAAAAAAAAAGCCAGGCATGGTGCCACCTGGCTGTAGTCCTAGGTACTCAGGAGGCTGAGGCAGGAGGATCATTTGAGCCCAAGAATTTGAGGCTACAACGATCTATGATTGTACCATGGCTCTCCAGCCTGGGCAACAGAGCAAGATCCTGTCTCTTAAAAAAAAAAAAAAAAAAAAAAAAGGCCAGGCGTGGTGGCTCACACCTGTAATCCCAGCACTTTGGGAGGCCAAGGCAGGCAGATCACAAGATCAGGAGATCAAGACAATCCTGGCCAACACAGTGAAACCCCATCTCTACTAAAAATACAAAAAATTAGCCGGGCGTGGTGGTGGATGCCTGTAGTCCCAGCTACTCGGGAGGCTGAGGCAGGAGAATGGCGTGAACCTGGGAGGCAGATCTTGCAGTGAGCGGAGATCGCGCCACTGCACTCCAGCCTGAGCGACAGAGCAAGACTCCACCTCAAAAAAAAAAAAAAAAAAAAAAAAAAAAACAAAAAAAACAAAAAAAACACTGGGCGCAGTGGCTCATGCCTGTAATCCCAGCACTTTGGGAGGCTGAGGCAGGCAGATCACCTGAGATTGGGAATTCCAGACCAGCCTGACCAACATGGAGAAACCCCGTCTCTACTAAAAATACAAAATTAGTCGGGCGTGGTGGCGCATGCCTGTAATCCCAGCTACTCGGGAGGCTGAGGCAGGAGAATCGCTAGAACCCAGGAGGCGGAGGTTGTGGTAAGCCGAGATCGGGCCATTGCGCTCCAGCCTGGGCAACAAGAGTGAAACTCCATCTCAAAAAAAAAAAAAAAAAAAAGCAGGTAAAGTATTTGAATAGGATTTTTCCAAAGAAGACATACAAATGGCCAATAGGGTTGGGCATGGTGGCTCACGCCTGTACTTTGGGAGGCCGAAGCAGGTGGATTGCTTGAGGTCAGGAGTTCGAGATCAGTTTGGGCAACACAGCAAAACGCCATCTCTATTAAAAATAATAATAGTAATGTTTTTAAATGGCCAAACAAGCACATGGAAATATGGTCAACATCATTCATCATCAGAGAAATGCAAATCAAAATCTCAATGAGATACCACTTTATACCCACTAGGATGGCTAAAATAAAAAAGACAGATCAGTCTAGGTGCCATGGCTTGTGCCTATAATCCAAACACTTTGAGAGACCCAGGTGGGCAGATGGGTTGAGCCCAGGAGTTTGAGACCAGCCTGGGCAACACAGCAAACCCCATCTCTACAAAAAATACAAAAATTAGTTGGGTGCGGTGGTGTGCACCTGTGGTCACAGCTACTTGGGAGGCTGAGGTGGGAGGATCACCTGAGCCCTGGAAGGTTGAGGCTATAGTGGACCATAGTCATGATCACGCCACTGCCCTTCAGCCCGGGGTACAGAGTGAGAACCTGTTTCAAAAAAAAAAAAAAGATAATAAATGTTAACAAAGATATGGGGGTAATCAGATCCTCATATGCTGCTGATTGAAATATAAAATCGTGTCACTGTTTGGGAAAACAACTTTGCAGCTCTTAAAAAAGTTCAACATTAAGCTACCATGTGACCCAGCAATACCACTCCTAGGCGTATACAGGGACAGAACTGAAAATGTCTTCACACAGAAACCTGTACACAAATATTTATAGCAGCATTATTCACAATGCCCAAAAGGTGGGAATGACCCAAAGATTTATCAATTGATGAATAGATAAACAAAACATGAAACAACCATACAATGGAATATTATTCACCCATAAAAAGGAATGAAGTACTGGTATGTGCTACAACATAGATAAGCCTTAAAAAATTACAGTAAATCAAAGAAGCCAGACACAAAAGACTACATATTGTAGAGTTCCTTTTATTTTTATTTTTAATTATTTTATTTTATTTGAGACAGGATCTTACTTTGTCACCCAGTCTGGAGTCCTGCAGCCTCAACTTCCTGGGCTCAAGTAATCCTCCTGCCTCAGCTCCCCAAGTAGTTGGGACTACAGGCATGCACCACCACGCCCAGCTAAATTTTGTACTTGCTGTGCAGATGCAGTTTCAGCATGTTGCCCAAGCTGGTCTTGAACTCCTGAGCTCAAGCGATCCACCGGCCTGGGCCTCCCAAAGAGTTGGGATTACAGGCGTGAGCCACTGCAGCCCGCCAAATGGTTCATTTCATACAAAATGTCTAGAATAGGCAAATTCATAGAGCTAGAAAGTAGATTCGTGGTTGCCAGGGCCTGTGTGAGAGGGATGGAGAGTGGCTGCTGATGGGTACAGGCATTCTCATCTGAGAGTTGAATGCAAAACCTTGTGCATATACTAAAAACCACTGAATTGTACACTTCAAGCATCAAGCAAGCAAGCAAGGAAGGTTCACCTTGCAGGGTCTTAGTTGAGGCAACAGGTGAGATGTGGGAAGTGGCTCTGATGCCTCTGGTGCTCATAGGGGCTTGTGGGTCCACCTTTCCCTCCTCCTAAATGTGAGTTCCTCAAGGGAAGGACCCCCAAGAACATACTCATCTCTTATCCAAGTGCCTGGCATGGGGCTTAGCACATAGTAAGTGTTCCATAAATCCCACTGACTGCATGGAGACAATGATGTTATTTTTTTGTAAGCCAAGGGGAAGACATTATAGATCAGCACATACACATGGGTATACAGTCAAGAAATAAGTGAATGAATCTGCAGAGCTATTGGGACACATCCTCTGAATGAACATTTGTCTCAAACAACAGTCCTGATCAGTGAGCAGAATATTCAGTGAAGGAAACTTTAAGAAGGTTCCCCTCCAAAAAATGACATCAGAGAGCATGAGCTCAAATCATCTCCCTACATGGTTTAAAAAAAAAAAGGGCAGGCCGGGTGCGGTGGCTTACGCCTGTAATCCCAGCACTTTGGGAGGCCGAGGTGGGCGGATCACGAGGTCAGGAGATCGAGACCATCCTGACTAACACGGTGAAACCCCATCTCTACTAAAAATACAAAAAATGAGCTGGGCATGGTGGCGGCCGCCTGTAGTCCCATCTACTCGGGAGCCTGAAGCAGGAGAATGGCATGAACCTGGGAGGCAGAGCTTGCAGTGAGCCGAGACTGCACGACTGCACTCCAGCCTGGGCGTCAGAGCAAGACTCCGTCTCAAAAAAAAAAAAAAAAAAAGACTCCTCTCAAACTTGGCTTGTGGTCACTGGGGACCTACGAAGGTTCAACACGTGTATCAAAAGTGGTATTTCTGTTTGGGGTTCATCTACTCTGGCCACAGCATGATGTTTGTTCTCAACAACTACAATGTGTTCAGATTTTGAAAACCCAAATGTCATAAAAACTTTAAAAAAGATGCAATTCCTGCAATGTCAAGTGGACTAAAACATTCCTGGTAAAGAGCTTACAGTGGATCATTCATTTGAGTTTGAAAAACTTAGAAATGAACCTATCAAACACCAGCAAACCCTGTGGAATAAAACTACTGATGCAATGAAGAGAGCTGAAGAGATTAAACAGAAATGCCAAGATGGCCAAACATGGTGGCTCACGCCTGTAATCCCAACACTCTGGGAGGCCAAGGTGGGTGGATCACCTGAGGTCAGGAGCTCGACACTAGCCTGGCCAACATGGTGAAACCCTGTCTCTACTAAAAATACAAAAATTAGCTGGGTGTGGTGGCATACACCTGTAATGCTAGCTACTCAAGAGGCTGAGGCAGGAGAATCGCTTGAACCCAGGAGGCGGAGGTTGTGGGGAGCTGAGATCACACCACTGCACACCAGCCTGGGTGCCACAGAGCGAGACTCTGTCTCAGAAAAAAAAAAAAAAGGGCAGCCATAAAAAAGAATGAGTTCATGTCCTTTGCAGGGACATGGATGAAGCTTGAAGCTATCGTTCTCTGCAAACTAACACAGGAACAGAAAACTAAACACCACATGTTCTCACTCATAAGTGGGAGTTGAACAATGAGAACACATGGACACAGGGAGGGAACATCATCACACACTGGGGCCTGTCAGGGGGTGGAGGGCAAGGGGAGGGAGAGCCTTATGACAAATACCTAATGCATGAGGGACTTAAAACCTAGATGACGGGTTGATGGGTGCAGCAAACCTCCATGGCACATGCATACCTATGTAACAAACCTTCACATTCTGCACATGTATCCCAGAACTTAAAATAATAAAAAAAAGAAACGCCAAGCTAAATGTATAATGAACAGATTGAAGAAAAATAAAGAGCTACAGAAAATCCAGGACATCAAAGAAGTCAAGCAAAACATTTATCTTATTCAAGCTCCTCTTGCAGGCAAAGGAAAGCAGTTGGAAGAGAAAGTGGTACAGCAATTACAATAGGCTGTGGACATGGAAAATATCTCTTAAAAGTCTGTAGGCTGGGCATGGCGGCTCATGCCTATAATCTCAGCATTTTGGGAAGCTGAGGTGGGAGGATTGATTGAGGCTAGTAGTTTGAGACCCCCCTTCTCTACAAAACATTTTTTTAATTAGCTAGATGTGGTGGTGTACCCCTGTAGACCCAGCTACTTGGGGTGGGGGTGTGGGGATGTCAAGAGTGGGGAGGCTGAAGTGGGAGGGTTCCTTGAGCCCAGGAGGTCTAGGTTGCAGTGAACTGTGATTATGCCACTGCACTGCAGCCTGGGCAACAAAGTAAGACCCTGCCTCAAAAAAAAAAAAAAAAAGGCTCGTAATCATTTCTTTTTTTTTTTCTTTTTTTTTCTTTTTCTTTTTTTGAGACAGAGTCTCGCCCTGTTGCCCAGTCTGGAGGGCAGTGACACGATCTCAGCTTACTGCAACATCTGCCTCCCGGTTTCAAGTCATTCTCCTGCCTCAGCCTCCGGAGTAGCTGGGATTACAGGCACCTGCCACCATGCCCAGCTAATTTTTGTATTTTTAGTAGAGACGGGGTTTCACCATGTTGGCCAGGCTGGCCTCGAACTCCTGACCTCAGGTGATCCACCTGCCTTGGCCTCCCAAAGTGCTGGGATTACAGGTGTGAGCCACCGCACCCAGCTTTCATTGTAACTATTTCTATTTATTTATTTATTTATTTATTGAGACAAAGTTTCGCTCTTATTGCCCAGGCTGGAGTGCAATGGGGTGATATCATCTCACTGCAACCTCCACCTCCTGGGTTCAAGCGATTCTCCTGCCTCAGCCTCCCCAGTAGCTGGAAGTGCAGGCATGCGCCCCCACGCCCAGCTAATTTTTTGTATTTTTAGTAGAGATGGGGTTTCTTCATGGTGGTCAGGCTGGTCTCAAACTCCCGAAGTCAGGTGATCCACCCGCCTCAGCCTCCCAAAGTGCTAGGATTACAGGGATGAGCCATTGCGTCTGGCCCATTGGAACTTTTCCTTTCTTTCCTTTCTTTCCTCTTTTTCCTCTCTTTCTCTCTTTCTTTCTTTCTGACGGAGTCTCCCTCTGTCTCCCAGGCTGGAGTGCGGTGGCGCCATCGGCTCACTGCAAGCTCCGCCTCCCGAGTTCACGCCGTTCTCCTGCCTCAGCCTCCTGAGTAGCTGGCACTATAGGCGCCCGCCACCACGCCCGGCTAATTTTTGTGTGTGTGTGTATTTTTTAGTAGAGACGGGGTTTCACCGTGTTAGCCAGGATGGTCTCAATCTCCTGACCTCGTGATCCACCCGCCTCGGCCTCCCAAAGTGCTGGGATTACAGGCGTGAGCCACCGTGCCCGGCCAGAGTTTCGCTCTTGTTGCCAGGCTGGAGTGCAATGGCGCGATCTCGGCTCACTGCAACCTCCACTTCCCAGGTTCAAGTGATTCTCCTGCCTCAGCCTCCCGAGTAGCTGGGATTACAAGCAGGCGCCACCACGCCCAGCTAATTTTTGTATTTTTAGTTACTAAAAATACAAAGGATGAAGAGCAGAAGGGAAATCCCCAAATTCAAGCAAGCACAGAAATCCATGATTGGAGACGGGGTTTCGCCATGTTGGCCAGGATGGTCTCAATCTCTTGACCTCGTGATCCGCCCGCCTCTGCCTCCCAAAGTGCTGGGATTACAGGCGTGAGCCACCGTGCCCAGCCCATTGTAACCATTTCTATATGTACGTTTAAAAATGTCCTTTGGAGACTTAGAACTTCCAAATTATTTATTTTTTTACATAAGGGCACTTAAATGAAAGGTGATTAAAAAGACATCTCTCCGGCCGGGTGCGGTGGCTCGGGCCTGTAATCCCAGCACTTTGGGAGACCGAGGTGGGCAGATCACGAGGTCAGGAGATCCAGACCATCCTGGCTAACACAGTGAAACCAGGTCTCTACTAGAAATACAAAAAAATTAGCCAGGCGTGGTGGTGGGCGCCTGTAGTCACAGCTGCTCAGGAGGCTGAGGTAGGAGAATGGCGTGAACCCAGGAGGCGGAGCTTGCAGTGAGCCGAGATCTCCCCACTGCACTCCAGCCTGGGCGACAGAGGGAGACTCTGTCTCAAAAAAAAAGTCTCTCCTACATTGCTGTCTGCAAAACATCAGATGTTACGGATGTTAGACTGCATCTCAATGGTAAATCTTCACTGACAGGTTTACTTACATCAATCATGAAAATTCTGTTTGTAGGCTGGGTACGGTGGCTCATGCCTGTAATCCCAACACTTTGGGAGGCCGAGGCAGGCTGATCATGAGGTCAGGAATTTGAGAACAGCCTGGCCAACATGGCAAAACCGCATCACTACTAAAATCACAAACATTAGCTGGGCATGGTGGTGAGCACTTGTAATCCCAGCTACTAGGGAAGCTGAGTCAGGAGAATTCCTTGAACCTGGGAGGTGGAGGTTGCAGTGAGTGGAGATGGCGCCACTGCACTCCAGCCTGGTCAACAGAGTGAGACTGTCTCAAAAAAAAAAAAAGAGAGAGAAAATTCTGTCAATACAGAAGTGAATTGTGGACGTAAAATGGTCATGCCATTTGGTTAATGGCACTAGGCAGCATTCATACAACAACTAATGACAAAAATTCACAGCTAGTGATATATAAAATAAAGTATTTTTGCAGTAAACAAACAAAATTGGCATGGCTTCCAGCTGAGCTCACCTTCACCCCACTCACCTTGTAAATGGGGTCATCCTCTGAGTTAACACAGTGGAATCCCCCTCCCGTCTCTCTCTCATGTCTGTCGGTTCTTCCCCAGCAATAGTCCCTGGAGTGGCCCCTATTAAGGGCCTTGACATCCACTCCCACACTCAATTTTACAACCACCTCCTTTGGGACTCCCTGTTTCGCACCCCTCCTGTCTCTGGCCTCTGTTCCTTGAGTCCTGAACCTGAACTGGATTCTGTCCTGCCCTGTAAGGTCCTCCTCAGGCTGGCTGACACCTAGGAGTCCTGCACTTGCCCACTGATAAGCGACATCTCAGGCCTCAAGCATTCATGCCTTTGCACATTTTATTCCCTTTTCCTTGAATGCTTTTTCTCCTCTTGGAGATAAATAGTAAATTCCAACTCAAATTTCAAGACTTTGGGCAAATGTTACCTTGCCTGAGGTCATCGGACCCTTCCAGGCAGGGTCCCCATGTCACTTCTGTGTGCTCCTGCAGCCTCCGGGCACACCTCCATTGTGGGGTTGAGTACATGGCAAGGTTATTATCTTTTTGCACATGTTTTGAGTCTAGGCAGTGTGGCAGGTGCTCAGTCTTTGTTGAATGACTGCATAATGAAGGGTGCATTATACAGGACAATTGTTTCTCCATCTTTTGATATACCTGGTTATTCAAACCTACATCCATTTTGTTACATAATGTCCTTGTATAAAATCACACATGAGAAATTACTTTTGGAATTGAAAATAAGGAAAAACACGTTATTTCCTTCTATTGTAGAAACTCTATGTTATAAAGAGAAGCATGGAGTCCTTTGTGTTCCCCACCCGCTTCTCTTCTTCTCTTGCTTCCAAGAAGCTTAGAGCCAGGTTTAATGTTCATTCACAATAATCACATTAGCCTTCCTGAACAGAATTTGGCTTTTCCTCCTCTTTCTGGTTCTGATTTTCTATCTTTTCTCTAGTAACCTCTTTGAAATCAGGCAGTGGAATATGGAGGGGAAGGAATGGGTTCTGTAATCAGAGAAACATGCATTCAAATGGCCCTGCACCTCGTGGCTGTGCAACTTGAGCAATTTACTTAACCTCTCTGAACCCCCAATTTCCCTTTTATAGGGTGATTATAGGGAATACGTTAAAATGTATGTACTGTATATAGCACATAGTAGAGGATCAAAACATGATGATTACACAAAGTGGGGCTATAAGTGAAAAAAAAAATTGAAAGTGTCACTCCAGGCTGGCCTCTGGAAGAATAAGCAGCCATTCACATGGGATGACTTGGGAAGGAGCAAGGCCAACTTGCAGCCCCTCTCCCCCAAGTCGGTCCCATCACTAGGATCACTATCCAAGGGACCGTTTGAAAGATGCCTTCTTAACTGGGCTGAGAGATCAGCTCACCAGGAGTGGGCACATATAGCACGTGGTTCCGCAGAGCAGGGCAGAGGGAAGAGAGATCCTAAGAGGAGGAAGAGAAGGAGGAGAAGGGAAGGGATGGAGGGAGAGGAGGAGGAAGAGGAGGAGATCGGGGAGGTCCTTGGCTGGATGTGGCCAGGCCCTGCAAGGGTCCTCTGTGCTGGGGTTGCTGTACTACCTAAAGCAGCCCTGTTTGCCAAAGCTCCTTTTCTGTTCCTTCCAGGGTCTTCTGGGAGGAATGTGGAGGGTCTCAAGGACACAGAGCCTGAACACAAAGAAGTTAGGGCAGTGGATCCCTAAAGTGAGGGCAAAACCCCGAGAGATGAGGGGAGAGACAGGCCAGTAGCAACAAGAGCCCCAGGCTGGAATCCCGGCTCTCATAACCCAGTGCCTGGCCCTGAACCTGGCAGAGGGGCCGCCAAGCCTCAGTTTCTTCATTTGAAAAATGAATCTAGTAATAGTGCCCTCCAGCCTGCTGTGAAGATCAAATGAGGTCAGGTTTCTGGAGGCAATTTGCACACTGAACGAGGGTTATTCTTGAGTAAGTTATTATCCAATTTTGCCTGGAGCTGGCTCTGTCTCTTTATATTAAACTTTCAAATGGTACATATTAAAATGGACCTACCTATATAGATTTAAAACATTTTAAATCGCAGTAGTTCTGCAAAGAACAGTAAGGAGTTTGGAGGGGATTCTTTCTACATCTTCAACAGCCTTTTGTTTTGTTTTGTTTTTTTGAGACAGGGTCTAGCTCTGTTGCCCAGGCTGGTGTGCAGTGGTGAAATCACAGCTCACTGCAGCCTCGCCCTTCTGGGCTCAAGTGATCTTCCCACCTCAGCCTCCCGAGTAGCTGGGACCAGAGGCACATGCCACCACACCTGGTTAGTTTTTTAATTTTTTGTAGAGATGGGGTCTCACTATGTTGCCCAGGCTGGTCTCCTGGACTTAAGCCCTCCTCCTGCCTCAGCCTTCCAAAGTGCTGGGATTACAGGCGTATGCCACCATGTCCTGGTGTCAGTAGTCCTTTTGACAGACAACTGGAAGTCAGATGAATGAATGGGCCCAAACTCCCGCAGGAATTTATCAAAAGAAGCAAAGGCAAAGTAGTAATTATTTTCTGCTCCTTCCAGGGGCCTTCCCCTTGCTGGGAAGAGACTGCCAACCCCCAAGGTGGCTGCCTTCCCACCCATCATATCCTGGCCTCAGAAGAGGGGCTCCTCAGGGGACAGCCATCCCAGCCACACTCCGGCAAAGCTCAGTTCAGCTCTACTGCCCTCTTTCCTGTAGAACCACACAGGAGGATCATTAATTAGTTATTTGTGATGCCTAATTAAAAATCAGTTCCCCAGAAGTCTAGGGTGTGAGTTTTTGGTGATAGCAGGCTTGGTTTAGAATAAGACAAAATAATTTGTATAAGCAGCCTAACTCAATGCCAGGTGCAGGGCCGGGGCTCAACCAGTATTTGTTGAGTGTGAATCTGAGGGCTGAAATCTCCTAATGGGAATATGCATGTGCACACACATACACACAAACACACACACACACACACAGAGAGAAAGAGACAGAGAGAGAGAGAGAGAGAGAGAGAGAGAGAGAGAAACATGCCCAGGACAGATCTCTTCTCAAAGCAAAACGTGGAAAATGATTTTCATGGCTGGTGGTTCTGAGCAGAGTTGTTCCCAATACACAGAGTGGTTCTCAATACACACATCTGCAGTGTCTCCACCATGGAAAGATCTGACTGTCGGACTGAGGTCGGTTAGATAGGGTGGTCGTGGCCTCCCTTAAAGGGGAACGAACTTGACCGATTGGCAACTGCGTAAACTTCATCAGGCTCCTGGTTAGAATATCCTGCAGCAAAGAGGATGGAGAGCAGAAGGGAAATCCCCAAATTCAAGCAAGCACAGAAACCCATGATTAGTGTCCTTGGGCTGACCTACGCTCATTTTAATGCTAAAAAACACACAGGCCAGACGCGGTGGCTCACACCTGTAATCCCAGCACTTTGGGAGGCCAAGGTGGACGGATCACGAGGTCAAGAGATTGAGACCATCCTAGCCAACATGGTGAAATCCCGTCTCTACTAAAAATACAAAAATTAGCCAGGCGTGGTGGCAGGCGCCTGTAGTCCCAGCTACTCGGGAGGCTGAGGCAGGAGAATTGATTGAATCCAGGAGGCAGAGATTGCAGTGAGCTGAGATCGTGCCACTGCACTCCGGCCTGGTGACAGAGCGAGACTCTGTCTCAAAAAAATAAATAAAAAACACACCCCGGGTGGAGAATTAAAATGCTAATGAGACGTGTGTACTAGCATGTACAGCAATAGCACATGCACACCGAGGGTACCCCACAACATGCTTAACAGCAATGCCCATTCGCACTCTTTTATGAATAATCATGTAAATTTCCCATATAGGGAAGCACCTCACTGCCAGACAACTCTGTCTCACTTCTAAGCAGCCCGCTCTGGCCCAGCCGTCCCAGTATACCTTCGCTTTGCAATAAACTTCTTTACCTACTTTTGCTTTGTACTTGCTCTCAAATTCTTTTGTGCAGCAGTCAAGAACCTGAATCGGCCCAATGACACTGTAAGTTGGCAACTGCAGCAGGACCTGGGTAAACTGAGTCAAGAGGTAAGAATGATCTCACCACCTCATGGCTACAGGTCTAATCTTCCTCCTCTCTTTATATCCTCCTTTTGGCCACCTGAGAATTCCCTTCAGCTAAGACTGTCATGCTCCATCCAACTGGTTTCCAGTTCACCTGTGGGTGACTCATGGAGATGGGAAAGTTAGACTCTCCCCAAGTAGCTTGTGGCTGTCTTAGTCCAGCCAGACAGCTGGCACATATGAAAGTGATGGGGAAAAAGCCCAGGCTGCATAATGCCAGGTGACCTTTCAATCCGTCTTCTGCTGCTGATGATAACTATTACTTTTGTTCTTTAATCCCTTACGGGTGGGGCGATGAATTTTATTCCTTAATCTCCCAATTGGTTTCTTGGGTGAATCCTGTCAAATGTCTTGTCTGTCAGGAACACATTAGATTGTATGAACATTCTTATCGTGACCAAGTAAAAGATCTCAAAACTGGGGATCTCAGCCTTTTTGTATCCCTAATCAGACAACTTTGTCAATGTTTTAAAGCAAAGATCAGGCAAATAGAAAATGGGCCTTTCTTTTCTTTCTTTCTTTCTTTTTTTTTTTTTTTTTTGAGACAGAATTTCACTCTTGTTGCCCAGGCTGGAGTGCAATGGTGCAATCTCGATTCACTGCAACCTCCGCCTCCTTGGTTCAAGCGATTCTCCTACCTCAGCCTCCCAAGTAGCTGGGATCACAGGCATGCGCCACCATGACTGGCTAATTTTGTATTTTTAGTAGAGACGGGATTTCTCCATGTTGGTCAGGCTGGTTTCAAACTCCTGACCTCAGGTGATCTGCCCAACTTGGCCTCCCAAAGTGTTGGGATTACAGGGATGAGCCACGCACCTCGCCGAAAACGGGCCTTTCAATCAATTGATGCTCCCCCAACCCTAGTAGGCTTGGCTGTTTTCCAGATCCTTAAGTTGCTCTTTTTTCCCCTGCTTCATTTTCCCTTCATACAGTTGCTCTTTAAGAGAGGAAAATGGGATGTAGAGAGATCATGGTACCATAGAAATGTCAGCTCTAGGGCTGCCCACCCAAGTCCTGGGCCTTTAATAAGAGAACATCAGATGTACAGAAAAGGCCAGAAGAGTCTAAGCCCAGGAAAAGACTCCCTCAGCTAAATGAGGAAAAGAAGTTTATCTGCCTCATTCCACATTGGTCACTCACCAATAACTGTAAAGACAGGGACTAGAAGTGGTACCTCTCCTTGTGGGAAAACTGGTAAAACCACTTTTGGGAAGACTGTCAGCTGGCCATCAAGGTACGCTTGACACCAGGGACAGCAGGGCCTGGGAAGCCCAAGCGAAAGTAAGGGGACGCCCAAGCTAAATTTTGTCTCTTCAGGCTTAGAGCCTTCTTCATTTTTTTTTTTTTTTGACATTAGGCTACTAATCAAGATGGGTAACTGATATGGTTTGGGTCTGTGTCCCCACCCAAATCTCATGTTGAATTGCAATTCCCAATGTTCAGGGAGGGACCTGGTGGGAGGTGATTGGATCATGGGGGCTATTTCCTCCTTGCTATTCTTATGATAGTGAGTTTTCACGAGATCTGATGGTTTAAAAGTGTGTGGCACTTCCCCCTTCACTCTCTTTCTCTCTCTCCTATCACCATGTGAAAATGTACTTGCTTCCCCTTCACCTTCTGCCATGACTGTAAGTTCTTGAGGCCTCCCCAGCCATGCCTCCTGTACAGCCTGTAGAACTGTGAGTCAATTAAACCTCTTTTCTTTATAAATTACCCAGTCTCAGGTAGTTTTTATAGCGGTATGAGAGCGGAACAATACAGTAACCAACCCTCTGCTCACTGCCCCCTCAGATGCATTCTCCAAAATTGGTCTTATTTTAAACTGAATGGACTAGAAAAAAAAGAGACTTCTCTTCTTTTGTAATACAGCATGGCCCCAAACAATACCATTTTATTTATTTATTTATTTATTTGAGACGGAGTCTCGCTCTGTCGCCCAGGCTAGAGTGCAGTGGCGCGATCTCCGCTCACTGCAAGCTCCACTTCCCGTGTTCACGCCATTCTCCTGCCTCAGCCTCCCAAGTAGCGGGACTACAGGTGCCCACCACCACACCCGGCTCATTTTTTGTATTTTTAGTAGAGACGGGGTTTCACTGTGTTAGCCAGGATGATCTCGATCTCCTGACCTCGTGATCCGCCCACCTCGGCCTCCCAAAGTGCTGGGATTACCGGTGTGAGCCACCGTGCCTGGCCCAACAATACCATTTTATAATTAAACCTTTTTATAAAAGGAAAGGAAGGTCAGAAATTCCCCAAGGGCCCAGGGCAACCTGACATTATTCCTCCCTCTAACCAAACGGTTTTACATTAAGACAAGTCTCTGCCAGACGCAGTGGCTCATGCCTGTAATCACTTTGGGACTTTGGGAGGCCAAGGTGGGAGGCTGTCTTGAGCTCAGGAGACCAGCCTGGGCAACATAGTGAGGCCTTATCTCTATTAAAAAAAAAAATTAAAACCCACAAGTGTCTTAGAGACCAGTGACAAATGTGTTATGCCCATGTTGTTCAGAAGGGTTCAAGGGAATCTGATGTAATTCATGACACTGTATTAGGAAGTATGCCTCCCACTAACAGCTCTCCTTCTTCAAATCTAGTCCAAGGATCATTCCTCAAACCTCTAGAGCCTCTACTCCTTCTAGTGGTCCTTCCTCACCAGACTTGCAGTCTTCTACTGCACCTCCTCCATATCAACCCATTCACCCAGCACTCCCAGAAGGGCCCAGTCGCGCTAGGACACCCACTCAAACCAGAAAACAGGCTACTCCCTCGTAGGGAATTAACTAACAAAGAGGCAGGGACCATTCGAGTTCACATTCTTTTCTCAATGTCAGACTTAGCCCAAAGACTAAGCAGTTACCAGTTGATGTTATGCACTGCAGGGGACACCAAAGAGGGAACTCTACAACAATAAAAAAAAAAAATGATAATTTAGCAAATGCAACTGCTCAACAGGCTGTGTCCCTTCCATTTGTAGCAGGGGCTCCCATCCCAGAAACTATGGCTCCTGAGCTAGTGCCTGCACACACACAAACTGAAAGGGAGTGGGCAACTGAACAGGGATAATACCAAGACCCTAATGATGGTGGACCCAAAATTCAAATTTTTTTTTTTGAGATGGAGTCTTGCTCTGTCGCCCAAGCTGGAATGCAGTGGCACGATCTCGGCTCACTTTAAGCTCCGCCTCCCGGGTTCACGCCATTCTCCTGCCTCAGACTCCCAAGTAGCTGGGACTACAGGCGCCCGCCACCACGCCTGGCTAATTTTTTTGTATTTTTAGTAGAGACAGGGTTTCACCGTGTTAGCCAGGATGGTCTCGATCTCGTGACCTCGTGATCTGCCCACCTCAGCCTCCCAAAGTGCTGGGATTACAGGCGTGAGCCACCGTGCCCGGCCCCAAAATTCAAAAATTTTAATACCTCAAGGTCATCAATGCAAATTAATCAAAGGGGGTTACAGACACCTAGGAAGGGGCTCTCTAACGCTTTGGTCACATGAACCCTTAAGGGAACAGGCTTAGCTACTACTGTAAAAGCACACACTACAGCGAGACCACTTTACTCTATCAATAACCCAGAAAGGAAAATAAGGCCACTTCCATTACTGATGCCAGTACAGAGGAGAGGAAGGTACCCAGGGGAAGACAGACAGTTAGACTTTCCCTAAGTTCCACCAGTATAAAGATTTAAGCACTTACTGATCTCTACAGATACTTTCATGGGATAGATTGAAGCCTACTCCACCAAAACAGAAAAGGCACAAGTGCCTCTTAAAAGAAATCATTCCCCGATTTGGGCTACCTATGTCACTCCAAAGCGACAATGGCCCCTCCTTTGTTTCCAAAATAACCCAGCAAGTGCTACCACTCTAGGAGTAAGTGATCATTTACATGCTTCCTGGAGACCTCCATCCTCAGGAAAGCTAGAAAAAGCTACTTGTAAAGAAAACTCTGGCGAAGCTCTGGCAAGAGACTTCTGAGTCCTTATTAAAGTGATTGCCTCTAGCGTTCCTCCAAGTAAGAGCGGCTCCCAAGACCAATCTGCAACCCAGCACCTTTGAAATATTATATGGTCCTTTTGAGTCTTCACAGGGGTGCCTTGTAAAGGCATTAGAAAAATATACCAATGTAGATGCTGTCTCTGAGGCAGGTCAAATTCTTCTGGGGACTCATTTTATTAGTCAATCTGCTCCAGATATTAAGAGAAAGTTACAAAAACTGGCTGTAAGTCCCCAGGCACCAATGAATGAGCTAATTAATGTAGCCTTTGAAGTCTTCTATAATGAGACAGAGTAGAAGAGGCTAAAAAGTGAAAGAGGGAAGAGGCAAGAGACATAAACCAGGCCTCCGATTATTGGCCCTTGCTATCAGAGAGAACAAGCCAGTCCAGACCAAGCCCCAATCTGGGGACACCTGCTACACTTAAAACCAGGACACTGGCCCCAAAACTGCCAGACCAAGGGACAAAATGCCCAAAAGTCCGCTCCACCTAGACCATATCCACAATGCAGAGATGCCAGTCACCGGAAGCAGGACTGCCCCCAACTCCGTAGGGAGACAGGGGCTTCCAATTCCTTGATGGCCCTGACTAAAGACTGAGGAGACCCAAGGCTAACACTGGCTGTCATTCAGTCCCCATTACCACAGAGGAATCCAGTGACCCTGCACGTGGCAGGTGTAGCTAATTTTCTATTACATACAGGGACCAGCCTGTCAGTCCTTACATTCTGCCGTCGACCCTAGTAGGCCAAATAGGCCAAACACTGCACTGCCACGGGAATTGATGAAAAACCCGGACCAGATACTTTACCCAACCTTTTTACCTTTTTTTTTTTTTTTTTTTGAGATGGAATCTCACTCTGTTGCCCAGGCTGGAGTGCAGTGGCACCATCTCGGCTCACTGCAAGCTCCGCCTCCTGGGTTCATGCCATTCTCCTGCCTCAGCCTCCTGAGTAGCTGGGACTACAGGCGCCCACCACCACGCCCGGCTAATTTTTTGTATTTTTAGTAGAGACGGGGTTTCATCATGTTGGCCAGGATGGTCTTGATCTCCTGACCTCGTGATCCGCCTGCCTCGGCCTCCCAAAGTGCTGGGATTACAGGCGTGAGCCACCGTGCCCAGCCACCCAACCTTTAATTTGCAGACTCAAGGACGTGAATGCCTAACTCCCTTGTTGCTACCCTCGTTGGGGGCTTCTTTAAAACCAATGAAACCAACTGAACCCCTTCTCATAGGAGCACTCTCAAAAGCCCAGCTGACCACCATAACACACCATAGTCCAGAGAATCCAGGACATTGCCAGCTGGGTGCATCTCTCTAGGATAAAAACTGTTTCCCTTACGTTTCCACAGGACTCTACATCAACAACTAAAAATTAAAAATCCTTTTGTAAGCCTATAGAAGACCTAACATTCATTTTCAAGAAAAGATGCCAACACCCCAAATAAAGAGATTAATATTACTTTAACATAAGGTAGTCCCATCTCAGGTCTCCTATTTGTAGGAGCTCTTTTTGTTCTTCTGCTTGCTGAATAATGATGTGATGCTTCATTCTGCTACCTTTCATGGGACCTACAATAGCCATCTTATTACTACTGACCTTTGGTCCTTGCTTGTTTAAGCTCCTTTAAAGTCTGTGTCTTCTAGGTTACAACAATTCCTAGATTGATAGTTATGCAAGGATTTCAACTTATCCCAGTGGAGGATATGACCCCTATCACTTTAAATCAGGCAAGAAGAGACTTTCGGGCCCTGGTCCTGTCTCAGCACGAAGCAGCTCCAGAAAAAATGACCCAGCCCTCCACATTTCATAAGAACATGGACCCAAAGTCTCTGAGGGGGAAAATGAGGTCGGTTAGATACAGTGGTCATAGCCTCCTTTAAAGGGGAATGAACTTGCCAGATTGATGTAGAGAACAAACCGCCCACTGGTGCATAAACTGCATCAGGCTCCTAGTTAGAACATCCTGCAGCGAAGAGGATGAACAGCAGAAGGGAAAATCCCCAAATTCACACAAGTGCAGAAACCCATGATTAGAGTGTCCTTGGAATGACCTATGCTCATTTTAATGCTAAAAAACACACCCCTGGGTGAGGAATTAAAATGCTAATGAGACATGTGATGTGGTGTACTAGCACGCACATGCACATCTGGGAGACCCCGTAACATGCTTAACAGTAATGCCCATTCCCGCTCCTTTATGAATAATTATGTAAATCTCCCATAAAGGGAAGCTCATCACTGCCAAACAGACACAGCTATCTCACACGTGTGTGTGTGTGTGTGTGTGTGTTAGAGATGGGGGCTTGCTCTTTCGCCAGGCTGGAGTACAGTGCCACGATCTCGGCTCACTGCAACCTCTGCCTACGCCTCCCAGGCTCAAGTGATCCTCTCACCTCAGCCTCTGAAGTAGTTGGGGCTACAGGCACTGCACCACTATGCCCGGCTTTTTTTTTTTTTTTTTTTTTTTTTTTTTTTTTTTTTTTTTTTTTTTTTTGAGACGGCGTCTTGCTCTGCTGCCCAGGCTGGAGTGCGGTGGCGCGATCTCGGCTCATTGCAACCTCCACCTCCCTGGTTCAAGCAATTCCCCTGCCTCAGCCTCCCGCGCAACTGGGATTACAGGCGCACGCCAGCCACCAAGCCCGGTTAATGTTTTTTAATTTTTAGTAGAGACAGGGCTTCACCATGTTGGCCAGACTGGTCTGGAACTCCTGACCTCAGGCAATTCGCCCGCCTCGGCCTCCCAAAGTGCTGGGATTACAGGCGTGAGCCACCGCGCCCTGCCCACGCCAGGCTAATTTTTGTATTTTTAGTAGAGACGGGGTTTCGCCATGTCGCCCAGGCAGGTCTCTCACTCCTGGGCTCAAGCAATCGTCCCGTCTCAGCCTCCCAAAGTGCTGGGATTATAGGCATGAGACACCGCGCCAGGCCACTGTCTCACTGTCTTGGTAAATGCAAGCTACTACAAGTGCGCGTGACCCAGGACTGCCTGGGGGCAGGAGCTTCCGCCAGCCAATTCCCGCGCACGTGGATGCGCACGTGGAGGGCGAGCAGGAAGAGGGCGCGCACGTGGAGGGCTAACAGGAAGAGGGTGCGCACTTGGCCGGCGAGCTCCCCAGCTGGCGGCGGCGGCGGCTGTGAGCTGGCCGCTTGGTTTGGAGTCGGAACTCAATCCCCAGAACTGGATCTTTAGGTTCCACGTTGGCGGCCCTGGATCTAGGGACGCAACTCTTGGGGTCCTCCCACTGCGCCGCCTGGGGAGCCTGCTCCTGCTTCCTTTCCCGGCTAGCTGGCCCCGTCCTCTGAGGCCGTGCGAATTCCCGCCACCCTCCCTCACCCCGGAGCCCTGCCCTTCCCGCCCTATGTGGCCAAGGCTTCCAGGTGCGGGCCTCGCTCCACAACTCAGGAGGCAGGATCAGCGGCTCCATTTTACAGGTAAGGAAACTGAGGCCGAGGAACCGCAGGGGCGCGTGGTTAGCGCTCAGAGAGCACTCGACTTCCCTGGGACTCCTGGCTGGTCCAGGCCTTGCAGGTCAGCCCCGGTGCGGCCGCCGGGCTACTCTGGCGCTTTTCAGGTTCCTGCGACCCCGCGTGGTTCGGGTTCCGACGTGAGCCGGGCCCTCCTCTCCACAGGCCACTGCGCGGCCGGCCTTGGTGGGGTGGAACCTTAGATTGGTTTGAGAACTGGTTTATGTTTTGGTTGATGTGGCATGTTTTGTTTTGATTTTTAATGTTCCCCAGGGTGCAAAGGGTAGCTGGTGTTTTCTTTCCAGAAAGGCTTTCTATTCCCAGCCCCTGCCCGGTTTGATGGATGTGGAGTTTATGATGCTGGAGACCGTTTTCTTTGTGGGTAGAACGCATCTCCTTTCATCTTTCAAATTGTGAGCTCAGTCCTTGCTGACAGGAGCCGCTGCTCTCGCCAGCATTCCCAAGCTATTAAATATTTGTTTAAAAGGATGGATATAAAACATGATGTTAGGAATAAGGCGTCTTGAAAAAGCAGTATTCGCAGAAACAGCACCATTGTAATATTCTGAATTCATCTTGGCTCTTTTGACATCAGGGCCCAAAGCACTTGGGATTCCGTAATTATTTGGCCTCATGCTACACTTTAAGACAGATTATTTTATTTTTCTTGTAGTCAGGAAAGTAAAAGAACAAAAAAACTGAGATGACATGTTGAAATCTCACTGCGAGGACGCGAGGGAGGATGAGGGAAGCGGGGAGGGCGGCTGAACGCTAAAGGCTGGGGCTGGGGTTTGCAGGATTCGGGGAGACAAGAGCCCAGGCAGAGGGATGTGCTGGGCAGAGGGGGCGCCATCCATGGGCTGCATTGTAGAGTGAGCATGGCCAAGTCAAGGAGCTGAACAAGACGACTTCAGTCCTGAACCTGGAAAGAATGTGAGATGGAGGAGAAACAGGTCCTGGCTGGCGGGTATTGGGCCCCAGGAGGGAAAGAGATAACAAAGTTAAGTTTGGAGACTAACGCTGTCTCCTGTTTGACTGGGGGGCCTTCATATCCCCTCCCACGCTGTCAGGACACGTACTGTAGGCACTGGAGCAGGTCACACCAACTAGAATGATCGGTTTCCATCCATTCCGGGATGCATTTTTGTTCACATTTTAGCAGCTCTGAAGTTGGGCTGGGTCCCACAGTTTGTGTCTTTCTTTGTGTCATCGTTCACTTGGCAGCTTTTTGTCGGTCTTAGTGGCACAGAAAGTCACAGTGCCTTAAACCCAGCAGCATCTTAGCTGTGATGAAGGAGTCAGCCATGGCCTGAGTCCAGTAACTGCAGGATCCAGAGTTGGAGACGCAGGCAGAGAAGATGACCCACCTCAGCCTGCACCCTTTTGTTGTTTATGTCTTTGTCTTTGAAAGTGCTTGTTTCAAGGCATGTGAGGGAGGGGATTGGCAAAAGCAAAAACCTGGAAACAACAGATAGACAAATGAAAAATGTGTTACTTTGTGGTTGGGAGAGGGAAGAAACAGCTGGTAGCTGCATCTCCCTTCCAGGTAAAATTGGAATGCCATATAATCACTGGTAGATAGCACCTTTGAGTGAAAGGCATTTTGCAGCAGCTAGAGTCAGCTGCCCACTGAGCAGGCAGCCCTGGCCCAAGAGCCTCATAAGCAGCCAGCCAGTCTGAATACGCTGATTGGGCCAGTGAGCCCCAGGCTTCATCATCTGCTTGAGTCTTGGTGAGCCCTGGGTCTGTCCTATGACAGAAACTTCCTGCTGCTGTAAGCTCCTCTAGGGCAGAGACTGCATCTTCCTCATCCTTGAGGTCCCAATGCTCAGCATACTGCCTGACACATAGAAGATGCTAAATTGGGGTTTGTTGAGCGGGAACTGTATTGAACAGGTTGGGCAAATTGTCTTCCTGGTGGCGGAGTGAAAGTTTTTATGTACCACTTTGGCAGGGCACAGTGGCTCACACCCGTAATCCCAGCACTTTGGGAGGCTGAAGCGGCAGATCACAAGGTCAGGAGATCGAGACCAGCCTGGCCAACATGGTGAAACCCCATCACTACTAAAAATTAGCTGGGTGTGGTGGCACCTACCTGTAATCTCAGCTTCTCAGGAGGCTGAGGCAGGAGAATCGCTTGAACCCGGGAGGCGGAGGTTGCAGTGAACCGAGATTGTGCCATTACACTCCAGCCTGGGCAATAAGCGAAACTGTCTTGGAAAAAAAAATTCATAGCAGATTTATTCATAATACCTTGAAACAAGAAATAACTCAAATGCTCATCAACAGCGGAATGGATAAATAAGTAGTAGTTATTCATATGATGAAATATTGTATAGTAATAAAGATTACTGAACTGCTGCATGAACTACTGCTACAGGCATATAGCATGCAACAACATACATTTAGCAGTAGTTCGTGGATGATTTTCACATGCATAATGTTGAATAAAATATATGCAGAAGTGCACAAAATTGATGATTTGGCTGGATGCAGTGGCTCACGCCTGTAATCCCAGCGCTTTGTTAGCTGAGGTGACCAGATCACCTGAGCCTAGGAGTTTGAGACCAGCCTGGGCAACACAATGAAACTGTTTCTACAGAAAAATATAAAAATTAGCTGGGCATGGTGGCACATACCTGTAGTCCTAGCTACTCAGAAGGCTGAAGCAGGAGGATTGTTTGATCCCAGGAGGTTGAGGCTGCAGTGAGCTGTTATCACACCATCCGAGTCTGGGCAGCAGAGCGAGACTATGTCTCAAAAATATATATATATGATTTTATGTATGTGAAGTTCAAGAACAGGCAAAATAATCGGTGGTGATAGAGGCAGAGTAGTATAACCTTTGGGGTTATTGACTGGAGGAGGTACTTCTAGAATGTAAGAAATATTCAATATGTTGATCTGGTAATGGTTACCATATGTATGTATATGTGTATATATATGCACACACAGACACACATTTATACTAAATGTACACATATGTACATAAAAATCAATCATGCTGAACACTTAAGATTTGTGCATTTAGAGCCAGGCATGGTGGCTCATGGAATCCCAGCACTTTGGGAGGCTGAGGCAGGAGGATTGTTTGATCCCAGGAGTTCAAGGCTGACCTGGTCAAGGTAGCAAGAACCCTGTCTCTACAAAAATATTTTAAAATTAGCCAGGCATGGTGGTGTGTGCCTGCAGTCCTAGCTACTCGGGAGGCTGAGGCAGGCGGATTGCTTCGGCTCAAGAGCTGAAGGTGGCAGGAAGCTATGATGATGACAGTACACTCCAGTCTATGTGACAGAGAGAGACTATATCTCTAAAATAAAATAAATTAGACTGGGTGCAGTGGCTCACGCCTGTAATCCCAGCACTTTGGGAAGCCAAGGCAGGAGGATTGCTTGAGCCCAGGAGTTCAAGACCATCCTGGGCAACATAGCAAGAACCCTGTCTCTACAAAAAAAAAAAAAAAAAAAAAAAATTAGCTGGGCATGGTGGTGTGAACCTGCACTCCTAGCTACTCAGGAGGTTGAGGCAGGAGGGTTGCTTGGGCCCAGGAGTTCAAGGTTGCAGAGAGCTGTGATCATGACATTGCACTCCAGTCTACATGACAGAGACAGACTCTGTCTCTAACAAAAATAAATAAATAAATTAGGCCAGGTGCGGTGGCTCATGCCTGTAATCCCAGCACTGTGGGAGACTGAGGCGGGTGGATTGCTTGAGCTCAGGAGTTCGAGACCAGCCTGGGTAATATGGTGAAACTCCATCTCTACAAAAAATACAAAAATTAACCAGGCATGGTGGTGCACGCCTGTCGTCCCAGCTACTCGGGAAGCTGAGGTGGGAGGATGACTTGACGCTGGGAGGCAGAAGTTGCAGAGCCAAGATTGCACCGTTATACTCCAGCCTGGGTGACACAGCCAGACCCTGTCTCTAAAATAAAATAATAATATATATAAAGTATGTACATATACTATATGAATATATATATTTATGTACTGTAAGTTATACATCAATTAAAAAGTGAAGAATGTTTCTTGTGTGGGTTATGGATCCAAGTGTGAAATACAAAATAATAAAAATTCTCAAAGCTGGCATATGAAAATATGTTCATGACTTTGGAATAAACGAAGATTTTTTCTTTTTTTTTGAGACAGGGTCTTACTTTGTCACCCAGGCTGGAGTGCAGTAGTGCGATCACAGCTCACTGCAACCTTGACCTCCTGGACTCAGATGATCCTCCCACTCAGCCTCCCAAGTAGCTGGTACTGCAGGTGCACACCACCATGCCCAGCTAATTTTTGCGTTTTTTTGTAGAGACAGGGTTTCACTGTGTTGCCTGGGCTGGTCTCAAACTCTTGGACTCAAGCGATCTGCCTTTCTCAGCCTCCCAAAGTGCTGGGATTACAGGTGTGAGCCCCTGTGCCCAGCCTAGAGGACAGTTTCTTTCTTTCTTTTTTTTTTTTTTTTTTTTTTGAGACGGAGTCTCACTCTGTCACCCAGGCTATAGTGCAGTGGCGCCATCTCGGCTCACTGCAAGCTCCGCCTCCCAGGTTCACGCCATTCTCCTGCCTCAGCCTCCCGAGTAGCTGGGACTACAGGCATCCACCACCACGCCTGGCTGATTTTTAGTAGAGATGGGGTTTCACGTGTTGGCCAGGGTGACCTCGATCTCCTCACCTCGTGATCTGCCTGCCTTGGCCTCCCAAAGAGGACAGTTTCTTAAACAGGATACAGAAAGCACCAACTGCAGAAGAAAATGTTGATAAATTGGGCTACATTAAAGTTAAGGACTTTTCTTTATCGAAATATACCATTAATAGAGTGAAATGATCCTTTGTGGTTCATAAGCATGATGATTGAGTGTTCACGTGCATGTGTGAGATGTGCCACCCTGAGACCTCGTTACGAAGTCAACGTATTACCCATTTGAGATTACCAAAAAAGAGTGAGTTGGGCGCGGTGGCTCACACCTGTAATCCTAGCACTTTGGGAGGCTGAGGTGGGTGGATCCCTTGAGGCCAGGAGTTCGAGACTAGCCCAGACAACATGGTGAAACCCCATCTCTACTAAAAATACAAAAATTAACTGGGCATGGTGGCGGGTGCCTGTAATCCCAGCTACTTGGGAGGCTGAGGCAGGAGAATCACTTGGACCCGGGAGGTTGCAGTGAGCTGAGATCGCACCACTGCACTCCCACCTGGGTGACAGAGTAAGACTCCGTCTCAAAGAAAAAAAATAAATAGAATGAAAGAGAAGCCATTCAGTGGAATAAAATATTTGCAGCGCATATAACTGATCAAAGACTCATTTCAAGACTGTGTAAAGAATACTTCACAGATCTAAAATGGGCAATAGACTTGAATTGGCACTTTACAAAAGAAGATGTCTATAGGTACCCACAAAAATTTAAAATGTAAAAATTGAAAAAAAAAGATATCTAGGTCAGGACTCCATATGAAAAGGTGCTCAACCTCATTAGAACCAGGGAAACCCAAATTAAAAAATGCAAGGAGGCTGGCTCGGTTGCTCATGCCTGTAGTTCCAGCACTTTCGGAGGCCAGGGTGGGAGGATCACTTGAGCCCAGAAGTTTGAGACCAACCTGGGCAACATAGAAAGACCTCCACCTCTACAAAAAATAAAAAATTGCCTGGGCATTATGGCATGAATCTGTAGTTGTAGCTACACAAGAGGCTAAGTTAAGGCAGGAGGATTGCTTGAGGCCAAGAGTTCTAGGCTGCAGTGAGCTATGATCACACCACTGCACTCCAGCCTGGGTGACAGAGCAAGACCTCATCTCCAAAATTCTTTTTAAAATTAAATTTTAAATTACATAAGGAGACCGGACACAGTGGCTCACACCTGTAATCCCAGCACTTTGGGAGGCCGAGGTGGGAGGATCACTTGAGCTCAGGAGTTCTAAACCAGCCTGGGCAACATGGTGAAACCCTGTCTCTACTCAAAATACAAAAATTAGCTGGGTGTGGTGGTGCATGCCTGTAATCCCAGCTACTTGGGAAGCTGAGGCATGAGAATTGCTTAAAACGGGGAGGCGGAGGTTGCAGTGAGCCAAGATTGCGCACTACTGCACTCCAGCCTGGGTGACAGAGAGAGACTCTGTCTCAAAAAAACAAACAAAAAAACCCCACAAAGAAACACCATTACACGCTGACTAGAATGGCAAACATTTAAGATACCAGCAATCTCAAGTATTGACAAGGATGGAACAGGAGAATTCTGACATGTGGCTAGTAGGAGGATAAAACTTTAAAACTGTTTAGCCCTATCTACTATAATGGACATACCTATTCCCTGTGACCCATCAATATGATATGTAGGTACATTCTCAACAGAAATGTGACTCAGTGCAATCCCGACTCACGTCAGTCAGAATGGCTGTTACTCAAAAGTCAAAAAATAGCAAATGTTGGTGAGGATGCAGAGAAAAGGGAACACTTATACACAGTTGGTGGGAATGTAAATTAGTCAAACCTTTATGTGAAACAGTATGGAGATTTCTCAAAGAACTAAAAACAGAACTACCATTCAACCCACCAATCCCACTACTGGGTATCTTCCTGAAGGAAGATAAATTGTTATATCAAAACGACACTTGCACTCATATGTTTATCACAGCACTAGTCACAATAGCAAAGTTATGGAATCAACCTAAGTGTCCATCAACAGATGATTGGATAAAGAAAATGTGATATAGGATGGGTGCAGTGGCTCATGCCTGTAATTCCAGCACTTTGGAAGGCTAAGGCGGGCAGATTACTTGAGGTCAGGAGTTTGAGACCAGCTTGGCCAACATGATGAAACCCCGTCTCTACTAATAAAGTACAAAAATTGAGGTTGCAGTGAGTGAAGATCGTACCACTGCACTCCAGCCTGGATGACAGAGTGCGACTCTGTCTCAGGAAAAAAAAAAAAAAAAAAATGCCTGGGCGCAGTGGCTCACGCCTGTAATCCCAGCACTTTGGGAGGCTGAGGCAGGCAGATCACGAGGTCAGGAGATGGAGACCATCCTGGCCAACGTGGTGAAACCCCATCTCTACTAAAATACAAAAAATTAGCCAGGCATGGTGGTGTGTGTCTGTAGTCCCAGCTACTCAGGAGGCTGAGGCAGGGGAATTGCTTAAACCTGGGAGGTGGAGGTTGCAGTGAGCTGAGATCACACCACTGCACTCCAGCCTGGCAACAGAGCAAGACTCTGTTTCAAAAAAAAAAAAAAAAAAAAAGTGATACATACACCATAGAATACTATGCAGCCATAAAAAAGAATGAAATCGGCCGGGTGCAGTGGCTCACACCTGTAATCCCAGCACTTTGAGAGGCCGAGGCGGGCGGATCACGAGGTCAGGAGATGGAGACCATCCTGGCTAACATGGTGAAACCCCGTCCCTGCTAAAAATACGAAAAAATTAGCCGGGCGTGGTGGCGGGCGCCTGTAATTCCAGCTACTCGGGAGGCTGAGGTAGGAGAATGGCGTGAACCTGGGAGGCAGAGCTTGCAGTGAGCCAAGATGACGCCGCTGCACTCCAGCCTGGTGACAAAGTGAGACTCCGTCTCAAAAAAAAAAAAAAAGAAGAAATCATATCTCTTGTAGCAACAAGGATGGAGCTGGAGGCCTGTATCCTACATGAAATAACTCAGAAACAGAAAGTCAAATACCACATATTCTCACTTACAAGTGGAACTAAACACTGGGTGTACTTGGATGTACAGAAGGAAGCCACAGACACTGGGGACTCCAAAAGTGGGGAGGTTGAAAGCGGGGTGAGGATTGAAAAATTACCTGTTGAGTATAATGTTCACTATTCAGGTGATGGGCACACTAAAAGCCGAAACCTCACCAGTATGCAGTATATTCATGTAACAAACATGCACATGTACCCTCTGAATCTATTTTTTTAAAAATGTGTGTGTGATTTTGTGTATGTAAAAGTCAAGGAAGATGATGTTCATAGAAGCATTCAAACATTTGGTATGGTGCATGTCAATGTATAGTAGTGCCAAACACCTAATTTTCTGAGAATCCATTCTGCATCAGGCCATGGGCTGAGTGCTAGGATGCTGAGATGAGACGACTTCCGTGCACTAAGGTGAGGAAAGAAGAGAACTGAGTCATCAGTGTGGAGAAGACGCATGTGAGGATGAAGAGGAATAGTTGAGAAGTTGTGTCATTTTTTTTCCGTTAGCAATGACGTTTTCTCCTCTGATGGACTTCAAAGTGCTCCCTCTTGCCGGTCGCCCCCCTCCCCCGCCCGCCCCACCCTCCAGCGATGAACTGCTGAACTTGCAGAAACCCTTGCAGAGTGCCCTGGGCTTCGTGATCTTGAGAAGCAGCCAAAACTGGAACAGCAAAAACCGTCAACGCTGGAGTAGAACAAAGGCCGGTATTATGCGTCCTAAACTTAGTGGGCTCTTACATTGTTAGGATGACACAGAAAGCACTTGTGCTCAGAAAAGAAACTGATCTAAAAAGGAGGAAATATCCTTCCCTCCTTCCCCCTCCCCCATTGCGTGCAGCCTTTGCTGTATGGAATTCTTCTTGGTGCATCAGCAGTTTCTGCTGCTTCTCCTATTTTATTCTTACCATCCCTATGGACTTTGCAACACTAAAACGTTTGCTTGGTTTAGTTGGTAGAGTTTTCTTGTCTTTGGCAAATGTTCCAGACTCATCTGAGATCCCTAAGTAAAAGTTTGTTTAAAGAGCAATTTTAATTCTTGACCCTCCCCACCAAAAAAAAAAAAAAAAAATTCCCAAAAGGCACGGTCGTTCACGTTTTTCTTTTTGTTGTTGTTTTTCTTTTTTTTTTTTTTTTTTTGAGACGGAGTCTCGCTCTGTCGCCCAGGCCAGAGTGCAGTGGTGTGATCTCGGCTCACTGCAACCTCCACCTCCCGGGTTCAAGCAATTATCCTACCTCGGCCTGCTGAATAGCGGGGATTACAGGCTCATGCCACCACGCCTGGCTAATTTTTGTATTTTCTTTACTTTTTTTTTTTTTTTTTTTTTTTGAGACAGAGTCTTGCTCTGTCACCCAGGCTGGAGTGCAGTGGCGTGATCTTGGCTCACTGCAACCTCTGCCTCCCGGGTTCAAGCAATTCTCCTGCTTCAGCGTCCCGAGTAGCTGGGACTCCAGGTGCCTGCCACCACGCCCAGCTAATTTTTGTATTTTTAGTACAGACAGGGTTTCCCCATGTTGGCCAGTCTGGTCTCAAACTCCTGACCTCAGGTGATCCACTCACCTTGGCCTCCCAAAGTGCTGGGGATTACAGGTGTGAACCACTGTGCCCAGCCCACATCGAGTTTCTCTAGAAGGTTTTATGTGTTTATTTATTTTATTTTATTTTATTTATTTTTTGAAAATGAGTCTCCCTTTGTTGTCCAGGCCAGAGTGCAGTGGCATGATCTTAGCTCACTACAACCTCCGCCTCCCAGGTTCAAGCAATTCTCCTGCCTCAGCCTCCTGAGTAGCTGGGACTACAGGCACCCACCACCATACCTGGCTAATTTTTTTTGTATTTTTAGTAAAGATGGGGTTTCGCCATGTTGGCCAGGCTGGTCTTGAACTCCTGACCTCAAGTGATTTGCCCGCCTTGGCCTCCCAAAGTACTGAGATTACAGGCGTGAGCCACCATGCCTAGCCCTGTTTTCACTTTTTGACTATTATGAATAATGCTGCTGTGGATATTTGTGTGCAAGATTTTGTATGGATATTTGTTTTCAGTTCTTTTGGATATTATACCTAGGAGTTTTTATTGTGGTCAGAAGATACTTTATATGATTTCAATGTTTAAGTTTATTAAGAATTGTTTTGGCCAGGCATGGTGGCTCACGCCTGTAATCCCAGCACTTTGGGAGGCCAAGGCAGGTGGATCATGAGGTCAGGAGGTTGAGACCATCCTGGCTAACACGGTGAAACCCCATCTCTACTAAAAATACAAAAAATTAGCCGGGCATGGTGGCACGCACCTGTAGTCCCAGCTACTCGGAGGCTGAGGCAGGAGAATCGCTTGAACCTGGGAGGAGGAGGTTGCAGTGAGCCAAGATTGTGCCACTGCACTCCAGCCTAGGCAACAGAGTAACACTCTCTCTCAAAAAAAAAAAAAAAGAATTGTTTTATGGCCTATCATATACCATATGGTCTATCCTGAAGAATATTCCATGTGTACTTAGGAAGAATGTGTATTCTGCTGTTGTGGGGTAAAGTGTTCTGTTGGTTTATAGTGTTGTTCAATTCCCCTACCTTCTTTTGGCCTTCTGTGTAGTTGTTTTATTATTGAAAGTAGTATATTAGATCGGGCGCGGTGGTTCATGCCTGTATTCCCAAACTTTGGGAGGCCAAGGCAAGCCTTCTGCGCTTGTTATTTTTAGACTGTGATTGACTGCAGTTAGCTGAAACTGGAAAGTGAAATCGATAAGGGGGAACTATGGTACATTTAGTGTAACATGTTTTTCTATGGTACATTTAGTGTAACATGTTTTGAAATGTGTAGATGGAAGATAAAGGGGTTTATTAATTGGTACAAATATACAGCTTGATAGAAGAAATTAGGCTTAGTGTTGAGTAGATTAGTAGGGTGACTATAGTTTACAATAATTTATTGTATATTTCAAAATAGCTAGAAGAGAATAATTGGAATGTTTTGAGCAAAAAGACAAGCATTTAAGGTGATGGATATCCCAGTTACACTGATTTGATCTTTACGAATTATAGGCATGTGTTAAATTATCAAATGTACCCCCAAAATATGTACATCTGTTATGCATCAATTAAAACAATTTTTGAAAGAAGTATGCTTACACTGTGGAATAGGTAAATCCAGCTAATTAACATATGTATTACTTTACATACTAACCATATTTTTCTGGCGAGTATACTTAAAATCTCCTATCTTAACAATTTTCAAGAATACTATATGTTACTATACAGTGTACTATACATAACTATACATAGTGCATAACTATACATACTGTACATTGTTATTCTGTCATGTTATACAGTAGAACTCTGGAATTCATTCCCCCATCTGACAGAAGTTTTTTGTTCTTTGACTACATCTCTGTTATAGCTTCTTGATGATTGGTTCTTTTTTTTTTTTTTTTTTTTTTTTGAGACAGAGTCTCACTCTGTCACCCAGGTTAGATAGAGTGCAGTGGCACGATCTAGGCTTACTGCAACCTCCGCCTCCCGGGTTCAAACGATTCTCCTGCCTCAGTCTCCCGAGTAGCTGGGATTACAGGCTTATGCCACCAAGCCCAGCTAATTTTTGTATTTTTAGTAGAGGCGGTGTTTCATCATGTTGGCCAGGCTGGTCTCGAACTCTTGACCTCAAGTGATAACGCCCGCCTCGGCCTCCCAAAGTGCTGGGATTACAGGTGTGAGCCACTGCTCCTGGCCGATGATTGATTCTTGTGTCAATATATAATCTTTGTCTCTTGTACTTTTTGACTTAAAGTTTATTTGTGTGACTTAAAGTCACTTAAGTCTGTTATTAGTGTAACTACCCGAGCTTTCTTTTAGTACTATTTGCATGGAATATCTTTTTGCATACTTGCATTTTCAACCTATTTGTGTCTTCCACATATCATAATGTAGTTGAATCATGTTTTTTAAATGTATATTGCCAATCTCTGTCTTTTGATTGGAGAATTTAATCCGTTTATATTTGAACTAATTACTGATAAGGAATGACTTCTGCCATTTTGCTATTTGTTTTCTATATATTTTTCTTTTTCTTCCATTAATGCCTTTTGTGTTTATTTTCTTGTAGTATATTGTTTTAATTGCCTCCTCATTTCCTTTTTTTTTTTTTTTTTTTTTTTTGAGATGGAGTCTTGCTCTGTTGCCCAGGCTGGAGTACAGTGGCACGATCTTGGCTCACTGCAACCTCCGCCTCTTGGGTTCATGCCATTCTCCTGCCTCAGCCTCCTGAGTAGCTGGGACTACAGGCGTCCACCACCACACCTGGCTAATTTTTTGTATTTTTAGTGGAGATGGGGTTTCACTGTGTTAGCCAGGATGGTCTCGATCTCCTGACCTCATGATCCGCCCACCTCAGCCTCCCAAAGTGCTGGGATTACAGGCGTGAGCCACTGCGCCCAGCCCCTTTTCTGTATATTTTTAAGTTATTTCCTTAGTGATTACCCTGGAGATTATAATTCATATCTTAAATTTATTTATTTATTATTTATTTATGTATTTTGAGACAGAGTCTCACTCTGTTGCTCAGGTTGGAGTGCAGTGGTGCAATCTTGGCTCACTGCAACTGCCGTCTCCTGGGTTCAAGTGATTCTCCTGCCCCAGCCCCCTGAGTAGCTGGGATTACAGGCGTGTGCCACCATGCCTGGCTAATTTTTTTTGTATTTTTAGTAGAGATGGGGTTTTGTCATGTTGGCCAGGCTGGTCTCGAACTCTGACCTCAGATGACCCACCCTCCTCGGCCTCCCAAAGTGCTGGGATTACAGATGTGAGCCACCGCACCCAGCCTCATTATTATAAAATTTTAATGTTTTGATTATTTATTGACCATGTGTCATAGTCATGTTGATTTGAATTTCTTTCACTATTGAGTTTGAATCTTGTTGTTTGTTTTTTGTAAACTGCGATTTCCTTTGATCATTAGACTCTTTATTAGCCTTTCATCTGTGTTGCAGTTTGAGCCTGGGTCCGATCCAATGGGAGATGTCTGTGTGTGTGCCATGGTCCATCTTGACTGGAGACAGGCAGTTCCTCCTACTGGAGGACGCTTGTTGGGCCAGCCCCAGGGCCTCTTAAATCACTCATTCATTCAGCGAAAATGCACAAATACCTACTGTGGGCCAGGTCTGTGCTGGTGCTTGGGAAATGGCAGGAACCAGACATCCCTGTTCCATACCTTGTGAACAAACAGACTTACAGGGTGGCACCAAGTAAGTAAGATGGGTGGGGCGTCATCTCAGAACATAGCTTTTCTGCTGAGCTGTGCTGGTTTTGTTTTGGTTTTGGTTTTTTTTTTTTTTGAAATGGAGTCTCACTCTGTTGCCAGGCTGGCATGCAGTGGCACCATCTTGGGTCACTGCAACCTCTACCTCCCAGGTTCAAGCAATTCTCCTGCCTCAGCCTCCCGAGTAGCTGAGACTAAGGCACACGCCGCCACGCCCGGCTAATTTTTTTTATTTTTATTTTACTAGAGACGGGTTTCACCATGTTGCCCAGGCTGGGCTTGACCTCCTGACCTCAGGTGATCCGTCCACCTTGGCGCATGTCTGTAATCCCAGCTACTTGGGAGGCTGAGGCAGGAGAATCGCTTGAACCCAGGAGGCAGAGGTTGCAGTGAGCCAAGATCACGCCGCTGCACTCCAGCCTGGGCGAGAGAGTGAGACTCCGTCTAAAAAAAGAAAATTGATATCCTCACATTTGCCCATCATGTCCTTGAAATGAGAAGTCAGATTGTTCTCTCCATCTCAGCAACTTGACCTTGGTGGGATCAGAAGGCCAGTCCTCAGGGCGGACCCTCTTGGGCACAGTGGGCCCAGGCCCTCCTCTGTGGGAATCACGGGGTTTAGAACCTTTAGCTTTCTTCTGGAGGTTCACCTGCCCTCACAGGCGCTTCCTTCCAGGACAGATGTCCCACGGCTTGCAGATGGCTGGGCCCCAGGAGACGGTGCTAGCCCTTCCTCTGAGAGAAGGTAGGCGTCTCTCACCTGCACAGGTAAATCCCCACTGAGGTTTGGGGGCGAGAGGAAGTGGAGAGCCCATGGCTGAAGGATTTCCCTTGCATCCTTCCCACAGCAACCCCAAGTTGTTCTCTCACCCATTTGCTGCTCTCCTTACCCAGTGTGGCTTGACGTCTGGGACAGTGGCAGGTGGGCAGAGGGACCACAGTATTCTGTCCTGTCTGCAGGGGTGCAGGCTGCCGCCACCGTGCCCATCCTCCTGTACAACCTGGAGGATGGCTTGTCAGACCATCCCCTGGACCAGGGGCCCCGCTGCCCTGCCCGGCGGCCCTGCAGCCCTGCCTCGGCTCCAGCTCCCACATCGCCAAAGAAGCCCAAGATACAGGCACCTGGGGAAACGTTTCCCACTGACTGGAGCCCCCCGCCCGTGGAATTCCTCAACCCGAGGGTGCTGCAGGCCAGTCGGGAGGCCCCGGCCCAGAGGTGGGTGGGTGTGGTGGGCCCCCAGGGCCTGAGGAGACTGGCTGGTGAGCTGCCCGAGGAGTTGGAGCAGGAACACCTGGACTTGGACCCGAAGAGGGGCCTGGCCTTGCCAGAGAAGCTGTTCTGGAACACGTCAGGCCTGAGCCAGCAGGCTGCGGCCCCAGAGGTGAGCCTGTGTCCACCCTTGGCCTCTTCTCCTTGGCTACCCATCTTTAGCCACCCTTTTACAGTCACCCCAGGCCACCCTCTCCTGAGCCACGCCCCAGCTGCTCTTCCTCGGACACTTCACCTTGACCATCCCTGCTCAGCCCTTGGGCCCTCATGGCTGGAAGCGCAGGCCCCCAAGGCCAGGATGCACCTCGCCCTGTGTCTCCACCAGTAACTCCTGCTGACAAATGGCTTTGGGTGGCAACAAATTCGATGCCACTTCATGGGGCCCCTTGAGGCTTTCATGGCTGAGGTTAGGGTTATGGCCCCGGAGCAAGGAGGGATCTCAGAGCTGAGGTCTGGGCTTGGTTGTCTGTAGAGACTCAAGCTGACTCTGGTCCAGTGGATCGGGAGTCCTAAATGGAACTTCAATGATGAACTTCAAATTGGGAGTAAGCTCCTGCTGCTAGGTAGACTGTGGGACATTTACAGGCTGTGGATCGAGAACAGTTATTCTAAGAATGGGTTTCAGCTGTTTGTAACAGCCTGCGAGAGAGAGACAGACAGACAGACAGACAGAGACACAAGGGAGAGGGGGACAGAGGGAAGGAGAGAGAGAGGGAGGTGGGAGAGAGGGAAGGAGGGGGAGAAGGAGAGAGAGGGAGGGAGGGAGAGGAGAGGAGGAGAGGGCAATGGGGAGGGGCACAGTGGGAAAGGGAGCAGATAGGGAGGGGGAGAGAAGCTCTTTGGCTTTGATAGGGAATGATGTCAGATCATTGAGATTGAAAAGTGTGTGGTGCAGGATAGAGCCTGGTGCAGGATAAGCTGTGTGGTGTGGTGTGCTGGCGCCTGTGATGTGGTGTTGTTTGCTGTCTCTGTGTGAAGTGTCTCTGAAAGCACATGAGGAATGCCTATCCCATGGGCACCTGTGGGGAGGGAACAGGTGGCTGGGGGTGGGGATGGGGGCAGGGAGACATTTTACCCTGCGCCTTTATACTTTTTGATTTTTTAATCCTGTAAACATAGTATCTTTTCAGAAAAGCAAACAAAATAAATAAAGGGCTTAATTTAGTTTTTTTTCTTTTTTCTCCTCTATCTTTGTACTTCTCTGTCGTCCTCATTCCCATGTCCTGTTTCTCCAGTTTTCCTGGGGGGGCTCAGGAAGCTACTTCAACAACCTGGACTACTTACTGCAGGAGAAGAGGTGAGCACAGGGCGTGGCCTGTCATGGGGTGCTTATTTCTGCAGGGTTGGCAGCAGTCCCGGGACTCACTGCAGAGTCTGGTCGGAGTACAGCGGCCTCCCACCCAGACTCAGCCTGCCCTGTGTGCTCTGATCAGTAACAGGCAGGTCGCCAGGGCAGGGGGTGGCATCACCAAGGCAGAGAGCCCCCAGACTCCCACCACGAACAGAGCCCTCCTTCTGGGTCCCCTCTCCACCTTGGCTCCATTCTGCCCAACTCCTGCCAGTTTGAGGGTGTCTCCTCCCACTCAAGGGTTATGTGAGAGGGAAGTGGAAAAGCAGACTGTTTTGTGGCTGAGGGTTACAGCCTGGCTGTGGCTGGAGGGTCATGCTGGGCAGACGGGACTTCCTAACATTTCTGCCGCTGCTTTCTACCCCAGTGTGCAGGCACGCGTTGCCCATTTTCCCATCCTCTCTGAGTTTCACACCTGCCTTCTCCCAGCATATTAGCTTCTAACTAGCTCTCTCCCTGTCTGCCATAAGTAGTTTCCACGGACCGCTGAAGGCAACAGTCACGTCTGATGAGATTGGAAATCCCTAGGGAGGTGCAGGTGGCTGGGGACAGACAGGGGTCGTCTTCATGGGGGCATGCTCTTTGGTGGCATGTGAGCAGGTTGTTCACACTTCCTGAGTCTTTGTCCTCTCCCGTTGTTGTGTTGTGTTGTTTTTGTTCAGTGCATGTCCATTGTGTTTGCAGAAGTTAAGTGTGGGCGGGGGCGATGCCACCCTGGAACACCCAGCTCTCCTGGTGGGAGGACTGATACCCACTCTTTCCACCCTCCTCAAAGTTCCCAGCCCTGTTGGCAGAGAGCTCCTCATGCACTGGGATGAATTATTCTTTGGTCCATTCTTGGCCCTCTGGCCCGCCCTGGAGTCATCTCATCTGCCTCTGCTGTGCAGCCCCTCTGGGCTCCTCCGACCCGGGAACTTGTGTTGTTCAGCTCCTTCACCTGAGTGATTTTCTCCCATTAGATTGTACGTTAGGGAAGGGACCATGCCTATATATTTCCACGGTGCCCAGCATGGTGATGTACATTTAGTAGACGCTTGAAAATATTGGCAGGAAAATGAGCAGCTGGGGCCTCCTCGTGACTGCTTGTCGGTGTGCCTGGCATTGGGAGGGTCCTGCTCTGTGCTAGTCAGCTCGGGCTGCTGTAACAGGATGGCACACACTGGGGGCTTAAACAATACAGTTATTTCTCCCAGTTCTGGTGGCCAGCAGCCCAGGATTGAGGTTCTGGTCAGTCGGTTCCTGGTGAGGGCACTCTTTCTTGCTTCTTGCTGTGTCCTCACGTGGCAGAGAGAGCACAAGCTCTCTGGTGTCTCTTCTTTTAAGGACACTAATCCTGTGGGATCAGGGCCTGTCCTATGACCTCATTTTACCTTAATTACTTTCTTACTCCAAATATAGCTATACTGGGGTTAGGGCTTCAACATAGGAATTCTGGGAAGACACAGACATTTAGTCCATAGGACGCTGTGTGCTGCACCATGCCAGGCTCTGGATAGTGGAGCTGATGGTGCAGCCCCTGCTTCCCTGGCAATTTAGCATAATGATCTCATACTACCCACACTGTCATGTTGCCGTGGAGGAGCCCAGAAGAGTGACACCTAACTTAACCCGGAGTCGGAAAAGGCTCCCAGATGTATCCTTGTCACTGAACCTTGCAAGAAAGGAAGTTTTGTTTGGTGGGAGGGGGATGACTGCACATGTAAAGGTGGATAAGACAGACTGTGCCGGTTAGGACCCAAATTCTCAGTGCAGAGGGGTTGGAGGGGCGAGGCAGAAGATGCAGCCAAGATGAGATGTGCATGGGGCTGGAGCCTGAGGGGCCTTGTTGGACACAAGGCTGAGTCATGGGAGAAACTGAAGCAGGCAGAGATATGTTTTCTCTTGTTTAAGAAACTGCAGGCTGCATTTGGAGAAGGGATGGGAAGGGCAAGAGCAGGACAGTGATGAGGGGCTGAGGGGGCCTGGGACGGGCTCACAGCCAGGAGGCCCCTGGGAGGAGGGTGATGGGGCTTCTGGTGGGTCTGGTGGCCTGGCTGGTAGACATGGGTCATTGGAGGGGCCCAGTCACATTCAGCTAGAAATCACTCAGTGAGTGGCTGGCTAGCAGGATCTGAGCTCACGACAGGCCTGGGGTGGAGAGAAAATGTTAGAGAACTGAGGACCCATGGGCCCAACCAGGGTGGGCACCTGGAGGGACCAGACAGGGGCTGGGGAGGCTCCCAGGGCTCTCTCCACAGCCTGGGCGCAAGGACAAGGAAGGCTGTGTTGGTTTGCAGGGCGGGAGGAGGGTAGGGGTTGGGGCTCTGGCAAGGTAACAGGTGTGTGGGGCCTATTGTGGGGGCCAGTTGAAGTGAGGCGCGCAGGGGCTGGTGGCGGAAAACAGAGCCCCAGGAGTGAGGCCGGAAGGCTAAAGAGAGAAAGGGAATGAGCAGGAGCAGAGGGGCTGCCCTAAGTGGCTGCAGAGTCAGGCCATGCACGTGTCAGGGATGCCGAGGAGCCAGGGCACGAGATCTTTCCTGGTCACGTGGCTGAGGAGCAGAAGGGCTAGCCCTAGGCCTTGGTGTGTTTAAAAAAAAAGAACGAATCCGAGTGCTTGCCTGTTGTCCCTTGAGAGGCTGAGGTGGGAAATTGCTTGAGCCCAGGCATTTGAGGCTGCGATACACTTTGGTTGCATCTGTAAAAAGCCACTGCACTCTGGCCTAGGCAACACAGTGATGTCTGGTATCAAAAAAAAAAAAAAAAAAAAAAAAAAAGACCAAACAGGGTACACAAGTAAAGATGCATTGGAAGTTGTGTGGTGAGAACCATCTTCTGGCCTGCTTGCTCCTCTCTGCTCATTTGGGGAAAGCACAGTCTATGTAATGCAACCCGTCCCCATTGCCTTAAAAATCTGTGTGAGCGGCTTCACAAGGAGACCAGCCAGGACGGCGCAGCCCTCTGGTCTTGCTGTGTTGGTGGCAACACCTGCAGCCCAGTGACAGGGTTGCACGATGGGGAACAACACTGACCCCCGGCTCTGGCCCTCGACTTCCTATAGGGAACAGGCCCTGGAGCAGGAGCGAGAGAGGCTGCTTCTGCAGGAGTGTCTCAATCTCAACTCCTTGGATCTTGATGAAGAGGAAGTGCCACTCACACCCGAGCACAGGTGAGGGGCAGGGGCCTGGCACCAGCCTCCGAAGGGGAAAGACTGAGGTGCCAACCCCCTCTGGTTTTGGACAGAGTTTTGACCAACATGGTACAGTGATTTGTGTACTATTTGTGAATTCTAAAGCTACCTCTTTCTCTTAAAGCCACATTCACTCATTGATTCAAGAAAGATCTGATCACCTACTGTGCATCAGGGTCTCATTTGAGCCTTTGCCACACAGGGATCATAAAACACAGCTTGTTCTGCCCCAATTATCTGCCCAAATTCTTAGAAACAGATCTCGGGAAAATAACTACACAAAACCACAATCTAAATGAAATCTGCTTTCAAGGGGAGGTTACGACCATGTGAGATTTTTCATCTTCCCCTAACTGGAGAAGAGAAAGTAGCTCTGAGTGGGGGCCCTGATTTAATTGGGCCATTGGCTGGAGGGAGGGCTGGCTTCATCTCTACTTCGGAGCATCAGAGATGCCCAGGGCCACAACCGAATCCATCTTCAGGGCACACTGTTTTCCATCCGTCTTGGTCTGTTGGGGCTGCTAGAACAAAGGGCCATAGACTGGTGGCTTCTAAGCAGCTGAAGTCTGTTTCCCACAGTTATGGAGGCTGGAGGTCTGAGACCCGGGAGCCAGCAGGGTCGGTCCTGGTGAGAGCGCTCTTCCAGGTTGCAGACTGCCTAAGTCTCTGTGTCCTCACGTGACAGAAAGAGGCAAGAGAGCTCTCTGGGGCCCTTTCATAAGGGTACCAATCCTATTCATGAAGGCTCCACCCTCATGCCTCATCACCTCCCAAAGGCCCCACTTCCTAATACCTTCACCCTGGGGGTGAGGATTCAACACATATATTTTGGGGGGACACAAACATAAGCCTGTAACACCATCCATTCACCCATTTGTCCATGTGTCCATCCATCCACTCACCCAGCAGACATTTATCGAGTGCCAACTATGTGCGAGGCTCTGCTGTAGCTTCGGGATGTGGCAGGAACAAAACCAGACAATCTCTGCCTTCCCACTGCTTCAGCTTTCCTTCCGGAGACAAGCAGTAAATAAGATCAGTGAAGTTGTGCTGCAAGGGCTCCTGAGAAAGGCTAACGCTGGGGGCATAAGGAGTGCTGGGAAAGGTGTGGGCTCTGATGATGTGGGCTCTAATCATGTGGGCTTTGATGATGAAGGCTCTGATGATGAAGGGTGTGGGCTCTGATGATGAAGGGATGTGGGCTCTGGGAAGGGTGTGGGCTGTGATGAGGGCTCAGGGAAGGCCTTGTGAGCAGGTCTTCTAAGCAGCACCTCGAGGAGGTGAGAGCCAGTTCCAGGGACCCTGCTGTGGGAGTGCACCTGGCGTGTGGGAGCCTGGAGGAGGGGGCTGGTGGGGGATAGGAGGTGAGGGAGGCCAGGGGCAGGCACTGGCTCTTGGAGGCTTTCCTCTGAGTTAATTGGACACATGTCTGCATAGGACCCTCTGGCCGCTGTGTTGAGGATAGACCAGTTAGGTGTGGAGGCCAGGGCAGGAGGGAGGGGACCAGGAGCAGAGGAGGCCTTGGCAGGAATCCAAAAGTAATGACGGTGCTTGAGGATGGGGTGGACACTGAGGAGTGGGCAAATTCTGGGTGTATTTTCAGGGTAGAAGTGACAGGATTTGCTGACAAATGGATGGAAGGTCTAGGAGTAAGAGAGGACTCAAAAGGGACCCCCGGAGCTTAGGTCTGAGCAACTGGAAGGTTGGAGTTATCTTTAAATAAATTGGGGGAGGCTGGGCACGGTGGCTCATGCCTGTAATTGCAACACTTTGGGAGGCCAAGGCAGGAGGATTGCTTGGGCCCAGGAGTTTTAAGACCAGCCCCGGCAACACAGGGAGAGCTTGTCTGTCCTAAAACATTTTTAAAAAGTACACAGATGTGTTGGCACATGCCCGTAGTTCCAGCTACTTGGGAGGCTGAGATAGGAGGATCACTTGAGCCGGGGAGGTTGAGGCTGCAGTGAGCTGTGATCACACCACTGCACCACAGCCTGGGTGACACAGCAAGACCTTATCTCTTAAAAAAAAAAAATGGGGGGAGACTGATTGACTGCGCTACATGCTGCGGGTAGGGTGGGCTTGGAATCAAGGGTTCATTTGGGGCATCCTGGGGCAAGATCAGGGAGGCTACTTGGAGAGGCAAGCTTGGGAGTCACTGTGTACGTATGACATTTAAAGCCACAAAACCAGGGCAGAGCATGGTGGCTCTCATCTTGTAATCCCAGCGCTTTGGGAGGCTGAAGCAGGTGAATCACTTGAGCCAAGGAGTTTTGAGACCAGCCTGGCCAACATGGTGAAACCCTGAACCCTGTCTCTACTAAAAATACAAAAATTAGCTGGGCGTGGTGACGCGTACCTGTAATCCCAGCTACTCAGGAGGCTGAAGCAGGAGAATCACTTGAACCCGGGAGGTGGAGGTTGCAGTGAGCTGAGATCGTACCACCTCACTCCAGCCTGGGCGACAGAGCGAGACTCCGTCTCAAAAATAAAAGTAAATAATAAATAAAGCCACCAAACCGGATGATCACCTGGGGAGAGAGAACAGCAGGGGCCCAAGGGTATGGAGCCCACAGCATTTGGCAGCCACAAGGAGGAGATGGCAAAGGAGATGGAGCAGGTTGCAGGGAAGCCAGATGCCTGGGTGCCAGGCTGCTGGCCCAGAGTGGGAATGATTGACGTATGATTTAGAGGTCACAGTGCCCTGCACAGGAGCAGCTCTGCTGGAGGCTAACCTGACTGGAGTGGGCTCCTGGAAGAACAAGAAGGGACGAAGGAGAAGAATGGGCAGTAGCTGAAAAGGGAAGTGGGGTCAGATCAGTGGGGTGGTTTCTTTCTGGCTTTTCTGTTTCTCTTTCTTTGATAGAGTAACAGCACGTCTGTAGGCCAATGGTAGTGACCAAGGGAGCGGGGAATCGATGCTAGGGAGGCTGGAGGGGAAACTTGAAGAACATGTGCATTGGGCTGCAGGGGAGGAGGTGGCCCCAGCTGTGTGGCCAGGGTGGGTCAGGCAATACACCCCGTCTCCTCTGCCACCTGGGCCTTGCTGCTTCTGTGAGCCTGGCCGAGGTATTATTTAGTGCTGGTCTAAGCACCACATGGGCGAAGTTCAGTTGCACGCCCTAGGTTAGCATTCTGCATTCACTCTTTAAAGGCCTGTTGAGTGATAACACACAGAGTTCCTGGTGGAGGGATGTGGCCTGCTTTTAGGATCCCCACATTACATGGGTGCCCAGAGATAGTTATGAGTCACACCTGGGCTGGCCATTTACCTTTTTTTTTTTTGAAGTTTTTCTGATAATCATCTCTCTCTTTTATTTTATTTTTCCCCCAAGATGGAGTCTCACTCTGTCGCCCAGGCTGGAGTTATCTTGGCTCACTGCAACCTCCGCCTCCCAGGTTCAAACGATTCTCATGCTTCAGCCTCCCGAGAAGCTGGGACTACAGGTGTGGGCCACCACACCTGGCTAATTTTTATATTTTTAGTAGAGACAAGATTTTGCCACATTGGCCAGGCTGGTCTTGAACACCTGGCCACCAGGGCTCAAGCAATCTGCCTGCCTCGGCCTCCCCAAGTGCTGGGATTACAGGCGTGAGCCACCGTGCCCAGCCTGATAATCATCTCTTGACTAAATCAAGGATCAGCAAACTTTGTGAAAAGTTTGTAAATAGCAAATATTTTAGGCCTTGAGGACCAGGTGGTCTCTGTCAACTCTGCTGCTGCAGCAGGAGGCTCCTGCAGATGCTGGGTGAATGAAGGCGCATGGCTGTGCTGCAGTGAGCCCTTGTTGCAGAAACAGGCCCCACACAGGACTCGGCCTGCAGGCTGTACTTTGCCTGGCCCAAATTAGAAGGACCCCTGCCTCCTGACTGGTGCCAGTTTTTATGGTGAAAGTTTAGGAATGTGTTGGGATTTGAGCAGCCGTCCCAGGTGGACAAAGAGAGCTCCTCACACACTGCCCAGAGTTCCAGGGAAAGGCAGCCGGCCATGACGTCCCACATGGACTCCCACGAGGCAGGTGCTGCTTCCTGTCTGATGTTGCAGGAAGCATGTGGATGGGCATGGTGGGGCATGTAGACTGAATTTAATTAGCGTGTTTAGGGCCAAAGGCCTTCCTCGGCAAGAGCACTTTGGCAGCATTATATTTGATGAAAGCAACTTTCTCTCTGAGCTGAGGTGCATGGATTTGGTTTCCAGGTTCTCCACTCACTAGCTACATAGCCATGGAATCAAACCTTTTAAAACCTTTTTAAAAATCTCTGCAGCAAGAGTAATTCTTCCAGCTCTGTATCTTTCTACTGAGTACCTCCAGCATTCCGGAAGTCATGGCTTGGATGTTTTGAAACTCCTCACAGAAAGGAAGTTATCTGTGCAACCAGCTTAACGCAGAAGGTAGTCCTGGCTTTGAAAACACTGGTAATTTGCTGGGCGCATGACGTTTTCTAGTGGTGCTTTGAGAAAGCCTCTTTGACAGCAGCCACTTTGAGGTGGTGGTTTTGATGTGGGATCATCTGGATGGGACTGTTCAGCTTTCTGCTTTACAAAAGTCATTCACCAGTGTACAAAGCCAGCAGCCTCTTCATCCCTGAATAGGGCCAGGGAAGGGGGTGCAGGTCAGGAAGGGATGCTTAGGGTGGGGGCTGACCACTGCCTGCCAGACAAGGCGTCATCTAATTGCCACAACTGCCCGTCACAGAAAGGACCCCTGACAGTCCCGAGCAAGCATCTGTGCATGCTCTAACAATCGGCTTGCATCTTGAATGGGTGACATCCTCAATTCTCCATTTCTTAAAGTTAAAAGACCTTGCGTGTGTGCTGAGCCTGGGGCAGAGGCAGATATTTAAACCACAACATCATCCTTTATTCTCAGCTCTAGGCTGCACAGGAAATCCCCAATTAGATGTATAAGAGTCGCCTCAGGACTCTTAATAATGCACATACATTACAGCCAGCATCACAGAAGTCCCTTTAAAAGATGGTTTTAGGGACAGGGACAGGACCCCTTTGTAGATTAGCCTAGTTCTTATAGGCTTTTTTTTCTTTCTTTCTTTCTTTCTTTTTTTTTTTTTCTTGAGACGAAGTCTTGCACTGTTGCCAGGGCTGGAGTGCAATGGCACAGTCTTGGTTCACTGCAACCTCTACCTCCCAGGTTCAAGCAATTCTCCTGCCTCAGCCTCCCTTTTGTATTTTCTTCCCTTTGAGATGGAGTCTTGCTCTGTCACCCAGGCAGGAGTGCAGCGGTGCAATCTCGGCTTACCGCAACATCCACCTCCCAGATTCAAGCAATTCACCTGCCTCAGCCTCCCAAGTAGCTGGGATTACAGGTGCCGGCTACCACGCCCAGCTAATTTTTGTATTTTTAGTAGAGACGGGGTTTCACCATGTTGGCCAGGCTGGTCTTGAACTCCCGACCTCAGGTGATCCGCCCACCTCAGCCTCCCATAGTGCTGAGCCACCGCACCTGGCCTAGGCTTTTAATAATTTGTTCATTTTTTCAAACTAAAAAACAATTTAAGCAATAGATACAAAACTAATGGCAAAGACATGAACCAAACAGGAAATTGTTTTACCGTTTGTGTGGTGGTTTGGTGAGATGCTTCCTGAAGCCCGCAGGGTCAGAGTCCTCCCGGGTCTGCAGCATCGTTCCCATTTGTTGTGCCATTTCATTCTCAGGACCACCCTGTGATGTGGGTCAGGGCCGTACCTTGGGTCACTTGGCCAGAAAGTGAGACAGGTTCCATGTGCTAGGTTGGTGGGCTGCAGGCGACGCCACACCACACCCAGTGCCAGTTGCTCATGTCCAGATCCTAAGGGGGCCCCTGGGCTGTTCTGCCCCTGGGTTTGCTGTCCCAAACAGTGGGCCTAGCCGGAAACCAGGGAATGGGCCGTCTCCTGATTAGAGGAAGAGAGGCAGTGTCCAGAGCTTGTTTTATTTTATTGTTCCTGTTGTTAAATTTGTGTTATATTGCTATAAAATGAAGCAGAACATAGTTATATGAAGTAAAGAGGAAGTTGCCCTCTTTTCCTCTCCCCTCCCTCTGATTCTGCTCCCTGGGATGACCCTCAGTTGTAGTGGGATATGTCATATGCTGGGGGTGGGCGTTGCACGTGTCTGAGCATGTCTGTGTCCGTGCATATGTGTGTAGGCTTGTGTGTGTGTACACACACACACACACACACACACACACCCTCTGCTGCTGTTTTCACCCAAGAACTTGGGCTCAGCCACGTTGCCAGTCCTTCTTTATGTAGATTTAGCTCATTCTTGGGAAACATCTTCGCTGCCTCCCTTTTCCCCATCCTCATTTCAATGGGTCATTAAGTCCTGACAGTTTTCACCTCTCTCCGATACTGTTGAAATGTATCCCTTCTCCTCGTCCCTTCTTTGTCCATGGGGCCAGCTCCCATCCACTAAATCAGACTCTCTGGGCCGGACCGGGCCCAGGATCTGCATTGCAGCAGCTGTCTGGGTGGTCCTCAGAGCCCTGGAGCTTGAGGACTGCTGGCCCTGAGAGAGAATCAGGCTCCTTCATATGGGCTCAAGACCCTCCTGCTTCCGCCCACGCCCATGCCACCTGCTTGCCAGCCTTCCTGCCCCTCCCAGGATGCCGTCCCCGACACTGGCCGCACCCAGCGCTCCTCTCCTGGGCCCTTATGGAGCCGCCCTGTAGGCCTCTCTGTCCACTCGCCAGAGGGGATTGCCGTGATTTGTTTATGCCCTTCCTGGGTGGTCCATTCCTGACTCACCCTCCGTACCTGGCATTGTAGGTGTGCAGTGGAAGTCTGACCTGACAGATCCAGTGGGTGGGGTTGGGTCTTCTGGCTGCTGGACTGGTGCCCTGAGCAAGGGATAGGCCTTATTGATGGGAGACTGAAGGGCTCCTGCGTGCCTAGGTGGGCTCTTCCTCCATCAGCAGGTGGCGCTGTCCCCTTGGTTTGCCGCAAGGACTGCAAGGCAGGGAGCCCGTGGCCCCCCTCTATCCTTCCCTGGGCTAATGGCCATGCCTCAGGCCGAGGTGCATCTGCTGATGCCCGGCCCTCCTGCCCCTTGCCTTGCCAGGATGCTGGTGGAAAAGTACTCAGTGTCCCTGCAGACCATCCCGCCGGTCCATCCAGGTGAGACTGTGTTTCTGCCCAGGTGTCACCCCCTGCCATGCATCCTGGACTCCTCACTCCTGAAGCCACGCAGCCACCTGGAAGGGCTGTTCCTCAGGTAAGTGTGGGGAGGAGGGGTGAGGGGGTGGCGCAGCCTGTCCAGGACCCCTCCCTCCTGGAGTCCAGGGATAAGGGCCACCCCAAAGGGGGAAGTTCGAAGAGGTGATCAGGCCAATTTGAATGTGTCAGTTTTTAGAGATATAGGTGACATTGTCTACTTACAGTATTTCATTTACTAATTTTGTTGCACATAATTAAAAAATTCCCACATTATAGCAGATAGCCAGTTGTGCATTTACAGGTTCATGTTGCTTTTCCCTCCCCTACACCCCAGTGTCACAGAACAGCAGACTCACCATGAGTGCCTTGGGGCTGTGTCTCCATCAGCACTGGCCCCTTCCTGGGCCATCGAGGGCACGTGATGGGCCCTTCCACATACTTGTTGGAGGCACTTCAGTGTGTGTGTGATGCAGACACTGAAAAGCGTGTCCCCAGCTGCAGGCACATGCTCTAACAATACAACAGCTGTCTTATTCTTTTTGGGAGTAAATGCATGATCATTATCACGTAACCATTGACTATATTGCTTTTTGAGAGAATTTTTAAAAGATTTACCACAACCTTATCCAACACTTGGAATTATGAGCTAATATATCCAAGAAGAAGAGGAAAGAAAGTCCTCAGGGTTCAGTGCAGCGGCGTCTGCTGGGTGCTCACACAGGCTGGTGCCCTGTGGGGCTGGAGGCCAGGGCGGTGGAGAAGGGGCTGTCCTTGCCCACCTGGTGAGGAACACAGAGGTGGAGCTGCTGCTGTGGTCTCTTCGGCCACCTTAGGACTTGAATGCCAGAGTCTTGCTCTCTTTTCCAGTTATACAGGGCTTATGTTTATTTCATGAATTCCAAGTCCGTCTTATTGTATGATACAAAGATTACTGTTAACATTCTGATATGCTTCCTTTGAAAGTTTTTATCGTGGAAAGTTAACAAACACATATCAAAGTATAGAGAACCATATAACGTCCCTCCACACACCCATCACTCACTTTCAGCAAGGATCAACTCAAAGCCAATCTTGTTTCCTCTCAACCTCTGCCTACCAACACCATTATTGCAGGATTACTTTTTTTTTTTTTTTTTTTTTTTTTTTCAAAACTGAGTCTCGCTCTGTCACCCAGGCTGGAGTGCAGTGGCGTGATCTCGGCTCACTGCAACCTCCGCCTCCTGGGTTCAAGCGATTCTCATGCCTCAGCCTCCTGAGTAGCTGGGACTACAGGCACCTGCCACCATGCCTGGCTAATTTTTGTATTTTTAGTAGAGACGGGGTTTCACCATGTTGGTCAGGCTGGTCTCGAATTCCTGACCTTGTGATCTGCCCACCTCGGCCTCCCAAAGTGCTGGGATTACAGGCATGAGCCACCGTGTCCAGCCACCTCAGGAATACTTTTAAGCAAATCCTCAGACACAGAAAATTTAATCTACAAATACTTCAGTTTGTGTCTCTAAAACATAAGACTCTATTTTTAGACATAACTTCGATATTACTATCATACCTGAAGAAATAGTAATTTCTTAATAGTGCTAATATCAGTTAATGCTCAGATTTCAATTTTTTTTTTTTTTTTTTTTTTTTTTTTTTTTTTTTTTTTTTTAGTATTTTGAGATGGAGTCTCACTCTGTCGCCCAGGCTGGAGTGCAGTGGCGCCATCTCGGCTCACTGCAACCTCCGCCCCTCTGACTGAAGCAATTCTCCCACCTCAGCCTGCTGAGTGGCTGGGTTTACAGGTGTGTGCCACCGCTCTAGGTTAATTTTTGTATTTTTTTGTAGAGATGGGGGTCTCGCCATGTTGCCCAGGTTGGTCTTGAACTCCAGGGCTCAAGTGATTCTCCTGCCTCAGCCTCCCAAAGTGCTGGGATTACAGATGTGAGCCACTGCGCCTGGCCTTCAATTTTCTTTAGATGTCTTTAATAGATTATTCAGGCCGGACGTGGTGGCTCACGCCTGTAACCCCAACACTTTGGGAGGCCGAGGCGGGCGGATCATGAGGTCAGGAGATCGAGACCATCCTGGCTAACACGGTGAAACCACGTCTCTACTAAAAATACAAAAAAATTAGCTGGGCGTGGTAGCGGGCGCCTGTAGTCCCAGCTACTCAGGAGGCTGTGGCAGGAGAATAGGCATGAATCCGGGAGGCGGAGCTTGCAGTGAGCTGAGATCGTGCCACTGCACTCCAGCCTAGGGGACAGAGCGAGACTCCATCTCAAAAAAAAAAAAAAAAAAAGATTCTTCAAATCAGAATCTGAACAATGTCCAAACATTCCAATTAGATGATAAAATGTTAATAATGAACTAATACTTTATTACATTGATGCCCTAACATATTTAACCATTTTCTCATTTTTTGAACATAAAAGTTTTTTCCAACCTTCCTTTATTATAAATAATACGGCGGGGAATATTGGGGAGTATTTGTCTGGAGGTCTAAAATGTGTTCATAGCTGCAGTGTGAGGTTATTGGGTCTGAGTGTAAGAACATTAGTAAGGGTTCACATCACCATGTTGGAAAGGTATTTAATAAATAGATAGATGGTGAAAAGAAGAAAGAGCTGGAGAAAGGAGAGAGCCAAAGAATGTCTGGGCAGGAACTGAGGTGAACAGCGGAGAAAGGAAGGCGTCTTCCTGGGCTGCTTCAGCCTTGGAGTTTGTGCCGACAGCAGGTTTTCTGTCCTAGAGTGGATGGCGTGCAGGAAGTGTTTGACAGATGAGATGGCCCATGGAGCGGTGACCTGGGATCAGAGCAGGCCTGCCAAATGGGGCCAGGTGGCTGCCCAGCTTCCCTGGAGTGAGGGTTTCAGACCCTCCTCCCTCAGATATGCTAATGAGGCTCAGTAGAGAGGGTGTTGCCAGTGCCTCAGATCTGCAGTCTTGGGAATCGGCTTTGGGCTTTCTGGAGGGAATGCCCGCTGTGTGACTCGGTCTCAGTCCTGGGACCTCTGCCGGGCAGTGGCGAGGCCCACTTCCTGGAGGTCACCATTTAGCCCTGGGTCATCTTTCATTTCCTCCTTGTGCCAAGGACTTCAAGGCCAGACATAAGAGTGGGAAAACACTAGTCAGTCATTCAATAATAACCTTACCATATTCAGCCAGAAACATGGCCATGGAGGCGGGTGACAAGGGGATCTCTTAAGAAGCAGTCAGCCGGGGCATGGTGGCTCATGCCTATAATCCCAGCACTTTGGGAGGATCGCTTGAGCTCAGGAGTTCTAGAGCAGCCTGGCCAACATGGAGAAACCCCGTCTCAACCCAAAAAAATGCAAAAAAAAAATGAGCCATGGGTGATAGCACACCTGTGGTCCCAGCTACTCAGCAGGCTGAGAAGGGACAATTGCTTGAGCCTAGGGAGGTTGAGGCTGCAGTGAGCCGTGATCATGCCAGTGCACTCCAGCCTGGGCAACAGAGTGAGACCCTGTCTCAAAAAATAATAATAAATAAAAAGCTGTCAGTCCAATTCCATACACAAAGTTGCTGCTGTGGTCTGTGGCCATGCCACCCTGAACATGCTGGATGTTCTCTCATCTCAGAGGCTGAGCAGGGCCCGGCCTGGTTAGTACTTGGGTGGGAGAAAGTTCATGCTGTGGGAGCTGACAGCTAGGTTTTCATTTTCCTCGTTATACCACCTTTATATTCCTAACTTTCTACAGTGAACGTATATCATTTTTATCATTAGAAGAGAGGAAAGTAAATGCCATTTTTTAAAAAATCAACTCTTGAAATAGATTCACTTCTCCTTACCTTTCTGTGAAAGGGGGAAAATATCTTTCTTCCCTCTGAACAAAGTAGGCAATAGCACAAATTAAGCAGTTTGTTTCAGACTGCAGAGCGAGCTTGGGTGGGCTTGGCGTCTGCGTCCCAGCAGCTGTCCTGTTGGACCTATCCAGGTTTATGTGCAAGAACCCTCTTCCCGGGGAGCCTGCCTTGGGAGTGCATGTGGTCCAGATGACCTGCTCATCCATCACCAAGCTAGCTGTGCATCCCAGGGTCAGTCCCCTGCCACCACAGTCACATGTCATTATGACGGAAGCTGATAACAGCTGATTGCAGGAGCTGAACTTTTTTCCTCCACCCTTGACAGTAATTCAAAAGGAAATCCAATGCTCCTGCATGGAAAAGTGTCAGGACCAAAGCCCACATCCCACTCGGGGGCGGAAGTTGGAAGGGTGGAGTTTGTCTGCCCTGCTCAGTTAGTCATAGGCCCCTCACAGTATTTGCAAGGACATTGGGGTGTGCGTTTGTCCTCTGGGTGCATCTGCCACTGTTGGTGCGAGGACCAGCGTGCTTTCCACAAGCCCGATGCATGGGCCAGGCCGTTCCTCCATGAATATCCAGCAGGCAGGGGAAGAAGGAGGTGGATGAGGCTCAGCTTCTCCCGGAGGCCCGGCAGCCCCGCCTCTTGTTTTGCCACTAGCTTCTCTTCCTGGAGGAACAGGCCAGGGTTGAAGCCCAGGTGCAATAAACCCAGCAGTTCTGAAGTATGGAGAGGGCTGAGCCTTCCAGCTGGCTGCATCTGCCCCCCAAAATAAAGAGCAAGCGGAGGTAGCAAGCAGGGCCATTATGGGATCCCTGAGTTTCTGCCTGTGGTAACACTCGCTTATTTATTTATTTATTTTTGGAACGAAGTTTCGCTCTTGTTGCCCAGGCTGCAGTGCAATGGGGCAATCTCAGCTCACTGCAACCTCTGCCTCCCAGGTTCAAGCGATTCTCCTGCCTCAGCCTCCTGAGTAGCTGGGATTACAGGCGCCCACCACCACGCACGGCTAATTTTTTTTTTCTTTTTTTTTGAGATGGAGTCTTGCTCTGTCTCCCAGGCTGGAGTGCAGTGGCGCAATCTTGGCTCACTGCAAGCTCCGCCTCCTGGGTTCACGCCATTCTCCTGCCTTAGCCTCCCGAGTAGCTGGGCCTACAGGCGCCCACCACCACACTTGGCTAATTTTTTGTATTTTTTAGTAGAGACGGGGTTTCACTGTGTTAGCCAGGATGGTCTCGATCTCCTGACCTCATGATCTTCCCACCTTGGCCTCCCAAAGTGCTGGGATTACAGGCGTGAGCCACCGCACCCGGTCTCGCATGGCTAATTTTTGTATATTTAGTAGAGACGGGGTTTCACCATGTTGACCAGGCTGGTCTTGAACTTCTAACCTCAGGTGATCCACCTGCCTTGGCCTCCCAAAGTGCTGGGATTACAGGCATGAGCCACGATGCCCGGCCAACACTCATTTTTATTTCATTTTTTTCTTGTTTTTAGTCAGGCCCATGCTCTGCTGCCCATGCTGGAGTGCAGTAGTACGATCACAGCTCACTGCAGCCTCCAACTCCCGGCTCAAGAGGTCCTCTTGCCTCGGCCTCCCAAGTAGTTGGGACCACAGGTGTGCACTACCATGCTTAGCTAAGTTTTGTATTTTTTTTTAGAGACAGGGTCTCACTGTGTTGCCTAGGCTGGTCTCAAATTCCTGGCCTCAAGCTATCCTCCTGCCTGGGCCTTCCAAAGTTCTGAGATTATAGACATGAGCCACTGCATCTGGCCTCTCTTATGTTTAAACAAAGAAAGAGAAAGCAAAAGGCCATAGGTGAACGCTTTGGTTGCTATTGGTTTCTATTGTATTTAGGCATTTTATTCAGACTGATTTGAGTAACTTGGCAAAGGCCCAGGAGCTGATACGTATAAATAACTACACTTGGTGTTTATCCTTCGGCCATCACTTGGGATTCTAAAGGCATTTAGAGACCTTGCCCTCTGGGACTGCTGCCCATAAAATAAATGAGGAGGTTGAGGCGGGAAGAATCTTCCCTTGGGTGTGATAAGGAACAGAAATTCCAAGATGAAGCTGGTCAGAGCTCTGCTTAGGAAGGCCCGTGTGCTGAGCCCAGCTGCCCCCATTTCCTGTCACTGGTTTTGCGGGTTTCCCCGTTGTAGCTGATGTCCTTCCCTCGCTTCCTTCTGCTCCAGTGGGCGGCGAGGGTGGAGGCAGACACCTGCCCACTGTCATTGCTGTCATGGCTGGGGATTAGCAGCTCCCTCCTCATCTCTAGTCACAGCTGAGGACTCCGATGGGAACCTCCCTTCATGGGATCCTCAGGTCTGACAGCTGGGGGCTTCCCACTCAGCCAGGCCTGCATGGTATCTGCTGCCGATGGAGGCTCTGTCCCTCTGTCTCTCCCTCCAGGGCCCTCCAACATTCTCAGGATAACTTCGGACCTCAGCATTGGCTTGGCCGTGGACAGAGGCACCCCCTTGGACCCAGCATCCGTGTTCTTGATGTGGGGACGTGACTCTGACAACAGCCAATTCTGTCACCCAAGGCGTTTGAGCTTTCACTGCACACACCTCCCACCCCCTTTCCTTTTTCCCTTTTCCTCCAGGCTTCCCAGCCCAGGTGCTGCTGTTGGGATCCTCCTCCTTTCCCCAGAGTTAAGGCATTGTCTGTGCACAAGGCCCATTCCCTGCCCAGCAGCCAAGCTTGAGGTCACCCTGTGATAACCTGAAGGGCGTGGAAGGGCTTGTGGCTGAGCCAAGGAGAAGCAGCACTCCCGTCCCACCGAGCATGCACTCGGCCTGCAGAGGGGAGTCCTTGCCTCTAACCCTAAACACAGAATTCCTTGAAAGCCAGTCACCTCAGGGCAGAGCAGGACTATGTCCTTTCTGGCTTTCTGTTGCTCCTGGTCCCATAGACAAAATTTTCTCAGCAGCAATGAACTCAGAGGCCAATCAATCATTTCTCTGGCAGAAACTGCAAAGCCCACATAGCAGAAGGGAGATGTTGCAACTGTGGGGTCTCTCCCTTGGAGCAGCAGTTAGAAATGTGTTGATCTGAGCCAACAGGGCCTTGTACAATCAATTCTCCCACTAAGAAACTGGCGGGGTGCCCCCTCCAGCAGAATGCCAGAGCCAGCGTCTCCTCAGAGTCCCTGAAGCGCCAGCCTCCTCACCACATGGCCCTTGTCGGGGTTCTGCCAACTTGCAAGGTCCTCCAGACATTGTTTACATGGGTATTGTCTGCGTTCGGGCTGCTGTGCATGTTCTTGAACCATGCGTCTTGCTGGGGTCAGTCCCTGAAAGTCTCCATGTGACCGGGCACGTGGATAGAATGGAGCATGCCAGCAGTCCTGGGGTGCACGTGTATTTGTATGTACAAACGAAGGTCTATTTCAGGGTGGTAAACTTCACAACCACAGGAACAAAGCTGCTTTCTCCTCTGAACTTAAATGACTTAGAGAAAAAACATGCAATTTGTAAACTGCCTGGACATTCTCAGAGAGACAGCAGCTTGGCTCAGAGGATAATCTTTGTTTTGTAGCATTCTGTTCCTGGCAGATTAAAAAATGATGTCCTTTTTAAAGGAGAAGGAGGAGAAGCAGAAGGAGGAGGTTGGGCTGACTGAAAAACTTTTTATCTAGGGTGGCAACGTTAAGTACTTTCTGAAATGTTCTTTGCATGCATTTGGGCCATTAAAAAGAAGAACAAATGTGACTTACGTTTTCATTTCCTGGAATCCATGTTAATGATCTTTGGGACGTGGTCTAGAGAGAGCAAGCAAAGATGGTGGTCACAAAATGCGCAGGACGTAGGAGAATCCTACCCCAAACCCAGGCTCTCTGGGGATGACCAGGAGCTCAGGAACGGTGACAAAGTCCAGCCAACCCCCTATAAAATGACTTCTGAAGCACCTTCTACCAGAGGCCCTACAACCATATGAAACATTTCAACAACTCATTTTGCAAAGATCTGGAATCTTGTAGGTCAAGGTGATCTACCGGGTCAGTGGTCCCCAAGGCAGGGCTCATCTCCACACCAGCGCCGATTTTGAGAGCTCCTGTTAGGAGGAAGAGGCCCGAGGGGGTGGTGTGAATGGGCACACGGTCACAGCCACAGCCGCGTGGCTGGTCTGAGCACGCCCCCATCCCTGGAATCTGGGACACTTGCAGCTCACATGGTTTCTGAAGAATCCTCTATGGAACTCTTGTTTGGTATTTCCTTCCCAGAATGTCTTCATCCCGGGCCCCTTTCTGTTATTTTCCGGTCTTCTCAGGTGTCCCCTTTGTATCTGAAAAACATAAGGCAGAGCAGAAACGCCCTGTGTAACCAGATCGCGAGACGCTGGCCTCGTGGGGGTAATCGTGCCCGCCCCTTGCAGCTGGAGGAACCCGAGGCTAAGACACCCACTCCTGGCCTCACTCCTCACCTTTCCACACCCTTGGCAAATATTCCACTTTCCCCTGTGGTCAAATGGAAAGGGCAGACTGCACTGCCCCACCATGTTTTTTTGTTTGTTTGAGACGGAGTGTTGCCCTGTTGCCCAGGCTGGAGTGCAGTGGCATGATCTTGGCTCACTGCAACTTCCACCTCCCGGGTTCAAGCAATTCTCCTGCCTCAGCTTCCCGAGTAGCTGGGATTACAGGTACATGCCACCATGCCTGGCTAATTTTTGTATTTTTAGTAGAGACAGCGTTTCACCATGTTGGCCAGGCTGGTCTTGAACTCCTGACCTCGTGATCTACCCGCCTTTGCCTCCCAAAGTGCTGGGATTACAGGCGTGAGCCACTGCCTCCAGCCACCCGCCATGTGTTTTAAACACCATGAGGTGTGTTCACGCAACATTCAAGAAGAGCAGGTGATTCTGATGCTAGCCTGGGTTCTTTTCCTTCTGACAGATCATGCACTGAGGGCTTGAAAAGCACATTTGTCTCTAGCGTTACAGATATGCTTCCCAACAGCCAGTGAAGCTGGGTAGTGACAGCCTCCCGCGGTGTCACCGAGACAAGTGTGCTGGCACAGAGGCCTCCCCTAACCTCAGCCCTCTGCCTCCCAGCTCCCCGCCAGCCCAACAGCTCTCCTTCCTGCGCAGTGGCCTCCTGAACATCCTCTACCTGCACATGCCTGACTGCCCGGTATCCCTGCTCCAGTGGCTGTTCCAGGTGAGGACCGCAGGCCTGCCACTAGGTGGCGGGAGCGCTGCAGTCTGGTGGCCCGGCAGGCCCACAGGCTGAGGGGTGGGCACTTCACCTCTTCTTGCCTTAGGTGCTGCTTGGCTGGGCTCAGGCTGGGAGGAGGGAGGAGAGCTGATTGGGCATCGATCCCCACAATGGTGCTAAGAATGCCAAGGCCAGGGAGGTGCAGGGGGTTCGCCTGTGGTCTCCCAGAGCGGCGAGCGCTGGGAGCCTCTGCTTCCCCCGAAGGTGTGTGTCTCTGGGTGCTGCCTGTGCCCTCACGTGGCTTTCCTGAGGGACCTGGTGTACCCAGTGGACTTACGGTCTAACCTCTCAGTGAATCGGTCCAAGCCCCTCAACAAGTGCTTCCTATGCAACAAAGCTAATTTCTTCACCAGCGATCACAGGTCCCTCATCCCATACGCAGCGGGAGGGCCGTTCAGGGCCCACGGCAATCCTGCAGTGCCTGGTTTGGATCCCTCGTGAATTTGGAGCCGAGGGTGCTTGGGCGTTTGAGCGTGTGCTTCCTGTGTGCAGTTGTAGCTTGGCTGGGAAAACCTGGAACGGCTGCTCTGGCTGTGCTGTTTTTTCCCTCCTGGTTGCTGCTAGAGCGTTTTGCCATAGGGGAACATACATTTTGCCCAGGGCTTGACACCTTTGCACAGAGAGAGGCAGTGAGAAGCCAGCAGGGACAGGAGCCAACCGCTGTGATCTGAATGCCAGGCATAAGGATGCCGTCCTGGCCTTGGTCCCCACCCAGAATCGTCCCTGTCTGGGGACAGGTGGGTCACAAGTTCCAGCTGGTCCCATTCCTGCCAGTTGGAGCCTGGACCCCAGCTGTAAATCAGAGCCATCATGTGGGGCGGATTATTCCAGGAACTGCTTGGCCTCGGCAGGCTGGCTGCAGTCCAGAGAGAGCCCTCCAGCTCTCCCTTCGTGCTCTGGGTCCTTCACCTTGCTCCTCCTTACCCCGGAGGAGGAAGACATGCAGCTTCTGGGGCCCTGGTATGTAGCTGCTAACCTTGTCAGCCCCCAATCCCCCACCCAAGGCCCAGAAGGAGCAGTGGGTGAGTAATGGGGAACAGTGGGGCCATTATTCCCCACGCTGGCGGTGCAGCCCCTGCTCCTTGCACAGTGTGTGACGGAACACACAATCGAGCATTGGGAGGCACAAAGGACCCATCTGAGACGGCACCCACAGAGGGGCCCTGCGTCACCCTGACACTGGCGTGGAGTGCCTTCCCGGGGGCGTGTCGGTTTCTTCCAGGTTCAGAGACCCCCATCCTGGGAGGCACAGACGAGCCTTCCCCTGCCTCTTTCCCCGTCTCCATCATGCTGCGAGGGGGCTGGAGGGGAGAGGAGTGCAGGACCCAGCCCTGAGGTCAGACAGACAGACTTGGTGTGAGTTCTGGCCCTGCCACCTACTCCTGTGTCGCTACAGACAGGTTTCTTAGCATCAGCTCTGTGCCTCGGAGCCAGGCCTGATGGGCCCATGTGGAGTTAAGTGGGACATCCGTGAGCTGCCTTGTCCTTGTGCCCCCACAGAGCTCTGCTCTGGGCCTGGGTGTCCTCTGTGAGGCACGCTGTTAGTGCAGAGTTCCAGTTCACATTCTGCAGGAAGGAGAGACAAAAGCTCCCATCCCCCATGGCTGAATCCAGATCCATGAAAGGGGTGCACTGGCTTTGGGGGGCCTTCTGGGCAGTGTCCTCAGGGGACTTAGAACCTCGAGCAGTTACTGGGGACTGTGGTTGTGGGAGGCAGAAACCCATGGGGGCTCCCTTCTGCAGGTGCGAGGGTGGTTCCTGAGGTCCCAGGGTAGGGGCATGCTGGGCCCCAGGAGGAGCTGGACCCAGGGATGGGGAAGGGTTGGGATCCTAGGACTGGCCTCTGCTGCTGTCTCCCTGCAGGTTCCATGGCCAAGTAAGGCCAGACCCTTTTCCCAAATCTGGTTCCTCAGGAAGGAGAATCTGGTTAGGCTAAGAGGGGTTAAGTGGTCCCCTTGTCCAGTCAAAGGCAACTCGGGAAGTGGGGTCCCAGGGCTGCTGGGGCCATGCCTGTACCTGGGGTCCCTACTGAGCCAGGGCGTGGGTGAGGGGGGCAGACTGCTCCAACCCTGCTCCTTCGATGTTCTTGGAAAGGACAGCCTGAGTTCTCTCTCAGGGACTCGATCCCGTGTACTCCTCCCTGGGGCTTTAATAGGGTGTGCATGGGCACTGGCTGAGCTGTGCCCTCGTGTGGGCCAGCCTTGCCGGGAGAGTGGACATCAGCAGGAGGTGTACACCCTCAATGAATGTATGTTCTTGTTGGGAGAGACTCAAGTGTTCAGCCATGAAAATGTTGTAGGAAGTTACAACAGGAGGAGAAAGGCAGAGTTCTAGATGCCGACCGGAGGGCATCCACGCAGGCTTACTGGGGGGGGCGTGCTTGGGAACCACACCTGTGAGGGAGGGAGAGTATTTGCCCCCAGGAGTCCCACTGGGCTCTGGAGCCCGGTGACCCCTTTAGAGTTGACCCAGTTGAGGCGAGGTCTCCAGCCTCGGCCAATTATCAGACGCAGACACTTGGTGAGGGCTGTGACCTTGCACTAGGTGCTCCCTCCAAGGTCAAGGCTCAGAGAGGGTCCTGGGCTCAGGGCCCTGGCAGCGACACTGCCCAGCCCCTGGAGGAACAAGAGCCTCAGTCCTGAAAGGAGATGTGCCCACAGTGCCCACAAGGCAAACTTTTCTGGGTACTGGGGAGGAACGATGTCATGCACAGCATGGCTGCCACTGTCGTGAACTTGGTGAGTGCCCCTAGACCAGATGGCACCTGTGGGCTGCTGCTGTCCCATTGCTTATTCCCTTGTCAGCCTCTCTGCATGTTTCCAAACCCCAGCTTCTGACTGTCAGGCTCCAGGAGCATTCAGATAAGGATCCCAGAAATGACCACCCTGCCCTTGTTTGAGGACCTGTGTTCAGTACCAAGGACCGTCTAAGCTGGTGGTCTCAGATGACAGTGTGTTAAGGCGCTGACCTGGAAATGATTTGAGGATCACAGAGAGGGCCCACCCTGTGATTGTCCTGCTGCCTGTGATGAGTGCAGGCATGCTTTCTCTCCCCTTACGCTGGGCCCTGCCCTGGAGGGGCATGGCTATGACCACAGGGAGCGAGGGGCAGAGGGACCAAGACCCCCATGCCAGGAGGTGGACGGAGTAGGAGGTTTCAAGTGGCACAGACCTGGGTGTCTGGGCCTGAGTGCTGGCTTTGCCGCTCAAGGCTGTGTGACTCTGGCAAAGTTGTTTGACTTCTCTGAGCTTGGTTTTCCATCCTCTAATTGGCAACAATGACAATGTCCTTCTACCACACAGACTTATGAGAATTAAATGGGATTTATTTAACGTGGAGTAATAGAAGTTTGCTACTATTGCTTCTTAGGAATGACCCAGCTCACCAGGTTTTTGTTTTTGTTTTTTTTTTCCACCTAGCTGCTGACATGGCCTCCAGAAACATCTTTGGGAGCCTTTGGTCTTCTGTGGGATCTCATTGTGGATGGAATCTTCCTTCAGCCTGGTCAGTACTGGGATGCAGGGTGGAGATTGGCGCACTGAGCTCCCAAGCCTGTGATACGTGACTCTCAGTGCCCAGAGCCCAGCTGCAGGCGAGATGCTGGTGGGACATTGCATCCAGGGTGTAGAGGCATCAGGCCATCTTTGGCTCAGGCTCCAGCATTAGTAAAAAGCTGAACCAACAGGCTCCTCGGCACCTTGAACTGGCCTCAGATCTCAGCCCCTGTGGCCACGGCCAGGCTGACCTCACAGGCTCTTGGGATCCCAGAGCAGTCCAGGACAGTGGGTTCAGACTGAGACAGTCTCTAGGTCTGAGGGGACAGCTCACCCCCAAGTCCTTCCTGAAAGCGCCGGTTAGCTTGAGAGGGTTCCAGGAATATCCGCATCAAATCAGGGTGCTCCTTGGGTTGGAGTCACCAAAGGGAAGAGTCTGAAGCTGTCTCCCTCACTGACAGCCTTCTTTGGCTGATAGGACATCCACAGTGCCCCTGAGTTTGGTCTGGGTGGGAATGAGAGCCTCAAGCTGGTGCCTTGGTTGTGGCATTTAGGAGGTATATTTAATTCCTCTTTATAATGCTTTTGGATGTTCAGAGTTCCACAGAAGGAATTAATTTCCCCCCCTAGTGGCTGCACCCTCCCTAGACTGTCATCATTTGGTACCTGAACCTAGACACTTTGGCACCAAAAAATATCATGTAACCAGTTGAAAGTTGCTTAAGCAGACAGTAAGAGGGACTCCCAGGTGGTCAGACCCCGCCTCTGCCCCAGCTGTAGGCTGCTCACCCCAGAGCAAGAAAGCACATGGCCCTGAAGGCCAAGGCCAAGGATGTACCATGAGCCCCCAGCCCTTTAAGTTTCTGCTTTTGTGCCTCTTCTGCTTCAGGAGTTGGCTGAGCTGGAGCCATCTGTCAAATTAGAGCATTCCAGACTCCTCCGCCCCTGCCCTCCATGGAGCCCTCTAAGCGAGGTCTTCTGAGTAGCACCAGTCTCAGTGCCCTCTCCCTTTTCGTAACCTCTGCCCCTGTAGCCCCCGATGCACTTTGGAGCCCCAGGGGCCGCCTCTGCGGCATGCCTGCCCTTTAGGGGAACAGAGGCTTCCCTTGTCCTGCTCCCTGCAGTGGTATGTGTCTCCTCCGCTGAGGCAGAGGGGATGCCCCACTCTCCTTTGCTTCTTGCCACGTTGTCTCTGATGCGCTCCCCATTAGGAAGGATCAGAAACAAGCTCTTGAGTCCCCTGTCAGCTTAGCTCTGGCTCTTCTAACTCCAGAGCATCTCCTGTGGCCACTACCTGAGAGCCCAGCCTGGGATTGTGTTTCCCTGCCCAGGGGACCAGGGACTGGCCTACAGAATTCCATGCCTGGGGTCGGGATCTCAACTGGTATGGGGAAAGTGAGAGGCCCGGTCCATTAGAGAACTGAATGCAGGGACTTGAGCAGATAGTTGCGTACCCAGGTTCTTAGCAGCATTGTTCACAATAGCTAAGAGGTGGAAGCAACCCAAGTGTCCACCCGTGAATGGATAAACCAAATGTGGTACATACATACAGTGGAATATTACTTGGCCTTAAAAAAGGAAGGAAATTCTTTGAATGTCCATGATGTATTATTTTAAAAAAAGAGGAAGGAAATTCTGACACATGCTACAAGATGGATGAACATTGAAAACATTACGCTGAGTGAAATAACATACAAAAGAACAAACACGTATATGAGTTACCCAGGGTAGTCAAATTCATATTCCATGTATATGAGGTACCCAGGGTAGTCAAATTCATAGAGACAGAAAGTGGAATGGTGGTTACCGGGGGCTAGGGGAAGGAGAGAGTGGGGAGTTACTGTTTAATGAGTACAGAGTTTCAGTTTTGCAAGAAAAAAGAGTTCGGAGATGGATGGTAGTGGTGATTGTACTACAGCGTGAATGTACTTACTACCACTGAACTGTGCACTTAGAAATGGTTAAGATGGTAAATTTTATGTTATGTGTATTTTACCACAACTTAAAAAAAAGCTAGGTCAAGAGCAAAAGGGCCAGGTGCCCAGAGAGAATCTGCCAGGAGTCAGGACTAAAGATCAACTGCCATTTCAGGAAGCATTTCTAAGGTTAAATTAGATCCAGGATTGATGCAGAAGGAAGTCATTTCCTCAGGGTTTCACTAATAGCCTAGGGCTCTGAGTGTCTGAGAGGACAGCAGGCCTCTGGGGCACAGAGCTCAGGATAGACTGGGGCTGCCTCCCTTCACCCGTATCTATGATTTGTGTGTGCGCGCGCACGTGTGTGTTTGTGTGTGTGTGTTCAAGCCGCTTCTCATATGTAAACAGGAGATTTGTTTGTGTGTAAACTTCCATCCTTTCCTGGAGTTTGTGGTGACCAGCAGTTCTTCCCAGACTATCCTAGGGAGATTCTTACGCACTTGCCTTTATCCCAACCTGCTGAGTAAGGAAAGAGTTGAGGGGACCAGGACTTAAGAGCATTGACTATTACGGGTGTGCTCTAGTGACTGGGGCTGAGGGCCCGAGTGTCCCAGGGCACTCTAGTGTGTGTGTGGGGGGTGGGGCGGTAACGGAGAATTGTATTCCTGGATTGAGAAGCAACACGTGTACATGTCAGCTGTGCAGAGAGCTCAGTGCACTCAGAGAAGGGATACTCTGGCACATTGCCATGCCTCATTGCAGTGAGCATTCATTTATTCAGCAAAGACACATTGAGCACCTCCTTCCTCAAGCACTTCGCTAGATGGCAAAGAGAGGATCAGGGATTAATAAAGTCCTGTTCTCAGGAGGCTAATAGGTGGGAGGGGATTAAATGAGCAGCGACCATCAGAGACAGAAAGGAGGCAACGGGAAGAGGAATTACTTGTAGTCAGGTAGGTTTGGGATGTGGGGAGGCAGGAACCAGGAAGTGCTTTGTAGAAGATGAGACAGTTGAGCCATCTGTACCAGAAAGCAGAGACTGCAAACTCAGTTGCCTACGGGGACTGAGTGAGCAAAGTCTGAGAGCTCCTGCCTGATGTAAAGGGGCTGTCCACATCAGGTTTGGTGCAGGTAAACGCAGGTCTGGTATTCCCAAACCTCTTCATTTTCAAGAGAAGCCACATTTTAGTTAGGTCGTATTTTGACTATTGATAACAAATACCAAGAGCAGTTTGTTAGCTCACATGACAAGGAATTCAGAGGCAGGTGATTCTGTGACACGTTCAGTAGATGCGCAGTCTCAGGGCTCTGGATTCTGCATGTGTCTTCTCACTACTTCCTCTCCGGGTTGCAGAATGGCTGCCGTAGCTGCCACCACCACTGTGTTCTCAGGAGACAAGAGTGTTCAAGGCAGCAAAGGAAAGGATGGGACATACGAGGTCACTGCTTCTCATACTTTCCCCTCTTTTTATCAGAACAGTTTTTCCATTTTGTTTCATTAGAACTGGGGTCACGGGCTTTAGAGGTCACTTGCCATGTTGTTTGTCTGTCCAGTGCCCTTTGAACATCACGGCTATGTCTGAAGAATTTCCAGCCTCATGAATCCTATCCCTTTAGGGTTGAATGCATGAGATTTACTCTTCCAGTCTTTTTTTTTTTTTTTTTTTTTTGAGATGGAGTCTTGCTCTGTCGCCCAGGCTGGAGTGCAGTGGCACAATCTCGGCCCACTGCAAGCTCCACCTCCCGGGTTCACGCCATTCTCCTGCCTCAGCCTCCTAAGTAGCTGGGACTACAGGCACCGCTACCACACCCGGCTAATTTTTGTATTTTTAGTAGAGACAGGGTTTCACCATGTTGGCCAGTCTGGTCTCGAACTCCTGGCCTCAGGTGATCCACCCACTTCAGCCTCCTAAAGTGCTGGGATTAGAGGTGTGAGCCACCGCGCCCAGCTGGGATATAGATGTTTATGTGAGATGTCCTGTTGGTAACTAACTCAGTTAAAACAACAAGAAAAAACCACCGCGAACCCATCTGCAGACTCCATTCAATTCAGACCACTGATCTGCAGCCTTTGGGCGGAGTATCAGGGTATACAGGGATGCAAGGGAAGCAGGGAGCAGTGGGAACAAAGACGAGGTGGAAGAGTAGGGGCTTTCCTTGAAGGGAGCAGAGGAGGAAATAAGACGAGGTCTTGAAGGCCAGGTCTTGAAGGATAGTGGGGGCCATTGCAGGCACAATGGAGCTTTATTAATATTTGTCAAGACCAGGATGGAATGGTTGGTTGTTTTAAAGATACAATTCACATAACATACAACTCACCCTTTTAAAATGTAAGATTCAGTAGTTTTTAGTATACTCAGAGTTGTTGAATCATCACCACTGTCTACTTCCAGAACATTTTCATCTCCCCAAAAAGAAACCTCTTAAAATGTGCTATATCCATAAAATGGAATACTATTCAGCCATAAAAAAGGAAGGAGTGACATATGCTATAACATGCATGAACCTTGAAAGCGCTGATAAGAAAATGGATACGAAAATTTCATGCCTATTCTGAAATGTCCAGAATAGGCAAATCCATAGAGACCAAAAGTTGATTAACAGTTGCCAGGAGATAGGGGAAGAAGGAATGGGGAGTGACTGCTGATGGGTAAGAGGTCTCTTTTTTACCAGATATGTGATTTGCAAATGTTTTCTCTCATTTTGTGGGTTTTCTTTGTAATCTCTTGATAATGTCCTTTGATGTACAAAATTTTAAAATTTTGGTGAAGTCCAACATATCTATTTTTTTCTTTTGTGGTGTCAAAATTACTGACATCATTGTCTAATCTCAGGTCATGAAAATTTTCACCTATGGTTTCTTCTAAGAGTTTTATACTTTTAGCTCATAAATTTAGGTCTTTGATCCATTTTGAGTTCATTTTTGTATGTGGTTTGAGACAGGAGTCTAGCTTGGTTCTTTTGCCTATGGATATCCAGTTGTCTCAGCACCATTTGTTGAAAAGACTGTTCTTTCCCTATTGAATTCTGTTGGCACCCTTGTTGAAAATCATTTGACCATAAATGTAAGGGTTTATTTTTGAACTCTCAATTTTATTCCATTGGTTTATATGTCTACCCTTATGCTAGTACTCTAAATTTGTTATTACTATAGCTTGTAGTAAGTTTTAAAGTTGGGAAGTATGAGTCCTCTAACTATACTTTTTAAAAATTTGTTGGCCAGGCTCAGTGGCTCATGCCTGTAATCCCAGCACTTTGGGAGGCCGAGGCAGGCGGATCATGAGGTCGGGAGATCAAGACCATCCTGGCTAACACAGTGAAACCCCGTCTCTACTAAAAATACAAAAAAAAATTAGCCGGGCATGGTGGCAGGCACCTGTAATCCCAGCTACTCCGGAGGCTGAGGCAGGAGAATGGCGTGAACCTAGGAGGCGGAGGTTGCAGTGAGCCGAGATCGCACCACTGCACTCCAGCCTGGGCGACAGAGCGAGACTCCGTCTGAAAAAAAATTGTTTTGGCTGTTTGGGGTCCTTTCCATTTCCATGTGAATTTTAGGACCAGCTCGTCAATTTCTGCAACATTGAAAGCTGGGATTTTAATAGTGATTGTCTTGGATCTATAGATAACTTTTGGGTACTATTGCTATCTTAATAGTAAGTCTTCCAATCCATGAACATGGGATGTCTTTCCATTTATTTAGATCCTCTTTAATTTCTGTCAACAATGTGTTGTAATTTTCAGTGTACATGTCTTACATTTCTTTGGTCAAATTTATTCCTAAGTATTTTATTCTTTTGGTGCTGTTATAAGTAGAGATGTTTTCTTAATTCCTTTTCAAATTGTTCATTGCTCATGTGTAGAAATACAGATTTGTATATATTAACCTGCTGAACTTGTTTATTAGCTGTGATAGTTTTTTTGTGGTAGAATTTGGTTTCGAAGGCAAACATACTCTTGTGCAACTAGTTGATTAAGAGAAATGAAATGACCTCAAGTTTCTTTAACAAAAATGTTTTAGCTGAGCTGGTATATGACTGTCCGTTAACCTAGTGCCAGTCTTGAAGCAATGTCTTCGGAAAAGGAGCTCTATCAGCGAGATCAAAACGCTTTAGAAAGGAGTAGAGCTTGCGTAGGTTCTTTTCCATTTGCTTCCAAGACAATTGTCCATTTTTACCTACCCATTTCATTCTCTGTTGGCTTCTATAATATTTGTGTAGGAGGAGGGGGATATAATAAAATAGAATGACCCTGGCCAGTACATTCTTTGGATATTTTGAAAGTGGGCGAGACGTTCAGCTCCAAGAACAGAATTCATTTCACGTTCTTGAGCAGGGTCTTAGGACACTTTGTTCTTCCTCACTTGATCATGCTTTTCCCTTTGTTCTCCTCGAGCTCTGGCCTCGTGGCCACTGGGGCCTTGGGTTTCCGTACAGGCCTCATTTTGTGGGTTACTTTCTTTTCTGCCGTTGCCTGTTGCATTCTCTTTCCTTCATCTCTCCCTTCCTTTCTTTATTCCTCCTTCCCACTCCTCCTCTCAGAAAGCATTCATAAAGTTGCTTCTTGTAAAAGGAATAAAATGGAAACAAGATGGCCAGCAATCTTACCACCCAGGTAACCCCTGTTGTTATTTTTTAAACTACTCTCTGTACCAAGTTTAGCAAATTTAAATAATAGAGAAAGATGCAAAATAAAGAGTGAAAGTCTTCTTGCCAGCCACTCCCCACAACCACTTCCTCCTCCCAAGTACTCATTAGTACAGTTTCTTGTGATTATTTCCCGGCACAAAATGAATACACAATACACATTTCATCTATATTTGTATGTTTATATGTTTATCTATACCGTATTTCTTTCGCCACATTAGTATCCATCTGAAATTACCTCCAGTGCCGATTGCTCTTCCCAGAGTTTCCCAGTTCTCCCCACTGGTGTCTGGAGAGGCCACAGCCTGCACAAGGCAGGTCAGGTGGGGCTTTCTAGACCACAGGTCCGCCGAGTGAGGGTCCTGGAGGTGGGATGAGCCACTGGGGTGCAAAAACAAAAAATTAATACATATTTCTGTTTTAGCTCATCCGTCTTTAAAAAAACTTATTGAGGCATAACTGAATACATTAACTTGCAGACATTTGAAGTGTATAATGTATACACTTACATATGTGCCTGTAAAATCATTGCCACAATTGAGCTAGTGAATATATTCCATGGCCCCCAAAAGTTTCCCTATGCCTCTTCATGATTGATCTCTCCTCCACCTCTTGTCTGTAGGAAACCACTGATCTACTTTGTCACTACAGGTTCGTTTGTATTCTCTAGAATTTTATATAAATGGAATTATGCAGTAGGTACTCTTTGTGGGCTGTGGGTGGGGAGGGTCTGGCACATTTCACACGGAATAATTATTTTGAAATTTAAGCAGTCTTTAGTCTATCAGGTTGACACTCTCTGTTCTTCACCATCTTATTAGGAGATGTCCTCGCCCCACCCGATCTGCCTCTCTTGTGGTTTGCAGGACAGCCTCCTGCTGCAGGAGGTGGGAAGCGAGCCAGTCAGAGCCCCTGGAGTGGAGGCCCCACGACCTTCTCATCTGCAGGTCGCGTCTCCTGTGGCGGTGGCAGCAGCAGCTGCCCATATGTGTGGAGCACTTAAGTGCCTGGGCCCTGGACCCCATACCGTTCTCATGCCGGGTGCCCTTTACTCCCTGATTCCACAGGGCTGGTCCCATTGTCCTCAGGCCCAGAGAGGCGGGCTGGGATCCAGGTCTGCCACGCCAGCTGCACTCAGTCCCCGTGCTGGTGCTGTGAGAATGTTGTCTAGACCCAAATGGGCAGGAAAACACTTGGAGGACCACCCAGGAGACCCCAGGGCCCAGCTCCCTCAGAGCTGTCATGTGCTTGGCATAGTCCTTTCAAAGTCTCCAATTAGAATTTGATAACAGTAATTCAGCGTCATAATTGATCTCTGTTTTTTAAAAACATTATTCTTGGATATGATAATAAAAGCAGTTTAATTGAAAATAATAGGTGACATTTCCAGAGAGCTTAATTTGTGCTAGGCACCAAGCCCAGGGCTTGGCCTATCTCATTTAATCACCACAACAACCCTACAAGTAGATACCATTATTGTCCCATGTTATAGGTAATTGGGGGCTGGAAAGCCTGCCCAAGCTCCTACTGTGTGTGCAATGCGTGCCATCTCCTCTGTGGTCAGCCAGCCCTTGTCCAGCTCATTTTACCTCACCCTCTCTGACTCTCTGTGCTGCGACCTCTCTGCATTTCTTTTCTTCCATCTTCCTTCTGCCACAGGGCCTTTGCATGTGCCAGCCTCTTTACCTGGCATACTCTCCTCCTTCCCCTCAGCAGCTCTCTGACTTTGCCTTTGTTTTTTTGTTTGTTCATTTGTTTGTTTTGTTTTGTTTTGAGATGGAGTCTCACTCTGTCGCCCAGGCCAGAATGCAGTGGCGCGATCTCGGCTCACTACAAGCTCCGCCTCCCAGGTTCACGCCATTCTCCTGCCTCAGCCTCCCGAGTAGCTGGGATTACAGGCGCCCACCACCACACCCAGCTAAATTTTTGTATTTTTGGTAGACACAGTGTTTCACTGTGTTAGCCAGGATGGTCTTGATCTCCTGAGCTCTTGATCCGCCCGCCTCAGCCTCCCGAAGTGCTGGGATTACAGGGGTGAGCCACCGCGCCTGGCCTTGTTTTGTTTTGAGACAGAGTCTCACTCTGTTGCCCAGGCTGGAGCGCAGTGGCATGATCTTGGCTCACTGCAACCTCTGCCTCCCAGGTTCAAGTGATTCTCCTGCCTCAGCCTCCCGAGTAGCTACGATTACAGGCACGTGCCACCATGCCCGTCTAATTTTTGTATTTTTAGTAGAGACAGGGTTTCGCCATATTGGCCAGGCTGGTCTCCAACTCCTGACCTCAAGTGATCCACCCACCTCAGCCTCCCAGGTGCTGGGATTACAGGTGTGAGCCACCACACCCGGCCTGACTTTCTTCTTAACTCCATCTCTTCCTCTCTGTTATGGACTTCTCTGGCATCACCTGCTCAAGGAGGCCTGCCCTGCGGGCGTGTGCCGCCTCCTTGCTTCTACGCTTGGCTCCCTTTTCCACTCGTGGCTTTAGTCATAGTTGATGGTGGGTTCTTTGATTAATATTGTCTCTCCCAATGGGCCGTGAGCTCCAAAGTACGGGGACCATGTTTTTGTTTTGCTTTTAGTTTTAGTTATCTGTTGGGTTCCTGGCAGCTGTGTGAGCAGGGACACTGTAGGACCCAGGTGGTTTTTGTTGAATGAGTGGGTGGGTCTCCAGAAACACTGCGTCTCCCGGTGGACAGCAGCATCTTTTCCAGATAGCTGCTCTGATCCTGTGGCCAGTCAGCTGTGGAGCTGGGTGTACCAGAGAAGCTCTGATGTGCTCTCTGGTCCTCCAGCTTCAAGCCCTGAGGTCTGTTGGCCCTGTGGGGGCAGGCATGCATGCTTTACCCCAGCTCAGCAGGCATCTCCAGAGTCTCCCTGCCTGTGGCGCACTCAGCTCCTGTCCCCACCACTACATTCCACCACCTATACAAGGGGACCCTCAGGTACTGCGCCATTAGTAGCTCGTGAGGCCCAGGTGAGTTCGTTCCCTTAGGACAGTACCTGTCATCAGGAATTTTTAAAGCTCTCAGGTGATTTTTATGTGGAGCTGGGGCTGAGATGCTCCAGGTTTTGAGAACTTTGGCCAAGTGCACAGACCTCTTGCAGGAGAGGTGGCCAGGCAATAGTGGGGGTTTTGCCCACCACTTTAGCTCAGGACTCTCAACCCCCACTTTTAAAATGAGGTGCAAAATAAATTTAAGTGACTTAAACTCGGAGAGCACTTTTTTGTTGTTGTTGAGACAAGGTCTCACTCTGTCACCCAGGCTGGAGTGCAGTGGTGGCATCAGGGCTCACTGCAACCATGACCTTGACCTCTCGGGCTCAGGTGATCCTCCTGCCTCAGCGTCCTGAGTGGCTGGGACTACAGGTGCGTGCCACCACGCCCGGCTAATTTGTTTGTATTTTTTGTAGAGATAGGGTCTCACTGTGTTACCCAGGCTGGTCTCGAACACCTGGGCTCAAGCGATCTGCCTGCCTGGGCCTCCCAACTTGTGGGGATTATAGATGTGAGCCCCCGCGCCCAGCCCAACACTTCTTAATGTTTGACTTTTAGACTCTGATCAGAGGATGGCTGCAGCTCCCCCAGTACTGAGCCTCCGGCCCTGGCAATTTTCAGCTATGGCTGAGCGTTAAAAAGTATGACGTCTGTGTCCTACCCTCTGAGATCAGTCTGAGGCACAGCCTGGGCATTAGCATTTTAAAGCCTCCCCTCCTGATTCCAGTGGGCATCCAGAACTGAGAGCCCCTGGGCTACTGAGCCACGGGCAGTTGGCCTCAGGTGCGGCGAGAGGGGAGCCGGGGCTGGCATCTGAGGATTCCTGCCCACCCCCACCACCCTCATCATCCACCAGAGCACGGGAGTGTGGCCCTGAGTAATGCTCCGGAGCCAGGGCCACAGCTTTCCCTAGCTCAGTGGAGCCCAAACTTGGCTGTGTATTAGAATCACTTGGAAATTTTTTAAAATTCCAAAGCCTAGTCCACACCCCAGACTAATTAAACCACAATTGCTGGGGGGTAGGGCACAGGTGGCAGTAATTTTTGACACTCCCTAAGTGATTCCAACATGTGCAAACAGGCCAGGTGTGGTGGTTCACACCTGTAATCCCAGCACTTTGGGAGGACAGAGGCAGGAGGATTGCTTGAGCTCAGGAGTTCCATACCAGTCTGGGCAACATAGTGAAATCTCGTCTCTACTAAAACAACAACAACAACAACAAAACCTGGGCATTGTGGTGTGTGCCTGTAGTCCTGGCTACTCTGGAGGCTGAGGCAGGAGGATAGCTTGAGCCCAGGAGGTTGAGGCTGCAGTGAACCACTGTGTTAGGCTCTCAGCTGGGTCCTTGATTGAGATGAGAGCAACCACCATCATCCCTTCCAGTGCCGGGTCTGCTGTGCTGCCCAAGAAATGGTGTGTGGAGACCCCCCTCCTGTTGTTATTTTTTTAAAGAACGCTTTTGTTAGCCAGGTGTGGTGTCTCACGCCTGTAATCCCAGCATTTTGGGAGGATGAGGTGGGCGGATCACCTGAAGTCAGGAGTTCGAGACCAGCCTGGCCAACATGGCAAAACCCCGTCCCTACTAAAGATACAAAAAATTAGTCAGGTGTGGTGGCAGGCGCTGGTAATCCCAGTTACTTGGGAGGTTGGGGCAGGAGAATCGCTTGAACCCAGGAGGCAGAGGTTGCAGTGAGCCAAGATCATGCCATTGCACTCCAGCCTGGGGGACAGAACAAAGCTCTGTCTCAAAAAAAAAAAACAACCAAAAAAAAAAAACCCGGGCGTGGTGGCTCACGCCTGTAATCCAGCACTTTGGGAGGCCAAGGCGGGCAGATCACAAGGTCGGGAGATCGAGACCATCCTGGCTAATATGGTGAAACCCCGTCTCTACTAAAAATACAAAAACTTAGCCGGGCGTGGTGGCGGGCGCCTGTAGTTCCAGCTACTCGGGAGGCTGAGGCAGGAGAATGGTGTGAACCCGGGAGGTGGAGCTTACAGTGAGCAGAGATCATGCCACTGCACCCCAGCCTGGGCAACAGAGCGAGACTCCGTCTCAAAAATAAATAAATAATAAATAAATAAATAAAAAGAAGAATACTTTTGTTGTTGTATTTTTTTTTAATAGCCTTTATTTTTTAGAACAGTTTTGGGCTTACAGAAAACTTGATCAGAAAGTAGTTTCTGTATACTCATTCTCCACTCCCACCCACCCACCAGTTTCCTCTATTATTTACATCATATGTTAGTGTGTATATTTGTTACAATATCAATACATTATTAACTGAAGTCCATAGCCTAAATTAGGGTTGTGTTGTGCAGTTCTATGGATTTTAACAAATGGCCAGGCGTGGTGGCTCACGCCTGTAATCTCAGCACTTTGCGGAGCCGAGGCACGTGGATCACCTGAGGTCAGGAGTTCGAGACCAGCCTGGACAACATGGTGAAACCCCCTGTCTACTAAAAAAGTACAAAAATTATCCAGGCGTGGTGGTGCATGCCTGTAGTCCCAGCCACTTGAGAGGCTGAGGCAGGAGAATTGCTTGAACTTGGGAGGCAGAGGTTGCAGCGAGCCGAGATCGTGCCACTGCACTCCAGCCTGGGTGACAGAGCAAGACTCCGTCTCCAAACAAAAATTAAAACCTGAAAATCCAAACTGGGAGAGAATCTGATAGATTATTCATTTAGGGACATTACTGGGAAACTCTTAGGTTGAGTCTAAACCAGTCTCAACCTTTTGCTTTCCAAACTTGGAAGGGTAGTTTGCTACTGCTACCTTCCTGAGTCGTGCTGAGGGAGCCCTGTATCCTTAAAAACAACCAAGAATGCATGCTTAGGTGGCCAAGTGAGAAGGCGATTGCCTGGAGCTGAGCCGTAATAGCTGGGCCTCTACCAGCCGTGCTGGACCGTGATGTGACCTGGAGCATGAGAGGCACATGCTAAGAACAGCAGAGCTGAGAGACGGGCTCCTGAGATCCTGCAGGTACAGTTGGGTCTCTGCACCGGCTGTGACCTGCCTACTTGCAGACTTCTTTTTTGTCAGAGAATAAAATTCTTTTTGAAGGCCGGGTGGGTTTTTTTCTTTTGTTTTTGTTTTTGTTTGTTTGTTTGTTTTAATTTTGTTCCATTTTGTTATTTGTAGCCAAACCTAATTCTAGCAGATATGAGTGGTTCTGTGGTTTGGCACAATGTCGCTCTGTCACGCATACCGGGGGCCTCGAGTGCTTGCTGGTATTAGGTGACACCAGGCAGTGGTGTGAGTTACAGAAGGGCAGGGGAAAGGAGAGGTGCCCTGGGGATGGCATCACCTGCCCTGTACACATTTCTGTGAATAAGCAGGCCAGGGGCCTATAGAGATGGTGTTGGCGGGTGCAGAGTTGGTTATAGCCAGGTAGGGAGGTTGTCAGGGGCACCACAGGAAAGGCCTTGGGCTCAGGGTGAGTGGGGAGAAAAAGGAAAGAAAGGCACCCTCAGAGCTGGCTGCAGGGTAGAGAAGAAACAAAAAGAAGGTTCCAAAAGAATGTGGGTGCAGATCTGGAAAAGAGCCGGTGAGAGAGAGACCAGGAACAGCAAGCGGTCAGCATTTCGCAGTGTCTCCCTAGACACACGGTTTTCTCAGGAGAGGCAGTGGCACTCTTTGGGAGAACGCCGGTCTGCCTGCATCCTGTGCTTACACTGTCATCGGGGCAACAAAATGTGCATGTTTTTAAAATAGGAAATGGATATGTCATAGTGTGGGGATACAGGATTTTTTTGTTGTTGTTGTTGAGGACCTGGCTCCCTTTGGTAATGACACTCCCTGTTTACAAGTCCAGTGGCTTCCCTTCATCCCTGGTCCTTGCCCCAGTCTTCCAGGCCAGCTGATCTGCTTCTCTCTCGCCCCCATCTGCCTCTCCATCCTCACCTCCAGCCCCTGGCCTTGCACCCACTCCAGCACCCTGGGCTCCTTGCTCAACCTAGAAGACAGCCGTGCTCCCTGGCCTCAGGTCTCTGCCAGGCTCCCCAAGTCACTCAGGGTGCTCCAGCGTCCCCTGACCACCCTTCCTCCCAGCCACGGATGCCACCCAGCATCATTGGGCTTTATGTATCTTTCATGTGTGCGTTGTGTGTCCCCCACCCAACACCAACAACCCGAGAGCAGGGCTGCTTTGTGTTTTGTTCACCACTGGGTCCCTGGCATTTAGAACAGCACCTGGTGTTTGCTTGCCATTTGCTGAGTGAATGCACGGTTGAAATGACTAAAGCTAAAGCTAATTGACTAAAGCTGGCAATATTGAAACAAGTTTAAATTTAAGTAGAAAAGTGCTGCGGGAAGATAAGTGATTAGATTTGGGAGGATATGAAAGAATTGGATTTTAAGCCTCCCGTAAACATTGTGAGCCCCGCACTCCAGTTAAGATCGGACTCAGTGGGATGGGTAGCTTGCTTTCCTTTAGGAACCAGCCTCCTGGCCCTCTTGCCCCCTTGCCCATTAAGGCTGATGGGGACCTCCCCTCCTCCTGTGGTATCTCGGATTCAGGGAACTAGAACTCAGGCAGATGGTGCTGCTTGGCCCTCCCAGTGCAGCCACCCAGCAGAGCTCATTAGCTGTTTGATTTGGGGGTTGGGGAGGATAAGAATGGAGCCTGCAGACCCAGTCTCCTGCCGCCAAAGCCCTAAGGCCCAGGCTGAGGACTCAGGGCACGAGGGAGGCCCAGAAGGGGGGCAGGAGCCAGGTCTTGGAGCTGAGGCTGGCGCTTCCAGTGACCGAAGAGGTTCTTGGGATGTGCATGGATTTCCAATTCCATGTAAGAGGTGCCAGGAGAACGGTAGTGAATTAACAGCTTCTTCCACGACACAGATGGAAAAGCCACTTTTATTTTAGGCCTGATGATTTTCTTCCTCTATCTTCCCCCCATACCCCCAAGTGTCAGTTCCATCCCAGAAGGGTAACCTAAAGGGACGCCTGCAGACTCACAGCCTCTTACACAGAGCCCAGAGTCTTTGGGCTGTTCATGCTGGCAAATTTTTTTAATTTTTTTTTTTATTTTTTTATGAAACGGAGTCTCGCTTTGTTGCCCAGGCTGGAGTGCAGTGGCGCGATCTCGGCTAACTGCAACCTCCACCTCCTGGGTTTAAGCAGTTCTCCTGCCTCAGCCTCCCAAGTAGCTGGGATTACAGGCGTGCACTACCACGCCCGGCTAATTTTTGTATTTTTAGTAGAGACCGGGTTTCACCGTGTTAGCCAGGATGGTCTTGATCTCCTGACCTTGTGATCTGCCCGCCTGAGCCTCCCAAAGTGCTGGGATTGCAGGCGTGAGCCACCACGCCCGGCTTTTTTTTTTTTTTTTTTTTTTGTGAGACGGAGTCTCACTCTGTTGTACAGGCTGGGGTGCAGTGGCACGATTTCAACTCACTGCAACCTTTGCCTCCTGGGTTCAAGCAATTCTCCTGCCTCAGCCTCCTAAGTAGCTGGGATTACAGGCATCCACCACCATGCCCGGCTAATTTTTTTGTATTTTTAGTAGAGACAGGGTTTCACCACATTGACCAGGCTGGTCTCGAACTCCTGACCTCAGGTGATCCACCCACCTCGGCCTCCCAAAGTGCTGGGATTACAGGCGTGAGCCACCATGCCCGGCCCATGCTGGCATTTTAAAAGACACAGTGTTCCGGTGCTCCCCTGGGCATCACCTAAAATGACTGTTCTGTGTCTGGAGGAACTGAGTTGGGGAGCTGGAGCCTGGCAGCCTGACATCTGAGTTTCCTCTGTGTCAGCTCTCCAGAAAGCCCTCATCGGGGACAAACAGAGCTCAGGAAAAGCTGAGTGCATGGCCCACTTCTAGGCAGTGTTAATTATGGGCTCCGGGGTGGTATTTTCCTGTCCTCAAGTCACCAGCCTCCACGGCTGCTGATAGGGACTTAACTGTCCCGAGGCCTCCCAGGCCCCTCCTCTGACACTGCTCCTGACACCTTGGCCTGGGTCGTGCTGTGCTGTGGAGCAGTTGCTGGGTAGGAGAGGGGAGAAGGGATGATGCCCAGCTGGAGGCTGGCAGAGTGGGCACTGCTGCCTGTGAGTCAGGAGGTTTCACAGCAGAAGATGCCTCTGTGTGGGCTGGGGTGGGGATCTCAAGGGGAGGCGGGCACAACCTCCTTGGGGTCTGAGGCTGCTGGCGGGAGGTTCCAACCCACCTGGGCCTCCCGGGGCCTCGCCCTAGGTTGATTGTCTTCCCCTCCCTGGAAAGTTCATCTGCCCGCCCACAGGTGCATGCACATACGTGCACAGTCCCCTGAAGGCCCTGGTGAACAGTTCTCTCTTTCCAGTGGAGTCTCATTGTGTTTTGCAGACTTCATTCTTCCCAGCTCGTTTGTGAGGCGAGTAAGGGGTATCATTACCACTCTTTACTTGTTAAGTTGCCCAAGAGAGGAAAAAAAAAAAAAACAAACAAACAAGAAAGTTTTTCCTCCTCCAAGAGTCTAATTACTTGTTTGGTGAGTCTCAACCCATATACATTTCCAAAGAGGGATACTCGATGCCTGCCGAAGAAATGTCCTTGGGCAGGTTTCAGAGACCCTCTGCCCGCCATCCTGCCGTCTGCCAGCACTGCAGCTGGGCAGGACTGTTGCCAGCACTTTTCAGTGAGCTTAGGAAACTGATTCTTACGGTGGTCCTTGCGGAAGTCCCCACCCCGCAGCAGCCCTCCCTGCTTTGTGCCTGTTCTGCCTCCAGTCTTGACATGCCATGCTGCTTTGTGCTGCCCTGCCTCCGTCTTTTCTGTCTCTGTGTCAGAAAAGAGACATTCCCATTCCACCTTCCACATTTCATATTCCTTGTCTTGTCCGCTCACCACCTCCAAGTAACACCTGCTCCTCTGAGAAGGCTCTGTACCTTTTACCTGCTTTGATTTTTGCATAAAGACATTCACTTGTATTTCTTGATCTGGCTTCTGTTCCTCCTAGACCATGAGCTCCTTGAGGTCAAGGTCTCCTCTAGCTTGCCTTTTTATCTTCCACACCTAGCTAGTTCCTGAACACAGTGGAGTGTGCTGAAGTGGGTCCTCAGGGTGGGACACTCACCCTCTAGAATGGTGAAGTCTCACGTATGTGCTTCTGATGTATCCCTAACCCAGCTTCCAGGTTCTTGAATCTGATGCCCCACCCATTGTCAAATTTAACATCTGCCTTCTGGATACTGCCAGCCCATCTTATGACTTGTTTTCAGTCTCCCTGTTTTGGTCCATTTGAGATGCTATGACAAAGTACCTTAGTCTGGGTAATTTATAAACTGGGAAATTTATTGCTTACAGTTCTGGAGGCTGGGAAGTCCAAGATCAAGGTACCAGCAAATTTGGTGTCTGGTGAGAGCTGCTCTCTGCCCCAAAGAGGAGGTCTTCTGGCCAATTCCTTATGTGGCAGAAGGGTAAAAGGGGCAACCAGCTCCCTCAGGCCTTCTTCCTTTATCAGGGCACTGATCCCATTTGTGAGAGCTCCATTCTCATGACCTAATTTTCCTCCCAAAGGCCCCACCTCTTGATGCTATCACACTTGGGATTAAATTTCAACATATGAGCTTTGGAGGCTATACATAAACACTCAGAACATAGCACCCTCTTAGCTGTGTAGTACTTGGTCAGATTTGTTTTGGATTCTCTCCATTCATTCATTCTAATTCTTCCATGCACCGGCCACGTTTTTAGGCATGGGGCCTGTAGAGATGACCAACACAGATGTGGCCCCTGCCCTCGTGGGACTCCTGTTCTACCGGGGAGAGACAGAAGGAGAAGCAAGTCAACTGCTAAGTCGGACAATGCTGAGGAATGAGAGCAGAGTGGAAACATAGGCTCTGTCCCTGGATGAGGTGTGGGAGCTCACGGTGCAGAGAACACATGGGGCAGGAGGTCTTGGGCAGCCATCCTTGGAGAAGACGTCTGGACCCATTCTTTTTTATCTTTCTACTCTCCCACTTATAAAAATGTCCTTAAGTAGTCTGACAGAAAAAAAGGCCCTGAGTACCTGAGTATGTAAGGTTCTCCCTGTTTGCTGACGTGGTCAGATTTTTTTTTTTTTTTTTTTTTTTTTTTTTTTTTTGGAGAGACGGAGTCTCGCTCTGTCACCCAGGCTGCTGGAGTGCTGGAGTGCAGTGGCTCTATGTCAGCTCATTACAACCTCCACCTCCCAAGTTCAAGCAATTATCCTGGGACTACAGGCTCATGCCGCCATGCTCGGCTACTTTCTTTTGTATTTTAGTAGAGATGAGGTTTCACCGTGTTGCCCAGGCTAGTCTCGAACTTCTTGAGCTCAGGCAATCTGCCTGCCTCAGTCTCTGAAAAGTGCTAGGATTACAGGTGTGGGCCACTGTGCCCGGCCGATGTGGTCAGACTTTATCATGAATGTTTGGTTAAATTGGGCAAGGGAAACTGGTCCCCATAGCGCACACTTGCTTAGGAGACACGCCCCAGGCTGTGGGAGGCAGGCGAGGTGTGCTCCCAGCAGGGATGGTGGACTAGGGATGCCCAAATGTTGCAGCAGCAAGAGTGCTGCAGAGGCTGCAGTGGGCTGAGTGTCAGCCTCGGTGCTTTGCAGCAAGAGAGTCTAAGGACGTGAGCCTGGTGTCCAGTGAGCCTTGTAGCTCGGGGCCTCTGGCACAGGACTCTTCGTGTCACTTGGCTGTGGGCAGCCGAGCACCCTGACTACTGCCTGATGTGGATGGCCAGATGGTCAGGGAGTGGTTGACCCAAGTGCAGCCATACCTTGAAGACCAGGTAAGAGAATATTCAAGAAAACATTGAAATTCACAAAGCCCCAGAAGTACTTGGAAACCACCAGTTGCTTCATTTCCCCAGATAACACCTGTGGTGTCAGAGAAGGCAAAAACTGGTTATCTTGGGCCAGGGGTCACGGCCAGCCCCTTCAGTGGGAGTGGTGCACCCTGCCCTCCGTTCCCCATTCTAACTCTCTGCTCCCTTTTGGCCTGACAGATGAAGACAAGCACCTGTGGTGCCCCTCACTGCAAGAAGTCAGGGAGGCATTCCACAGCCTGGGTGCCCACAGTCCTGCCCTGTACCCTCTGGGGCCCTTTTGGCACGGTGGCAGGTGAGTACTTCTGCTTCCTCACTGCCTTTTTCTTTCATATTTTTTAAGAGACAGGGTCTCTCTCTGTCACTCAGAACTGGAATACAGGGGTATAATCATAGCTCACTGCGGCCTCCACCTCCCAGGCTCAAGTGATCCTCCCACCTCAGCCTCCTGAGTAGCTGGGACTACAGGTACGCACCACCACGCCTGGCGAATTTTTTAATTTTTTGTAGAGGTGGCGGGGGGGGGTCTCCCTACGTTGTCCAGGCTAGTCTTGAACTCTTAGGCTCAAGCGATCCTTCTGCTTTGGCCTCCCAAAGTGCTGAGATTACAGGTATGAGCCACCCCATGCCCAGCCACCTGTTCTCTTGTTTGTTTGGAAGTTGCTGGACTCAGGCTGTATCCCATGTGTAGGGAATTACAGAACAACCACACACCCCCGCCTGAGGATCTGAGTATCACACCAGGAAGGAATTTCCTTGCTCCCAGCCTCAGGGAGATGGGAAGCCCCCAGGATGGATGAGCCTGTTTTTGGCACTTCCTGACTCAGCCCCCGCTGCCCCCACTCTCTGGTGAAACCCAGACTTCACAGCCTGGTTAGTATCCTTGCAGACACGTCCCAGTCCCTTGAGTCTCTTCAAGCCGCTTGTTTGGCCCGTTACCTAATATCCACTCAGGAACAGCAGGGCATGCTTTTATGTTCCCACAACCCTCAGTTTTGTGTCATGAGTGCCCCCGTTGAGCCCCGGGCTGACTTGCTCGTGGACAGTCATGATCATTTGCCTATGCCTGGTCCCTGCCTGTGGGGAGGAGTGCCACGTGATGCATAAATAGCTCTGGTGGGCGGATGGCGACTTAGCTTAAGGTCGTAAAAGTGTTATATATCGTCATCTTGTTCTACAAATTTTAGCACATCCAAACTCTCTTGAGAACCCTTGAAGAAGGTGATTTGAGATGGAACAGAGTGTTTTGAAGCCTGGAGGGGCTGTTGTATAGGACTTCCCCCCATGCTTCCCGCTGACAATCCGTCAGCGCCAGGAGGTGCCAGGCCCCCCTTCCCTCGCCTCGGCGGGCAGATGTTCCTCTGCATGGAAAGTGGGAGCTCTCCTAAGAACCTGTTCCACGACTGTGTTTAGCAATTGTCTGCCAAGCCAAACCACACTCAGCTCTGCTATAAATACCCCACACATGTGCCAGCCTGCCGTGCTCCTGCCCCTTTCCCTCCCGGAGCTCGCAGCTCCATGTCTGGTGTAATGAGCCACTTGCCTCCTCCTGGCACAGAGCTGCAATCGCACACCGTCTTGGATGAGCGGGGGAGAGAATTACACTCAGAAAGACAAATGAACGTCTGAGGCAGGCAGGGGCCGTGGAGTCCAGAAGAGCCACTTGTGACTGCTGTGATGAGTGTCCCTGTGTCCTCCTGGGAGTGGGAGGCGGCACTGGAGACATAGCCACTGGGTCTCGCTCTGCTCTGCAAAGAGCTGCTTCCCCCACTGCCTCCCGGTTCTCCCAGGATTTGACTGCGGCTTGCCCTTCATGCTGCGTGACAAATCCGTTGTCTCCAGAGGCAGAGTGGGCAGGAGAGATGAGAACTGTGGCCCTTTAAACACATCATCTCAAGTACTTTGGGACACAAACCCCGGCACGCAGACTTCAGCTTTCCCAGGCGCAGTTAAGCCTTGTGTGGGAGGAAAGCAGGGCTGTGTTGTCCTAGATCGGGCCCAGGGAGCTGCCAGGGCCTCATGTCGTGTCCCAGACACACCGTTTTAACATCTACCTCTTTTGGGCCCCAGACCTTGGCCTGGCGTTGACACCATTTCCCATCAGAGGATTCAGAACTACCCTCGAGGACCTGGCTGACAGCCGCAGGGCTGATTTCCCTGCTCCTGGCTCTGGGAGCAGGCTGGGGACCACCGGTCAAGCCCCTCAGGGCTGGGGAGGCTTTCCTGCCTGGAGCCCCTCCCCATGTCTTCCTCGGGGTAGGAGGATGGCGAAAATGCCTGGGTAGGTTTCCTGGGCTGCTGCGTTGTGTCATGGATTGGAGGGTGACCCCTCCGGAGTATTCGGGAAGCATCAAGGAGGTTCCAGCATCTCCTCCCCAAGGGTATGGCATCCTTCATGGATGCATGGGCCACAAGAGAAACCCCACGGCAGGCTATCTTCTCCCTGTGTTCCTTCTCGTCCTGGCTCCTCACCAACTCAGAGGCTGTCTTGTGCGAGCTGGCTCCGCCCAGGCATCTTTTTTCTGCTGACTTCCAGGGATGCCTCCATCCAGGGGAACGGATACCTCTGGGGCTTCTCCTGGGCTACCCACAGTGCCTCACAATGGCCAGGGCTCAAAATGAGGGCCTCAGACATCTGTGCATGTCCCCACCGTAACTGGGCTGTCTCTTTAGTTGCTCTGAGAAAGACAAGTCTTCCCACATTTCTTCCTAATCTCGGATTTCCTTAAAAGCCATCACCATCTCCCATCTAGCGCTTCCAGATTTCCTTTCAGAAAGATGCAGTCCTTCCGCAGCTGGGCCATGCAGATCTCCTGGCATCCAACTTGTTGGAAACAGTGGCCCTCTGCTCAATGATGAGACTGGGGAGGGGAAACAGGAGGACATTTCAAGGAAAGGATGGAGCGTGGATATGAATGGGAAGCGGGTGGTGGGGGAGCTCATCAGCATCCTCAGAGGGGCTCATGCCCACGCTGCAACACAGAATGGGACTTGCCAGGTGCCCCCATCTCCCCCAGGAGCACAAAGGAGGTCTTTAGGTAGCTGTGCATGGTCCTCCAAGGCTGTTCCTGCTACCAAGCCCAGCTGAAGTTAGAGCCCTGCTCTGATGCGCAGGCCTGGCCGCTGAAGACCAAAAGTCTGGAGCTGTTTCCTGGTGCCAGAAGCCTTGGCCACTTGGTTTTCTTTTCTTTTTTTTTTGAGACAGAGTTTCACTCTTGTTGCCCAGGCTGGAGTGCAGTGATGCCATCTCGGCTCACTGCAACCTCCGCCTCCGGGTTAAAGCGATTCTCCTGCCTCAGCCTCCTGAGTACCTGGGATTACAGGTGCGTACTACAATGCTTGCTAATTTTTGTATTTTTAGTAGAGATGGGGTTTCACCATGTTGGCCAGGCTGGTCTTGAACTTCTGACCTCAGGTGATCCACTCACCTCAGCCTCCCAAAGTGCTGGAATTACAGGCATGAGCCACCATGCCCCGCCAGCCACTTGGTTTTCAAAGGAGCAGCCTGGTGCAGAGACCAAAGGGGTAAATACATGACAATTAACACATTGACAGGGCGTCCTATCAAGTGAGGGGGCAATTGATTAAAGAGGCAGCTCTTGGTTAAGGTGGTAGTGGTGCTCATACACTGTACCTGCCATCTTCCCTCTGAGAATGTCAGAATGCCATGCAGATGGTAACTTTATTATTTTTTCAACTTTTGGGGGAAGAAGATGCGGAGACCTGGGTAGAGGCCAGTGACATGCCCCTTGTAAGGTTAATGAGTATTGAACGGTGTCTCCGAGACAGAAACCCAGTTCCTAGGTGCTGGCCACAGACCCTGGAGCCAGGCGTGGGACCAGTGAAGCTGCTTTGCTCATAAGAGTCCAATGGTGGGACCATCAGCTCACTCTAACCTGCTAAGCCCAGGAGGGGAGCAGGGATAATAGATAGGCCGTTGAATTCCCGGGCTGTGGCCCCTTGCTGGCAGCAGTGGTGGAGTTTCGGGGATCAGCTGATGCTGCAGCTCAGAACAGCAGCCACAGATGCCAGCAGTTTAGTCAAGTGATTCCTCTGAAAAGCGAGGATTAGAGGACCCCCATTATGTTGCCCATTAGTCCATGGGCTCACAAAGTTCTGGAACTCTGACCAGCCAGGCATTCACTTGGGAAGGCTGACATTTCTTTCCAAGGAGGACAGGGCTCTCCCCACAGCCACACTCCTCTCTGCAGCTCAAAAAACACATGTAACCACCTCACACCTTCAATGTTCCTTCTCCCCTTGGCAGCGTCTCTCTTCTGCAGATGTTTGTAGTCGACTCTGAGTGCCCCGTGCTGAGAAACCTGAAAGCACACCCACCTATGGCTGCGCGTGTTGCACGCTCAAGGCTGGTACGAACCAGAGCTTCCCCTCACGTACTGGCGCAGGCCCAGCCTGCGCCCAGATGTGCAAATGCCAGCCTTACCCATTCAGTTAGGGCCCTAATAAATGCTGAAATCTGGAAGAAGGACTGAGCCCAGCCACAGTTTCCACTCCCCCACCAAGTTTGGTTTGTCGGCACCAACTTCCTGGTACCTCGGAGACAGATCTCTCCTCCTTCCCCTCTGAGCCCAGCGCCAGTGCCAAGCAGAGAAGAGCAGAGACTTCACAGGAGCTGTAGGACAGTGCTCTTCCTCCCCTGTGCCAGGGGGCTGCCTGGAGCCTGCTGTCATCAGCAGTGTGGTTGTCATCAATATCTTCACTTACCACTGTTAGCAGGAACCTTAAGCCGTTTCTTAAGAGTGGAGAAGTGGGTGAGACAGCAGAGGGGACCCTCATCATAAGCTCACTTAACATACTTGAAATCAACAATGTACATTCGGCCATACGATGAAGGTGATCCCGCCCAGGCTCTCGTCCTGTGAGCGCGTGCCTGGGAGGGAGGCTTGTGGAAAGGGTGATGAGACTGCCATCCACAAAGCCCCACCGAGGTCCCCCTCACCGTAAGCATCTCACCACCCTGCGTGTGGCTTGATCTTTAAAGGGGGGGATTTTTCTTTCCCCAGCCCTGGTCTCTAACATCATCTGGTGCTCAGCCAGATTGGGTCCGTCACTCGGGGAAACTGGCCATGCAGGTCTTATCAGCAGACAGCACATCAGCTCAGGGTGACACCTTTGGAGGGGGTTTTCAGGGATGTTTTGTTCTGATTTCCCCCATACTTGCTGGCTTGTGAGCCAGCCCGTGTCAGCTACCACGTGGTGCACTTTGCAGTGTATGCAGGCTCACCCTTGTCGAACGGACCCAGGGAGAACTCACGGACTTTGGGGGGATTGGAAGTGTGATTTTCTGGTTTCCAAGTCCTGGAAAACTAAAGCTCGAGGCCTCACCTGAACGGTAGCATGTGGGAGCCAGTCCCCAAGGAGCCCCCCTCCATGTGTCCCCCATTCTTAGAGTTCACATAGTTCTGTAGCCTCCTCCTACACCAAGTCAGGTCGGCCCTGTGTGACCAGTAGAAGAGATGGGATGTCACTTTCGAGGTTAGGTTGTGGAAGGTTGTGGCTCTGTCTTGGGCATATTCTCTCTCCCTCTCTCTTTCACCACTGGCTTTGGAGAACCAGCGGCCATGTGGAGAAACTCTGTGGAGAGGCCCTGGGGCCTGTGGATCAGTGACCAGGTGAGTGAGCCGGGAGGCAGGCCCTCCAGCCTGTAGGCTCAGGTGACCGCAGCCCCACCCAACATCTTGAGGGCAACATCCGAGAGACCCCCGAGCCAGGACCACCCAACAGAGCTGCCCTGGATTCTTGGCCCTCAGAAACTCATGAGATCATCTGTGTGGAAGAATTTGCTGTGTCCAGCGGATGAGCAGCCTCAGGGCAGCAGTGTCCCACTTTGCGCCTCACTCCTGCCCCTGTGCCCCCTCCTGGGTTTCCCATCGTCACTGTTGTTGTCTTACCACAGGGTGCTTCCAGGCGAGGCTGGCCTGAATGAGAATGAGGAGCAGGACGCTCCCCAAGAGATTGCCTTGGACATCAGCCTGGGCCACATCTACAAGGTGAGTCAAGCCGCCTGCCTCATGCAGGGCACTCTCGGCTTACAGTTCAGACCCATTCAGCAGCTAAATTCCAGGAGCATCACGGAGAATCTCCGGCGAGCTCAGCACCATGGCAGGCACTGTGCTGGCTGTGGGCCGGATGCTACAGAAACTGTGTTATCGGACACGGGTCCTGATCTAGGCCCCAAGAGAGAGTTCTTGTACAAGAAAGAATTGGGGCCAGGCATGGTGGCTCATGCCTGTAATCCCAGCGCTTTGGGAGGCTGAGGCAGGTGGATCATTTGAGGTCAGGAGTTCCAGACCAGCCTGACCAACATGGTGAAACCCCATCTGTACTAAAAATACAAAAAAAAATCAGCCGGGCATGGTGGCGGACACCTGTAGTCCCATCTGCTCAGGAGGCTGAGACAGGAGAATTGCCTGACCCTGAGAGGCAGAGGTTGTAGTGAGCCGAGATGGCACCACTGCACTCCAGCCTGGGCGACAGAGCGAGACTCCATCTCAAAAAAACAAAAAGGCTGGATGCAGTGGCTCATGCCTGTAATGCCAGCACTTTGGGAGGCTGAGGCGGGTGGATCACCTGAGGTCAGGAGTTCGAGACCAGCCTGGCTAACATGGCAAAACCCCGTCTCTACACAAACTACAAAAATTAGCCAGGCGTGGAGGCTGAGGCAGGAGAATTGCTTGAAACTGGGAAGTGGAGGTTGCAGTGAGCTGAGATTGCACCATTGCACTCCAGCCTGGGCAACAAGAGAGAAACTCCATCTCAAAAATAAAAAGAATTGGAAGCAAATCCATAGAGTAAAATGAAAGCAAGTTTATTAAGAAAGTAAACGAATAGGCCAGGTATGGTGGCTCATGCCTGTAATCTTAGCACTTTGGGAGGCCAACGTGGGTGAATCACCTGCAGTTAGGAGTTCAAGATCAGCCTGGCCAACATGGTGAAACCCCGTCTCTACTAAACATACAATAATTAGTCGGGCGCGGTGGCGCGTGCCTGTAATCCCAGCTACTTGGGAAGCTGAGGCAGGAGAATTGCTGGAACCCGGGAGGCGGAGGTCGCAGTGAGCCAAGATGGCGCCACTGCACTCCAGCCTGGGTGACAGAGCAAGACTCTGTCTCAAAAAAAAGTAAAAGAATAAAGAATGGCTACTTCATAGGCAGAGCAGCCCCAAGGGCTGCTGGTGTAGTATTTTTATGGTTATTTCTTGATTATGTGCTAAGTAAGAGGTGGATTATGAGTTTTCTGGGAAAGGGGTGGGCAATTCCCAGAACTGAGGGTTCTTACCCTTTTTAGACCATATAGGGTAACTTCCTGACATTGCCACGGCATGTGTAAACTGTTATGGTACTGGTGGGAGTGTCTTTTAGCATGCTAATTCACTGTTATTAGCATATAATAAGCAGTGAGGCCGACCAGAGATCACTCTGGTCATCATCTTGGTTTTGGTGGTATCTGGCCAGCCTCTTTACTGCAACCTGTTTTATCAGCGGGGTCTTTGTGAGCTGTATCGTGCCAACCTCCTATCTCATCCTGTAAGAATACCTAACCTCCTGGGAATGCAGCCCAGTAGGTCTCAGCCTTGTTTTACCCAGCCCCTATTCAAGATGGAGTTGCTCTGGTTCAAACGCCTCTGACAAGCACACTCTCCACACCTGTGCCTGCCACCCAGGACCCTGCAGGGGCCTCACTGTTTCCTGAGCTCCTACCCAACATGGCCGCGGGGCTCACAGTACCATCCCTTCTGCCTAAGTGTCTCCCAGGGAACTGGTCCTCGAAGTACTCTCCCGTTCCCCCATGCCCTGGCCACCCCTGCCCTCTTTTCTCTCTCCAGTTTCTGGCGCTGTGTGCCCAGGCCCAGCCGGGGGCCTACACTGATGAGAACCTCATGGGACTGATTGAGCTGCTGTGCCGCACCAGCCTGGACGTGGGGCTCCGCCTGCTGCCCAAAGTTGACCTCCAGCAGCTTCTCCTCTTGCTCCTGGAGAACATCCGGGAGTGGCCAGGGAAGGTACTAGACGCCCAGAGCCTGGTCCTCATACAGCTTCATCACTAGGGACCAAGGTGGCCCCTAGAGTGCCCTGGGTGGGGATGGCACTGCCTGGAGGTCATCGGAATGTCCCTGATCTCCGTGACTGCCCACTTACTCCCCTGTGCGGGCTGGGTGGCGAGAGCAAGGGGAAGGCGGTGTCCTCCTGTAGCCCATGGGGTGCCGTTCTCCTGCAGCTCCAGGAACTGTGCTGCACCCTGAGCTGGGTGTCTGACCACCACCACAACCTGCTGGCCCTCGTGCAGTTCTTCCCAGACATGACCTCCCGGAGCAGGTGCGTGCTGCTCCCCCGCTGCCTCCTCCCTCTCACACGCATCTCTTCGGGGTCTTGTAGGGATCCAGAGTCCTCCCCATCAGCCCCAACAAACCTCCCCTGCCCAATTTCTAATCCCCAGGAGGGAGAACTAAAAATATAACTCACTAATGAGTTCTTTACAAATGAAAAAAAGCTTAATTTTCTTAACATGGTCTTATTAGCAAAACAATTGCCTTGTGCAATTAGCTCCTGCCTGCAGGGCCCCCACTCTCCTTTCTTTGGGGCTCCCTCCCCAGTCTTCAGCTCCTCCTCGTCATTCAGACCTCAGCTGAATTCTGTCCCCTGATCACCCGACTCCCACTCGCACACTCTCGATTCATCCTTCTGTTTTCTTTTCTGCCTAGCATTTACCCATGCCAGAAATTATGTTACTCTTTGTTTCCTTGTTTATGGCTGTGGCTTTCCTCGAAGTTACCTCTACCAGAACAGCTACCTTGTCAGGGTCACTGCCATATTGTCCCAGATCTAGAACAGTGCCTAGCGTGCTGTTCGGCGCTCTGTAAATTTTTTTTTTCTTCTTCTTGAGACAGAGTCTTGCTCTGTCACCCAGGCTGGAGTGCAGTGGTGCGATCTCGGCTCGCTGCAAGCTCCACCTTCTGGGTTCACGCCATACTCCTGCCTCAGCCTCCCGAGTAGCTGGGACTACAGGCGCCCGCCACCACACTTAGCTAATTTTTATATTTTTAGTGGAGACAGGGTTTCACCGTGTTAGCCAGGATGGTCTCAATCTCCTGACCTCGTGATGTGCCTGCCTCGGTCTCCCAAAGTGCTGAGATTACAGGCATGAGCCACCACGCCTGGCCTGTAAATTCTTTTCGAATGAATGAAGTGGGTAAACAAACTCAGCCCAGGAGGAGATAAGGCCCATTGGCTGAATCTGGCCCGGCTTCTCTCTCCACTTTCCTTCTCCCACTTTTGGCTACGGTCTTACAGGATTGCCTGCCCTTTCCGGAGCAGACCACTCCCATCCACTCGCCTTGCTCTTCTCTCTCCCTCTTCCCTTCTCTTTCTGGGCCTGTCCCTTTGCAGCTCCTCCTGCCTAGAATGACTCCTTTCCTACCCCTCAACTTTGGCAGACACCTCTGTGTTACCCTCCACTGGGACCCCTTCCCTTCCCCTGCACTGTTCCAAGGGTGGTCTCTGGGAGCCGGCTTGGAGTTTGAATCGCCTCACACCCCAGGGCCCAGCCTGGTAGAGGCTCTGCTTGTTGACTAAGTTACCTTCAGTTGTCCTGGGCTCCGCTTCAGTGCTGAGCAGGCAGTCCCATCTCTTTCTGTCTTTCCTGGGAATCTGGCTGGCAGAGAGGCAGCCTGTGCACAGTTGGGAGAGGGCAGGTTTCATCCTCTCTCTGAAAGAATGGGACTTCTGGAAGCTCTGTCAGAGGACTCCAGGGGCCTCAGTGAGGGAGGCTGCCTGCAGCCCAGCAGCCTGGTATTTCTTCATGGGATGGAGAGGCCGACCCTGCCTCCTGATTCCCTGTTCTCCCCAGACCGCCCATCCACTCTGCTTTGCCAGCTGGAAATTACAGTCCTAGAGGTTTCTGCCATCCCCACCTGTTACCCCTTTCGTCCCTAAATCCTGTCCTTTCTGCCTTCTGTATCCTAAATCCAACTCCGTGACAGCCAGGACCATGTCTGGCTCACGTAAATCAGTCACCTCCTTTCATCTCACCGGCTCACCTGGAGGGTGGCAGAGGCATTTCTTCCTCTTCTCCAAAGTCTGCCTGCTCTGTAGATGCCTGGGGGTTCCTGTGATGATCACGTCTCTGCCTTACCATGCTCCCCATTGCCTGCAGGGCCAGGTGCAAATTCTTAGGCTGGTCCCTAGGCCCCCTCATCCACCTCGTCCAGCCAGTTTCTCATTTGCTCCATCCAGGGCATGGTGTTTGTGGTTGTTTTTCTCACACATACACACAATAAACCTCACTCTTTTCACAGCTGCATAGTATTTCCCTAGTGTGTGTGCCACTGTAGTCTCCTAATGTAGCAGGGCGACCACAGTCCAGAACCCCTCAGACACCAAGTTGTGGAAGGAAAGGGCTTTATTCAGCTGGGAGCATTGACGGGCTCACGTCTCCAAAAACCGAGCTGCTTGAGTCAGCAATTCCTGTCGCTTTTAAGGGCTTACAACTCTAAGAGAGCCCGCGTGAGAGGGTCGTGATCGATTGAGCAAGCCGTGGGTACGTGACTGGGGGCTGCATGCACTGGTAATCAGAATGGAACAGAACAGGACAGGGTTTTTCACAGTGCTGTCCCGTGTAATGTCTGGAATCTATAGATAACATAAACCGGTTAAGTCAGGGGTCAGTCTGTAACTACCAGGCCTGGAACGCAGCACTGGGCTGTCTGACTACTGATTTCATTTCTTTCTTTTCTTTAACTCCTACTTTTTCTTTGAGGCAGAAATTGGGCATAAGATAACATGAGGGGTGGTGTCCTCCCTTACTAATACTGGACATTCTTCCAGTGACTGTTTAGTGTCTGTGCAGATATTTCTATGAGATAAATTCCTTGATGTGAAATTGCAACCCTAAAGTATGTAAAGCTGGACCTATTAGTAACACCACCAAATAGGTATGAAAGTGCATATTTTTCTGCATTCTCATTAATACTACATATTCCCAGTTTTGTTTTTGAGTTTTAGTCAATCTGGTGAGTGGAAAACATCATCCTGTGGTTCTAATTTTCATTTCCCTGATTGCCAGTGAAACTGAGTATCTTTTCATGTATTTATTGGCCTTTTGTGTTTCTCTTACTGTAAATTACCTTTTGGTATTTCTTACCCACTTTCCTATCAGTTAATTTATCTTCTTATCAACTCTGTTGATCTTCATGTTGCTTATTATGTTACAGTATGTTTTCTCCAAAGGTTATATAGATTGTCCTTTTTAAATCTTTATGTATGGTACCTTTCAGTGAACTGGAATTTTTTTTCTTTTTTTTTTTACTTTTTCAGTCCTTTTTTTTTTTATTTTAGAATAGATTTAGATTTACAGGACAGTTTTATGGATAATGCAGAGAATTGATTGGGATTTTTGTGTAATGTAATCTTTCCATGTGGAAGACGAAGGGTTTCCCCACCAAGACCATAAAGATAGTGTGCTTTCTTCTCTTTCAGGACTGGCTTTACTTTGTGTCCATCAGCTCTTAATCCCAACTCAAATCTGTTTGTCCTTGGTATGAGAGAAGGATCTAACTTGATTTTTTCCATCCCCAAACAGCCAGTGGGGACCCAACGTCAATTTTTCTGCCTTTTGTTTTGTTTTTTGAGAGAGGGTCTCACTCTGTCACCCAGGCTGGAGTGCAGTGGTACCATCATGGCTCACTGCAGCCTCGACCTCTTGGGATCAAGTAATCCTCCTGCCTCAACCTCCTTAGTAGCTAGGACTACAGACAGATGCCAACACACCCATCTAATTTTTAAATTTTTAGTAGAGACAAGGTCTCCCTATGTTGTGCAGGCCGATCTCAAATCCCTGGGCTGAAGTGATCTTCCCACTTCAGCCTCCCAAACTGCTGGGATCACGGGTGTGAGCCACCATGCCTCAGCTTTTTGGTCTTAATAATTCATCCTTTCAAGACAGATTTGAAGCTACCTTCTCCATATCCTAAGTTTATGACTTCACTCCTTCATCTGCTAGCCATGTTAAACTGTGATTTCATGAATCAGTGTCTTTTGTGGAATCTGTGGGTAGCTCCAGGGCCCATGGCAATTGCCCTTTAAATGCCAGGAAATGAATGAAACAGAGCATCTTGCGCCTGCCTTTCAGGCAGCCACGTCAGCAGGGTGATGCTTTGTGCCAAGAGCTTTACTAGGAAGGAGGGTGCCTTATCGGGATCAGTGTTATTGATTTTATTTTTCTAAATAGATAAAAGCATTCAAATAAAACAAAATTCGTAAGGTACCAAGGAGTACCTTTTTGAAAGTACTCCTTTCAAATTTGATGTTGAAAATGCGCTTCTTCCCCTGAGCCAGAGCCACCTGGCTGGCCGCCAGCCTCTGTCTGCGTGTGCACGTACCCGCCGTTTCCGCACCTTCTTTGCTCTTCAGGGTGTGTTCTGGCCGTCATCCCTGATTGGGTTGTAAAGGGCTCCTAATTCTTTTTTCCTGCCGCGTTGTACTCACTGTGGGTCTTCAGTGAGCTGCTGCTCCACTGTGCTTCCCGCGGCGGCCACAGAGCTTACTGGCTGCCTTCACTGGTGGCTGCCCCACTGGGCTCTGTGCCCAGACTGACCCCAGGAAGAAGGGCAGATTGGTGTACGAAGGGCTGTCACACTCTTTGTCTGCTCGACTGACTGGTTAAGCACAAAGCGAGAACTCCTGCTGACACTCATGCAGTACACCCGCAGCCCCTGCCTCAGCGTTCAAGACTTCATGGGATGCACTGCAAATGTAAGGAAGAGCTGGGCCTAACCATGAAAAATGAAAGTGAATACTAAGGCAGACCACCTGAAACAGAGCCAAGGGGAAGAGGAGGTTCTTGGAGGAACATCCACCTTGGGAGGTGGCGCCATTGGGGCAGCTCAGGCAGCTTTGGGAAGAGCAGCATGCCATCCCCACTTCTGTTCAGGGCTCCTGCAACTGCTTGCACTCTACTGAAAGCTGATGTCCCAGGCTCTGGGGATCCTCTTCCTTCACTGCCTGCGGCTATTCATTAAACATCCTGTGTGCGCTGCTTCAAAGCAGAAGGTCAGATGAAGCCAGCTCCCGCAGGCTGCCTGGTCAGATGGAGGAATGGACAAAGCCTGCGTAAAACGGCTCACGAAACCAGCCCTGACAATGACGTAGAGTTCCTTGCCTGGCAGACCAGAATCAATCCGAAAGGACAGTGCTGCCCAGTGTTGGCAGGATGTGAGGAAACAGGCATATGCTTCCCTGCTCATGAGATGCGGTCAGTAGTCCCTCTGGAGGCCAGTTTGGCAAAATCAAGCAAATGACTTTAAAATGTGCACACCCTTCAAAAAGCTAGATCGTTTTCTGGGGAACTAGATGGCAAAGATTCATTGACAAGGATGTTTGGCATAGCAATGTCATGATAGTGAAGAACTGGAAATTGCCTCAGTGCCCCACCATCGATTCAGTTCTGCCCGTGCTACGGAGTATTATATGGTACCTAAAAATGATGTCACAGGAAAATGGGAAAGTTAATGAAATACGCTGAGTGGAAAAAAGGCTTTGAAGCCATATGTAAAGTGTGATGCCAATTCTGTTTAGGGGAAAAGAAAGGCCATCTTTGGGTGTGAGGTTAATAGGAGTGTTTTTGGTTGCCTAGGGCTTATTTCCCCCTTTCTTTTTTTCTTTTTCTTTTTTTTTTTTTCCCACTCTGTCGCCCAGGCTGGAGTGCAATGGCACAGTCTCAGCTCACTGCAACCTCCGCCTCCCGTGTTTAAGCGATTCTCCTGCCTCAGCCTCCCAAGTGGCTGGGACTACAGGTGCGTGCCACCACACCCAGCTAATTTTTGTATTTTTAGTAGAGACGAGGTTTCTCCATGTTGGGCAGGCTGGTCTTGAACTCCTGACCTTGTGATCTGCCCGCCTCGCCCTCCCAAAGTGCTGGGATTATAGGCGTGAGCCACCGTGCCCATCCTCTTATTTCCCCTTTCTAAAGACCCTGTCGGCCTCCAAGCTCCTGCTCTTACCCCCACAGCCAGTTCTCACCAATTAGCCAGAATCACTTCTATTTAATAAGTTTTTAAAGTTTTGTTGGCTGGGTGCGGTGGCTCACACCTGTAATCCCAGCACTTTGGGAGGCCGAGGTGGGTGGATAACTTGAGGTCAGGAGTTCAAGACCAGCCTGGCCAACATGGTGAAACCCCGTCTCTACTAAAAATAGAAAAAAAAAAAAATTAGCTGGGCATGGTGGCATGCACCTGTAATCCCAGCTATTCAGGAGGCTGAGACAGGAGAATCATTTGAACCCGGGAGGCAGAGGTTGCAGTGAGCCGAGATTGTGCCATTGCACTCCAACCTAGGAGGCAGAGTGAGACTTCGTCTCAAAAAAAAAAAAAAATTTGGTTATAGATAATTTCAAGACATATACAAACGTTGAGAGGCTAGTAAAATGGACTCCATGTACCCATTTTCCATCTCAGCAAACACAGCCGTGGAGACTCCTCCTTCCCTCACCCATTGCCCCCCACCCCTGCCCCACATCATTGTGAATCAGAGCAAATGATTAGACTTATTTTATTCAGTACGTGTCTCTAAAAAGATAAGGTCTTGGTGGTTTGTTTGTTGTTGACAGAATCTCTTTCGCCGAGGCAGGAGTGCAGTGGTGCCATCCAGGCTCACTGCAGCTTCGACCTCCTGGGCTTAAGTGATCCTCCTGCCTCAGCCTCCCGAGTAGCTGGGACTACAGGCATGCACCATCCCACCTAGCTAACTTCTTTAAGTTTTTGTAGAGACAGGATCTCCCTGTGTTCCCCAGCCTGGTCTTAGACCCCTGGGCTCAAGTGATCCTCCCACCTTGGCTTCCCAAAGTGCTGAGATCACAGGCATGAGCCACAGTGCCCAGCCCTTGGTGGGTATTTTAAAACATAATTACAACATTATGATGACACCTAAAACACTGAACCATAAAAGAACTGTCATAAGCAATTGAGTCACTTCCCTGCTCCAGAATCTTCCAAGACTTTGCATCATCTTGGAAGGAAGCCTGGAGTCTTTAAGGTGGCCGCTAAGGCCCCTTTGCGGTGTGGCCCTGCCCTCTGCTCTTCTTCTCCCTGTCCCTGCGGTGCACTGGGCACTTGTGTCTTGATGCCCACCCTCCCTCATGCCCGCACGTTGGTAGGAGACTCCCCCCTTCTCATCATGGTGGTCTCTGCTCACATGTCACTGCCTCAGAGAGGTTTCACCTGATCCTTTTTTCCAAATGAGCTGCCACCTCAGGGCTCTGCACAACCTCCCTTTCCTTCATTTTTCTCCACGGACTACCAGGACCAGAAGTGAACTATGACCAGCCCTCCCCATGAGTATGAGCTCCCTGGGCGGGAGGGCCCCGTCCATCTCCCCCATGTCTGCATCCTCAGCACCCAGAACAGAGCGTGGACTAGAATATCACGGGTGCTGAGTAAATATTTGGCAAATAAGTAAAAGCCAACAATGTTTGGCTCTCTTCTGATCTCTTCCTGTGATGGAAATACATTGAGGTTTGCGGGGGGTGTGGGCTTCCTTCCTGTGTTGAGGAGGCGTCTTCCTCGCACCCTCCTCTGCACAGAAGCCGGGAGTCAGGCACTCCTTTGTTCCACCTCTGGGAGCGAGACCCAGGCCTAACCACTTGGATGCTCCTGAGGAAAGGACTCAGGGACGGCAGTCCTCACAGGCTTTTCTGGCCAGGGACCCTGCTGCTCCACACCCCTTGGCCAGGTTCTCCATCTTCCTGTGAATTCTGGAGCACCCCAGGATCCTCTCAGTGTTCTTATGTCTGGAGCAGCCAGCCAAGCAGGTTCTGTGTGGCCACCAAGGAGGAACTGACTGATGGAGCGGAAGTGCAGACAGGCTAGGGAGAGAGCAGCCTCACGCTCGTCAGGTCCTTGCGCACTGGGGATAAGAGCTGGGACAGGCGCAGATGCACCGTGGCTTCCCTCGAAACCCTCGTTTCCCTCCCATTTTGTTCACTTCCTCACTGTGGGGCCAGAGGGCCCCACCTTTCCTTCTCCCCTTACCACTGCCCGGCCCTGGGTCAGCTCCTGGACCCCTTCTCCACTGTGGACTCCCTGCCTGCCTGTTCTCAGACTTGAAACTGCACGGCCAAACAGTGATGCCACATGCATGTCCCTTGTCCCCACCTTGGCTCTTGACCCCTTCAGGCTGCCCGGAGCCACAGCGAGTTCCTGGCCAGCCTCCTGGGGACCTTAGCAGACTCCATGCTTCCTGCTGCTGAAGCCTCTGCACTCCCAGCGAACAGCCACCCCCACTAGACAAACGCAGTGCTCTCAGTTCTCACCTCCCTGCTGCCCACTGCACCCTTAATTCTGGATCCTGGCAGTCCTGCCTCTCCCAAAACCTTCTGCAGTCATCCCTTATTCTTGTACCGTTTGCTTTTTGTTCACTAGCTTTCTCTGCAGCAAATAAATGCGTTCCTGCGTCTCCTACCTTAAAACAGCCGTTCTGTCTCCACCCACATCTCCCTCGAGCTCCTGCCGCAGCTCCAAGCTTCCTCCCCCAGTTCTCTTTCACTCATGGCTGAATCCTGCCCACCCTCGGGCAGGTTGGATTCTTCGGAGCTCAGAGTGTCACAGAGAGCTCTCACTGTGGGCGGGTGAGGCCAGAAGGTCTGGAAGGAGGCAGTCAAGGCCCAGTCAACCTGGAGATTTCAGAAGGGCACCAAACCTGGAGGAAGGAACAAGAGGCAAGATGAAGGTCGCATCCGGAGCCTGGGCTGGAGCTGGGAGGCAGACAGCAGCGTGAAGGTGGGCGGCGGTCAGGCCATGATCGCCAGGAGGGGGACATGGCTGGAGAGGACGCGGCTCCCTCTCAGGTGGGATGTCTGAAGGACCTAAAGGGCCAGGAGCTGAGGAGACACCTCTTGGGGCACCAGGCACTCCAGCCAAGCTGCTCCGTCACCAGGGACCTCTCGGGCTCTTCCTGATGAGCAACCAGCACTTCCTTCCCTGGGCTTCCCAGGGCCCTCCTGGCTTCCTCAGCTGCCCTCAGGGATACCCCTCCCCCACCAGCCCTCGAGTCTTGGTGGGCCTCAGGATTCCACCCTAGCCCTTACTGTGACACAGGCCCATGAAGTCGGGGGTGCTAGGTGCCCCCCACTTGCCCCGATCCAGGACTGGGGCACTCTTTCCACTGCTGGGGGTGGCAGAGGAGTCACCTCTGCCAAAGGTGGTCACCTTACCAGGGCTGGGCCCCTTCCTTGGCAGCAGCCCAGTGCTGAGACACAAAGATCTTCCCCGTTGCCTTAGTTGAGGATGTCTCCGAAGGACCCTGCTGGCTCCGGAGTCCTTGTGGGGTCAGCTGAGGCCTTCACTGGCTGCGTGGCAGCCTGGTTTCCTTTGTCTCTCCCCGCATAAATTCCCTGCATCCTCTCTCCCTACGTAAATTCCCTGCTTGCTAATATCCATTTCAGAGCCTACTTTCTGGGGAAGCCAGCCTGAGACACCATCTCATCTGCACCCGAGGCCTCAGCTCCAGGCACATGCTAGCAGCTCCCAAATGAATACCTGTGGCCAGACTTTGCTGCTGAGCACCTATCTGTGTGGCACATGTCTGGGATTCAGCATGTGGGAAGCAGGAGTCACCGCCTTCCCAGGAGGACCCCTTCCCTGTCTTCCATGGCTCCATGAGTGGCACCAGTGTCTGCCCACTGCCCAGGCCTGGAGTCCTATGGACAGATTCGGTGCCCTGGAGCTCCCCAATCTCCCACAGTGCTCATTCCTCCTCACCCTCCCTGTCGCTGCCTTGGTGCAGCTCTTCCTGCAACCCCCTTGGATTTCCGCCAGAGCATCCCACTGTCTCTTTCCAGGCTTTCTCCACCAGCTCCACCTTGTGCTGTCCCGGAGTGTGACCGTCCTTCAGATGCTCATGTGTTCGCATTGCTGATGTGCATAAAATCTTTCAGACTTTCCCCCTCAGGGTGAAATGCCACGGTGCAGCCTGGGGTTGGAGGGCATTGGTGCCCCCTTTCCCAGGCTCACATGCCACCCTGCTCCCTGCAGGCTTCCACGCTTTTGCCGCGTCCTAGAACTTGGCAGCCACCCCAACTCAAGATGATCATTTGCCTCCAAGCTTTTCCGCATCTGTCTCCTCCTGGAGAGGCCTCTTCCCATTGTCCTCCTCTGCCTGGTTCACATCTCTTCAGCCTCAAGACGAGGCTCCGGCCAAGGCATCTCCTCTTCGAGCAGCCCTTGTTGCAGGCCCATCAGGCTGTCCCCCTCACTGACGCGGGCCGTGAGCATCAGAGGGACAGGTGCTGTGGCCGTACTCCCTGAGTCCACAGAGCCTGGCATGGCAGGGGGACTCACTCAGCACACTCGTGCTTTGTCTGCTTCTGGAGGGTAGATTTCAAAGAAGCATAAAGAGGTAGAACTTAAAAAAAAAGATTCTAGGGCCAGGCACGGTGGCTCACACCTGTAATCCCAGCACTTTGGGAGGCTGAGGCAGGTGGATCACTTGAGGTCAAGAGTTCAAGACCAGCCTGGCCAACATGGTGAAACCCCGGGTCTACTAAAAATACAAAAATTAGCCGGGCATTGTGGTGTGCACCTGTAGTCCCAGCTACTCAGGAGGCTGAGGTTGTTGTAGTGAGCCAAGATCACGCCACTGCACTCCAGCCTGGGCGACAGAGCAAGACTGTCTCAAAAAAAAAAAAAAAAAAATTAAGAAGAGAGATGTCTCAGGTGGGCTGGGAGATCTTGCACTGAAGCTTTGAATATGGATTACAAAGGAGCCCAGTGAGGAAAAGAAGGGAAGCATTAAAGGCTGCAGGGGCTCCCCTCAGAGCTTGTTCGTGGTCTCAGGTTTGGAAAGAAGGGCACCAAAGTAAGGTAGCCGGACAAACGGCGTGGACCAGCGGGAGTGTTGTTGGGAAATGCCGAAGGCCATAAAAGGAGTTTCTGTGTAGTTACTTTTGAAGCAAGGAGTGCGGTTTGGGGCTGACAGTAAAACGTTAGCCCTGATGCAGACGGAACAACACTACACAATTCGTATTTTGCTTTTGCCGTCTTTGTCAAGGAGAACAGTTTTTCATTTGGAATCAAATATTGGTCGTCGAAGGGGGTTAAAGCCTAAGAGAGTGTGGGAGGCTGCATGACCAACCTCACTGTGCAGAGGAGGCCGTCTCCCCGGTGGGACGGCGTCTCACTGCTCCTGGGAGACATGAAGTTGGGGCCGTGGCTCCATGGGGACTTTTGGAGGCGGAGGGCTTCCAGGAGATGGGGGCAATGGTGCTTGATGTGCTCCTCCAGGTTATTCTCTAGGGGATTCCGGCTTGGGAGCACATACGTAGAAAAGGAAACACTGCTTTCTAGGAGTCCTAACAAGAAATCATACCAGGCAAGCCTCACTTTTCCACAGGTCAACCAGAATCATACTCCAGAGAGGACTGTGCAGTGCCTGTATGTAGGTTTCCTGGGCATTTGGTAGAGGCTGTCACCATAGGCTGGGTTCGGCATGAAGGAATGCGGGTCAAATGATGACAGAATGAAGTGGGCTCATTATCAAAAGGTGCTGCTGGCCATCAGAGTGTGCCCAGAGGGCAGGCCCTGTCACCACCCCGAGTTCTGTCTCCACTCACAGGTTGGCCAGGGCAGGCCCAGTGTTTTGGATGAGGCTATTAATGGAACAATGGTCAGATTCACAGATGACATGAATACAACTGACAGCAGACCGAAGATCCCAGAAGATCTCAACAGACTGTAATGATGGACTGAGTTGAAAAGGGAGGCCCAGCTGCACAATTAAGAACAGGATCTGGGAAATGGGATTTGACAGCAAGACGTGTGAAAAAAAAAGACTTTGGGCTCAATCTGTTAACTGCGTTGTGTTGTGGGGCTGCCAAGAAAATGAGCATCAGCCTCAACTCCGAGTGTCGCACTTGAAAGGGAACATTGACAACCCCCAGGGCCGTCAGAGGACCCAAACCAAAATGGCAAAAAAAGATACAAAAAGATGGGAATGAGGGGGCTGTGGCACCTGCAGGAAGGGGCAGCCACGGGAATGTGGCAACTTCTTCCAAGCGTAGAGGACCTAGGTTGGCGGAGAGCTCCCTCCTGGAGGCCCCAGAGGACAGGATCCAGAAGCTTTGAGTGGAAGTCCCAGAAGGGCAGGTTTTGGCAAAATATGGGAACGATTTCCTTTGGTTAGTCCGGTAAATGAATTTGGGCTGTCTTGGCAGATACTGCACTTCCTTTGCTGAAGTGAACACTTATTGGGGGTGTGGCAAAGAGAATTAAAATGGATAACTATGCAGAAGCTAGATTAGGTGACTTCAAGGTGTTTTCTTTTTTCTTTTTTCTTTTTTTTTTTTTTTTTTGAGACAGAGTCTTGATCTGTCGCCCAGGCTGGAGGGCGGTGGCGTGATGTCGGCTCACTGCAACCTCTGCCTCCCAGGTTCAAGTGATTCTCCTGCCTCAGCCTCCCAAGTAGCAGGCATTACAGGTACCTGTCACCACACCCGGCTAATTTTTGTATTTTTAGTAGAGACGGGGTTTCACCATGTTGGCCAGACTGGTCTCGAACTGACCTCAGGTGATCCTCCCACCTCAGCCTCCCAAAGTGCTGGGGTTACAGGCGAGAGCCACTGCGCCCAGCAGACTTCAAGGTGTTTTCTAAGCCTGAGGTTCTGTGATTTTTATCATACAAAGAGGGAGATGAGAATGGAAGTTGGTATGATTGTTCATGTGTACCTTTTAATTTACTTATAATACGTGTGAATGGAAGGACCCATATCATAGGTGGACACTTCGTGCCCTTTGCAAAAGAGATCATCCATGTACCACCTGACCATGGGACAGAATGTCTGCCGCTCCCCAGAAGCCCCATCAGGCCCCTGCCAGGCGTTCCCTCCTGCAGAGGTAATCACTTTCACAGCTTCCATCACATAGATTCATTTTACCTGTTTTGTTGGTTGGTTGGTTTTTGAGAGATGGGGTCTCCCTATGTTGCCCAGGATGGCCTCGAACTCCTGACCTCAAATGAGCCTCCTGCCTCAGTTTCCCAAAGTGCTGGGATTACAGGTGTGAGCCACTGTGCCTAGCCCAATTTTGCCTGTTTTTAAACATTTATATAAATGGGACCATGCAGAGCATTCTCCCTTGGGTCTGGCTTCCTTGGCTCAACACCTGGTTTGTGGGGCCTCTCCACGTCAATGTGCGTGGTTATATATAGACGGGTTCCTCATGTTGCCCTGTGGTGGTCCACTCGTCTGGGTCTGTGGCCGACTGTGTCCCGCCGTCTATTCCCGTCCACACTCTGTGTGCTCAGACTGGTCTGTGGATGACCAGGCAGTCTGGTGGCTGTGGGCTTGCAGACCCCCGGGAGGGACAACCAGCTTCTAAGCCCACCCCCTTGTTCTTCCCACCTGGCAAGTGCGCAATGAAGAGTCCAGGGAAGGAGTGCCGAGCAGGTGGCTGACAGGCAGCCTGATGGACAAGAGGCCCGGGGTGCGAGCCAGGCGGACGCCCTGAGGCAGCATGTCAGGCAGCATTGCCACGGTGGAACAGGCCACTGCCGTTGCTTCCTGAGCTGCCCTGGAGACTGGAAAAGGCAGCTCATGCCTTTGGCCAGGTGCCTGACAGCCTTTTAGGGCAGTTCAGTCTTGGCAGGGCCCAGTTCTCCTCCCAGGGAGTGAAGACAAGGGGCTCCAGAGGGGCTGTGCTGGCCTATGTCACTGCCCGACATCCCAGCAGCCCACGTGGTTGGTGCCTTTGCCTTCCTGGGTGCCCCTTGCGGAGGCTAGGAAGCAGAGCGCTGGCATTCCACTTCTGGCCCTGCTGCGGGTTTGGAAAAGTCATTTGTGAATGTCTCAGTGCCTTCGACTCCTCTGAGTGCTAATCCAGTGTCCTGGTCTTGTGGAGGCCCTTGGTGGGTGGAGGGGGACAGGGCGGAGGCAGAAGCTGGCCTGGCCTAGCCTGGCCTGGCTGGTGCACGCCAGGGCTGGAGCCTGTTGCCTTATATGACAGTGGCTGGGATGGCCCCATGGCTTCTGCCTCCTCCTCTGAACCTGGTTGGAGTTCCGGGGAGGCCTTGCCAGGTGGGGTCAGGCCTCTTCTATGGGAGGGAGAGCCCACAGCCAGCCTCAGCCAGCCCCTCTGCTTGTGCCCTGCACAGTCTGGGTGGTGGTGGGGTGAGGCTTTTCTTTTTCTTCTCCATGGAATAAGTTCTCAGTCTGTAAAATAAAAAAATGGTCTCGCCCCGCCCCCTGCCCCCTCCTTGCTGTGTCCCAGTGGGAACTAAGAATGCAGGACGGGGTTTAAAAGGCGGGGAGGGCCATCAGGATGAAAGGCAGTGGGCAGGCGGGGACAGCAAGGGGGCTCGCCACTCACATGTGGGTTTCTTTTCATCCATGCACCCTCTTGGTGCTTCTTGTGGTGCTTTTCTTCATTTCTGGATAACAGCCCCATCCTGACCCACCCTGCCCGCCTCTTCCCTTCTGGAACCACCCCTGGCACTGCTTTGCCGGCCTGCCTGCTCCCCTCACCCCCGGGCCGGGCAGGCCCTCCTCGCCCGCTGTGAGTAAACGAGTAAACGAGCTCCCGCGCAGGCCTCAAGTTTTGGATTAATGAAGCCCAGATGCAGACTTCTGACTGGCTTTGAGTTCACTGTGGAGCAGCTCAGAGGGGCCATTGACCTCCCACTGTGTTCCCGGCCCAGCTGCTGCTGGGGCTCCCAAACAGCTGGAAAGCTGGCCCTGTCTGACAGGGAGGCGAAGGCCTGTGCGTGGGGGAGAACCTGAAGCTTGGGGCTCTGGGTGTGGGGCCACGGGGTGGCCTGCACCCACGGGGGTCTGTTGTAGGGGCCGTAGAGAGGGGATAAGGGGCTTCTGTTAGTTATCCCATGGTTCAGTCCGGGTGGGCGCTGCCTTTCCTCAGTGCTCAGTGTGGGGGAAGTGGGAAGTGTTGAGTGAGTACACAGTGGTGCTGCACAGGAGGGGGTTGAGGCTGAAGGGGCCCAGGGTCAGGGCACCCCCACGATGGTTCACATCAGGCCTTCACAGTCAGGCATGGAGGGGAATGGTTGGTCCCTCTCAGGGTTGCTAGACACGATGCACATATCACATGGGATAAACTTATGCCAGAAAAATTATTTTCGGTCGGGCTTGGTGGTACATGCCTGTGATCCCAGCTACTTGGGAGGCTGAGGCAGGAGAATCGCTTGAACCCAGGAGGCGGAGCTTGCAGTGAGCTGAGATGCCGCCACTGCACTCCAGCCTGGGAAACAGAGCAAGACTCCTGCTCAAAAAAAAAAAAAAAGAAAGAAAAAGAAAAAGTATTGGCTGGGCGCGGTGGCTCACACCAGTAATCCCAGCACTTTGGGAGGCTGAGGTGGGCAGAACACTCAGGCGGATCACCTGAGGTAGGGAGTTCAAGACCAGCCTGACCAACATGGAGAAACCCCGTCTCTACTAAAAATAAAAAAATTAGCTGGGCGTGGTAGCACATGCCTGAATCCCAGCTACTCCGGAGGCTGAGGCAGGAGAATCGCTTGAACCGAGGAGGCAGAGGTTGCGGTGAGCCGATATCGCACCATTGCATGCCAGTCTGGGCAACAAGAGAGAAACTCCATCTCAAAAAAAAAAAAAAAAAAAAAAAAAAAATATATATATATATATATATATATATATATATATATATATATACACACATATATGTATATTTTTGTGTATATATATTTTGTATTTTTAGTAGAGACGAGTTTTCTCCATGTTGGTCAGGCTGGTCTTGAACTCCCAACCTCAGGTGATCCGCCCACCTCGGCTTCCCAAAGTGCTGGGATTACAGGCATGAGCCACCGCACCCGACTTAACTGGGCATCTTATATTTTAATCTGCTAAATCTAGCAATCCTATCTCCCTTCCAGCTGAACTTTTTTTTTCTTTTTCTTTTTCTTTTTTTTTTTTTGAGATGGAGTCTCGCTCTGTCGCCCAGGCTTGAGTACAGTGGTGTGATCTCTGCTCACTGCAACCTCTGCCTCCCGGGTTCAAGCAATTCCCTGCCTCAGCCTCCCGAGTAGCTAGGATTACAGGTGTGTGCCACCACGCCCAGCTAATTTTTGTATTTTTAGTAGAGATGGGGTTTCAGCATGTTGGCCCAGCTGGTCTTGAATTCCTGACCTCAAATGATCCACCCGCTTCAGCCTCCCAAAGTGTTGGGATTACAGGCGTGAGCTACTGTGCCTGGCCTGAATTTTTTTCTTAATTGTTTTATTGAACTACAATATACAAACAATAGAGCAAAGACAGTTAAGTGTATGGCTCAGTGCATTTTCACAAGTCCAATGCACGTGAAGCCAGCACCCAGGTCAAGAAATGAAACATGATCAGAACCTGCCCCCCACCCCCACCCCAGGGTCATGAGTATCCAGACTTCCAACAGCTGAAGTTTGCCATTTGCATTTTTTTTTTAAGAGTTGGGGTTGCCTGTAATCCCAGCACTATGGGAGGCTGAGGTGGGTAGATCATGAGGTCAGGAGTTCAAGACCAGCCTGGCCAAGATGTTGAAACCTGTCTCTACTGAAAATATAAAAATTAGCTGGGCGTAATGGCAGGCGCCTGTAATCCCAGCTACTTGGGAGGCTGAGGCAGGAGAATCGCTTAAACCCGGGCATAAAAGAGTTGGGGTCTTGCTGTGTTGCCCAAGGTAGCCACAAACTCCTAGGCTCAGGCAGTCCTCCCACCTCAACATCCTGAGTAGCAGGGACTGCAGGCGTGGAGTACTGTAGCTGGCATGCCCATGTTTGTACCTCATATAAATGAGACCCTGTTGGCTGGGCACAATGGCTCATGCCTGTAATTCCAACACTTTGGGAGGCCAGGGCAGTTGGATCACCTGAGGTCAGGAGTTTGAGACCAGCCTGGCTGACATGGTGAAACCCCGTCTCTGCTAAAAATACAAAAAAAAAAAAAAAAAAAAAAAATAGCCAGGCATGGTGGCGCGTGCGTGACTGTAGTCCCAGCTACTTGGGAGACTGAGGTAGGAGAAATGCTTGAACCCGGGAGGCAGAGGTTACAGTGAGCCGAGATCATGCCATTGCACTCCAGCCTGGGTGACAGAACGAGACTCTGTCTCAAACAAAACAAAACAAAAAATGAGACCATGCAGATACATTTTTTGTGTCTGGCTGCTTTCCTACCACACTGGAGGTCGTTCATGTTGTTGGAGGTACTTGTGGTTCATTCATAATCACAACACCCCCCCGTAGGACTGAGCTGTATGGATACAGCCTGATCTGTCTGTCCACTGTGCTGTTGCTGCTGCTGCTGCTGCTGTGCAAACCTTCTAGTGCCTCTCCTTTTTTTGCAACTTTGTACCTAGGAGTAGGATTGCTGGGCATGGGGTGGGCATCTACACATCTTTAGTAGATCTTGCCAGTTTTGGGCAGTGGCGCACCCATCAATATCCTGCCAGCTGTGTGTGAGTGCCCATAACCCTGCGCCCCCACCAGCACCTGGCATGGCCCCAGCTCGTGTTGGCTCTTCTGGGGTGCGGTGCTGCTGCTGCTTGTTCTGCTTTTTGAAAAATCCAAGAGTCCGCTGCTTTGTCGAGTCCTCTGACTTTCTTGACTCTTTCCTAAGAAAATCTAAAAGTGCCCCAGGATTTTAGACCCTAGATTAATGCCTCTGTGATCCCAGCCTCACCGGAGCTTTGAGGAAGCCATTCCTGCCTCAGTTCCCGTTCACCCAGGGAGCCTCTCTGCATGCAAGGCTGGGGTGAGAGGTCCAGGGGCCAGGGGTTCCAGGCACAGCTGTCTCTGGGCATTCTCAGGGCTCTGTTTCAGCCTCTTTGCCTCCCTGTGGCTTCCTCTTCCTGATTCTCCCTCCAGGAGGCAGGATGGCCACCAGTGGCTGTAGTGGCGGCCCTGCTGGAAAGGCCTGCATGCCTGCACTTTGCTGATAGTTCAGCCACAGCCCGAGGCCACCTCTCAGTGACTGGGTCAGGTGCCTGTCCTGGGAGCCTGGCAGGAGATGGATTTCCCAAAGGAAAGCCCAGTGGATACTGGGTGAAAAGAAAACCATGAAGTTTGGCCTGCTGAGGCCAAGTCAGTCCCCCAGCCTCCCCCACCCTGCAGAGGTGGAGCCACAAAGGAAAGAAGAGGCAGAGGCGTATTGAAAAGCAGTTCAGCCGGGCGCGGTGGCTCACGCCTGTAATCCCAGCACTTTGGGAGGCTGAAGCGAGCGGATCACGAGGTCAGGAGATCGAGACTATCCTGGCTAACATGGTGAAACCCTGTCTCTACTAAAAATACAAAAAATCAGCCGTGCATGGTGGCGGGCGCCTGTAGTCCCAGCTACTCAGGAGGCTGAGGCAGGAGAATGGTGTGAACCCGGGAGGCGGAGCTTGCAGTGAGCCGAGATTGTGCCACTGCACTCCAGCCTGGGCGACAGAGCGAGACTCCGTCTCAAAAAAAATAAAATAAAATAAAATAAGCAGTTCAGTGCTGCTGCCTCTATGGATCCATGGATATGTATCGGCAGAGGGGATAAAAAACTAAGAAAAGCCCAGCTCTGTGGGCCTCTGAAATTACCAGGGACTTGAGTTTTTGTGTGGATTTATTATTTAATTTTCTGATCATGAGAGTTTCATTCCTCCTAGAATACATAATGCTGTAAGCCAATGGAGAAAGCCCTTTGCTGGGGTACCCCAGATGGAGGGTGGCTCCCCCAAAGTCCCCTCTCCATGGGTATCCTGCCCCCTGCTCGGGCTCCCCGACTTCCAGCACACCCTCTCTCAGGCTGTCGCTTTTCCCCCAGGCGGCTTCGAAGCCAGCTCAGCCTTGTGGTCATTGCTCGAATGCTGGGCCAGCAGGAGATGCTCCCTCTCTGGCAAGAGAAGACCCAGGTGAGTGTTTGCTTCAGGCCTGGGCAGGAAGGCCATGGCCTGCGGGCTCTGGAGGCTTTCCCCAAAGGCCAGGAACATCAGGCCCCAGAGCTAAGCTGGCTCTGAACTCTCTACTCATGTTCTTTCATCAAGAATTACCGCTTGCATGCCAGCCATGTGCTAGGCGCTGAGGACAGAGCAGTGAGCTGAGAGCCTGTCTTTTTAAAAAATTGTAGTTGCTGGGCACGGTGGCTCACGCCTGTAATCCCAGCACTTTGGGAGGCTGAGGCGGGCAGATCATGAGGTCAGGAGATCAAGACCATCCTGGCTAACACGGTGAAACCCGTCTCCACTAAAAATACAAAAAATTAGCCAGGTGTGGTGGCGGGTGCCTGTAGTCCCAGCTACTCGGGAGGCTGAGGCAGGAGAATGGCGTGAACCTGGGAGGTGGAGCTTGCAGTGAGCCAAGATCGCGCCACTGCACTCCAGCCTGGGCGACAGAGCGAGACTCCATCTCAAAAAAAAAAAAAATTGTAGTAAAAGCTGGGTGTGGTAGCTCACACCTATAATCCCAGCACTTTGGGAGGCTGAGGTGGGCGGGATCGCCTGAGATCAGGAGTTTGAGACCAGCCTGGCCAATGTGGTGAAACCCTTGTCTCTACTAAAAATACAAAAACTAGCTGGGCATGGTGGCGGGCACCTGTAATCTCAGCTACTTGGGAGGTTGAGGCAGAGAATTTCTTGAACCCAGGAGGCAGAGGTTGCAGTGAGCATTTAATTCAAATAAATGAATTAAATTCATTTATTTAATTTTTTTGTAATCATCTTAACCATTCTTAAGCATAGTGTTTCAGCCATTTCTAAGTGTACAATTCAGGGACCTTAAGTTCATTCACAGTGTTGTGCAGCCATCACCACCATCCATCTCCATAACTCTTTCAACTTCCCAAACTGAAACTCCACACTCATTAAACACAACCCCCCAACAGTGCCCACAGCCCATTTTTTTGTTGTTGTTTATTTTTTATAGTAAAGCATAAAAACAAATACTGTTTGTAAAGATGAAAACAAATACTATTAAATTAAAACTACTCCCTCTGGTGTCCCCTCAGTCCCCAGGGTTAGGTATTGTTGGGGCAGCAAGGGCATTAAGAGGTCGGCCTTCTGAGCCGGGCGTGGTGGCTCACGCCTGTAATCCCAGCACTTTGGGAGGCCGAGGTGGGCGGATCACTTGAGGTCAGGAGTTCGAGACCAGCCCGACCAACATGGTGAAACCCCGTCTCTACTAAAAAAACAAAAAATTAGCCGGGCATGCTGGCAGGCGCCTGTAATCCCAGCTACTCGGGAGACTGAGACAGGAGAATTGCTTGAACCTGGGAGGCGGAGGTTGCAGTGAGCCGAGATCGCGCCACTGCACTCCAGCCTGGGCGACAGGGCAAGACTCTAAAAAAAAAAAAAAAAAAAGAAAAAAGAATTCAGCCTTCCTGTCCTGTTCCTCTTCTCTCCAAAAAGCTCTGACTGCAGGCTCCTGGCAGCTCAGAGGACGTCACTTCACGGGGTGATGAAGGGGTCACTGGCAGCCCAAGGATGGATGGAAGGGAGGTTGAGCGCGCCCGCACCTCCGCAGTAATCTTCCTGGAATCCTGGGAGAAGAGCTGCTGGGTACAACTGACCCTTCCAGCTCAGCTACACTAGGGGTGCTCTGGCTAGAGGCTGTGCATCTCTAGCCACTGAGGCAGCATAACCCCTTGCCCAGAGGGCTGAGACAATGTTCCAGCACATCCCTGGGTGAGGTGGACCATATGTCTGAGTCCCAGGTGCTGTGACTGCAAGGAGGGAGTTCAGAGAGGTGACCGGTGGGGTTGGGTTGTCTGAGCGGCTTCGGCCTGGCTTTTGCCTCAGATGCCTCCTTTGCCTTGAATGCTTCCCCCAGGCCTTAGTAGAACTGGAGCTTCTTGTCATTCCCACTCCAGCCAAAATGTCACCTCTGCAAGGGGCCTTCCTGACCACCCAATCCAGAGTGCCCCAGCACTGGCTGTCATCTTGTCCTAAGTCACTCCTGGTGGCCACCCCCTGATCTTTTCCTATTTGTTTGCTCAGCATCTGTGTTTTCCATCCCCTACCCCCAAGCAGAAAATAAGCCCCTGAAGAACAGGGAACACGTAGTTTCTGGCCCCTGCTGCCCCTCGGCACCTGGCGGTGCCTGGCACACCCCGGGAAGGCAGTGCACGCTTGTGGAAGGGACAGGCACCCAGGTGGGTCGTCGGGGTGCATGGGGAGAACGTGCCCCAGCTGAGACCTTGGGAGGGGCAGTGAGGAGGTGACCGGTGCTGAGGTTACTTCATAGATGGTCTCTGTGAGGAAGGAAGAACAGAGGGACCCAGCGGTGTTGCTGGGAACAGCCAGCAGTTAGAGGCAGGGGGGAGCACAAGATGGGGTGCCTGGGAGGGCTCTGGGATGCAGGCTGACGGACAGGCCCAGCGCAGAGTGGAGGCCAGAGGGGGCGCGACACAGGTGGCCAGAGAGAGAGTTAGAGCCAGTTCAAGGCTTGGCATTTTGCTTCATTTTGTTTTTTCTTGGCCAGCAGCTGTGCATAGAGTGAGGAGAGCTTGGTGGGGCTGCCTTCCTGGTGGAGGTCAGAGTGGCAGAGGGGAAGTGTCATGGAGGAAGGGCTGGGTCGTTGGGCCCAGGAGTTGGAGGCTACAGCGAGCTATAATCACACCACCGCACTGCAGCCTGGGCAACAGAGCCAGACACCTTCTCTTAAAAAAAAAAAAAAAAAAAAAAAAGAGTGGGGAATGGGGGCGCGGGAGGCAGTGTCTCTGGCCTGTAATCTCAGCACTTTGAGAGGCTGAGGTGGGAAAATCATTTGAGCCCTGGAGTTCTTTACAAAAAGTAAAATAATTAGCTGGACATGGTGGCATGTGCCTCTAGTTCCAGCTACTTGGGGTGGGGATGCTGATGTGGGAAGATGGCTTAAGCTCTGGAGGTCAAGGCTGCAGTGAGCCATGACGGCTCCACTGCACTCCAGCCTGGGCGACAGAGCAAGACCCGCTTTTTTTTTTCTTTTTTTTTTAAAGTACATGGAGTGGCGCTGCCTCCCCTTGAGAGATCCTGGCCAGGCAGGTCTCCCAGGCTCCCCAGGGGCCAGGGTCTTGCAGCCTGTCAGGGCCAAGCCAGGTCCAGCCCACTTGCTGCATGCCCACCATGCACCCATGTGTTTATTAGACACTAGCTGAGCAACCTGAGTGCCAGGCTCTGTGCCAGGTACTGGCACTGGGGAGACAGCACCAGATGACCTCAGAAGAGAGGGGTGAGCAAGTCGGCCACGGCCATAGTGACTAACTCTGTCCAGGCACAGTGCGGCAGCTGCTAGAGAAGATGCCCTGAGCCAGGTCTTGGAGGCTGAGTCAGTGCTTGTACTGCAAAAAGGAGAAAGGGAGTGAGAGATTCATGGCGACTGGAGGGATAGGAAGGACTGGCAGGGGCCTGCCCATGGCCTTCCTGGAGCTCCTTCCCCATCTCCACTGCAAGCCCAGGGCTGCTCACAGCCTCCTCCCAGGTCTTCAGGCTGCCAGGCACTCCCCTTTCCAGTCTGGCCTGTCAGACCTTCCTGAAACACTCCTTCAAAGGGCCACCTCGTCCCCACAGCCACCCACTCAGCCCACATGCCCCTTTCCCAATGTCTCCTCCACGGGGCTTGCCAGTGCTGCATGTTCTCATCGGGCCTCCTCACAGGCCCTGCCTGCCCTCTGCACACAGCTTTTGCTGTGTCTGGGCCTCTTCTTCCTTTCCACCTGTCACCCCCGACCCGCAGTAGTGGCAGCTCCCATGTACAACAGCACAGCTGTGTCCTGGCTGCTGTCCTCAGTGCTCGCCCCTCCTAGCAGCCCAAGGCCCTCAGACTTACTGTCATCCATATTTTACAGATAGGGGAACTTTCCAGGGTCACCCAACAGGGAAGTGGTACAGCCGGGATTATTTTATTTTTGAGGCAGGGTCTCACTTTCCCAGGCTGGAGTGCAGTGGTGTGATCACGACTCACTGCAGCCCCAACCTCCCTGGCTCAGGTGATCCTCCCACCTCAGCCTCCCGAGTAGCTGGGACTATGGGCGTGCACCACCACACCTGGCTAATTTTTGTATTTTTTTAGCGGCAGGGTTTCGCCATGTTGACAAGGGTGGTCACAAACTCCTGGGCTCAAGTGATCCTCTTGCCTTAGCCTCCCAAAGTGCTGAGATTACAGGCATAAGCCACTGTACCCCGCCTAGAGCTGAGATTAAAGTCCTGCCCTTGACCACTGCAGGGCACCGCCTTAGCCTGTCCAGCTCTCTCCTTGCCTCTGGACATCCTGGACCACACCCGCCACTTCATGGTGAAGTGCCCTGCTGGGTCCTTGGGCTTTAGTCCCGGTTCACAGACAGGAGGACAAGGGCCGTCCCTCCCTTTCCTCATCAGTGCACAAGTGCTGGAGAAATCCTATCAATCGATTCACTGTAAAAGGGGGCACAGGGGTTTAGAATTGACTGGTGTAGGAGCAGAGGACCTGGGGCTGGATCTGGGCACAGCAATTTGCAGGGCACTGCTGGGCAGGAGTCCCTGATGGCCAAGCTGCTGGGCTCTGTATCTCCCACAAGCTGCAGCGGAGGCCCCATGGAGCAGGAGCAGAAGCACACGTTGGAGAACTGAACTTGAAGGACAGGACTTACAGCATTGAGGTCACACAGGCAAGTGGAGGCTCAGTTAGCCAGAGCCTCAAGGCTACGGTGAGGGTTTTGACTTCTGCGCAGAAGTGGGGAGCCCCTGCAAGGATTTGGGCAGAGAAGAAACAAAATCTGATTTATACAACGTTTAAAAATTACTCTGCCTGCTGTGTTGAGAAGAGATTACTGGGAGTGGAGAGGAAGGAGGTGATTGCAGTAATCCTGGCAAGAGATGACAGTGGTTTGGCCTGGAGAAACAGCAGCGTGGGCGGTGAGAAGTGGTCAGGTTGTAGGTGCATTTCCCAAGTACAGACAGTGGGATGTGCGATGCAAGAGAACAGAGACAAGGACTCTAGGTCAGTGCAACAGGCGGGATGGAGACGCCCTTTGCCTACCCTAGGCAAGACGCAGCTGGAGCAGGTTTGGGGAGGAAATCAGGAGTTTGCTTCTTATCCTGGGGCACTTCTTGCAACACAGTAAACCTCTTGTCAAAGTGTGTCTTCCAGTTTGGGATTTGGAAAACGTGGGCTTCGGGTGGCTCAAATCGGGGATAAAGGTTTGCATCTACTCAGAAAATGTTAGCTGCAGTCTTGACTGTTCATTTATTCATTCAATCATTTGTTCATTTGACAGATACTTACTAGACATGTACCATGTGCCAGGCACGGTGCTAGGTTCTGGGGACTCTGCAGTGAAAAAACTGCCCTCAGAGAGTTTACATTCCAGGGAGTGGGGGGGAATAGGTGATAAAAAGCAAGTAAATTGCAAAGGGGCCAAGCGCTGTGGCTCACTCCTCTAATCCCAGCGCTTTGGGAGGCCAAGGTGGGTGGATCACTTGAGGTCAGGAGTTCGAGACCAGCCTGGCCAACATGGTGAAACCCTGTCTCTACTAAAAATACAAAAATTAGCTGGACGTGGTGGTGGCCGCCTGTAATCCCAGCTACTCGGGAGACTGAGGCAGGAGAATTGCTTGAGCCCAGGAGGTGGAGGTTGCAGAGAGCAGAGATTGTGCCACTGCACTCCAGCCTGGGGGACGGAGCAAGATTCTGTTTAGATAGATAGATAGGCAGACAGATGGGAACTTGGGCAGGTGGGCCTCACTGAGAAGGTGGGTGTGGAGCAACGGCTGGAAGGAAGAGAGAGGCAGGTGCTGTCTGGTCAGAAGGCCCAGGCAGGGCACCAGCTCCAGGAAGCAGCAGGCAGGTCGTTGGGTCTTTGCAGACACTTAAGATCTTGGCTTCCTGTCCTAGGTGAGGAGGAAGCCAGGATTTGCACCCAGGAGCAACATGCTGTGTGGCCAGTTGCTTCTCTGGAAATCAGCCTCCACCACCTCTTCCCTGCCTCTGAGAAGGCTGGTGGAGGCCTGTCTTCCTGAGGGATCATTGCTTCTCGCCCTAGGTGTCTGCCCTAAGCGGCCGAGTGTTTGTAGAGCCAGCTGCCAGCAGTGATGTCGGTGTAGGGAGAGTTCTGGTCTGGCCCATCCCCGCTGGTTCCTGCAAGGCCCAAACAACCCCTTATCCTGGAGAGGGGTTTGTGTGTGGGGGAGAGGCTGGCTGGAGCATCCAGAGATGGAAACAAAAGGGAATAAACAATCGGAAGGCACAACGGCACAGGCAGATCGCAGGGGCAGCAGCTTGCTGCACTGAGCACAGCCAAGCTGTTTTCATGAGTGAGAGGAAAAACACAAGAGCAAGCATCGCAAGAGTGCTGTCCTGTGCGCCCCTGCCCAGCCCCACCCAGGCCTCCCGTAGCAGGGAGGGTCCCGGCTGGGCGAGGCCTGCCCAAAGGCCACGCTGGGGGTGTGGGCTGCAGAGCCTGACCCTATGCTTGCACAGCTGTGAGCCCTGAGTGGGCAGAACTGTTCTGGAAACTATCTTGACTTGTGAAGCCTGAGGAAGGTGGCACAGCCATGGTTTGGGTGAAGCCCCAGATGGTGCCTCCCTTCGCCCAGAACCTTCCTCCCCCCTCCCAAAAGGATCAGAAACTAGGCTGAGAAGCCCTGGCCGCCTCCCAGAAGCTGAGGCCCTGGGCCTGACTCCTAGCCCCCAGCCCAGCTGCTCTTGTGGGCTGTCTCAGCCCATAACCGGCTGATGTGCTGAGCAGGTGGTAGGTGAGTCACCGGAGGAAGCCAGGTGTGCCAGCCAGGCTAAGCTCAAGAGGGGGGCTGGGCTGCAGGGCTCAAGCCCCTAGCCCATGGCCACCCTGCTTCTGTGCCATCTAAAGAGATGGTGCTTTTGTGAACTACCCTGGATCTGCTCCCACTTACTCCCCGCCCTGCCCCCAGGGCTGCTGTGGCCTCACAGAGGCCAAGGGCTGGGAGCCTGCCTGCCTCTGCCCCAGCCAAGAGTTAGCTTCAGGGCAGCTGGGCAGTCCTTGCTGGGGCTGGGCCCAGGCTACCCGAATCAAGTGCATGCACTGGGCCAGAAGGAGCGGCTAACTGTAGACACCTGGACTTACGCAGGTCACATTCCCTCCAGAGGGGTTCAGAGAGGTTGGGCAGTTTATTCAAAAACTAAATGGGGGCTGGGGCGGCTAATAGCTTAGGTGCCATAGTCAGCCAAAAGCAGTGTGTGGGCCTTGTGTTGAATCTCCCTTCAAACAGACCAACTGTTGGAGGACATTTTAGAGACAGAGAAAACTGAACACAGGTGTTGGATGATGATAAGGAAGTCTCGTTGATTCTGTTAGGAAAGAAATGGTATTATGATTAGATTGGGGGGAAATCCTTATCTTTTCTGTAGAAGCTCTTTATGGGTAAAACGATACGATGTATTTGCTTTAAAATCCCCTGGAAGGAAAAGAGCGGGAAGGGGAGTGGAAGGCAGGGGCTGAAGACACAGGCCAGGCGGAATGAAGATGATGGTGGTCTTGCTCATGGTGATGGACTGTTGGGGACTTAGTCCATGGTCTCTCTTCATGGTGTTCCAAACCTCCACAGAGAAGAGTTAAACCAAAAGAGAGGGATGCAAGGGAGGGTGGGCCCACAGATGCAGAGCGGCAGTGCAGGGGGTGGGGATGGGTGTGGGTGAGTGTGGGTGAGGGTCTGTGGGGGGGATGACTGGGTGGGTGTGGGTGGGGGTCTGTGTGGGGGGATGAGTGGGTGGGGGTGTATAGGGGGTCTGTGTATGTGGGTGAGTGTGTGTGTGAGTGGGCGTGGGTGGGGATCTATGGGTAGGGGGTCTGTGGGGGGGGTGAGTGGGTGTGTATGTAGGTCTGTGTATGTCAGTGAGTGGGTAGGTAGATGGGGGTGGGGGTGTGTGGGGGTCTGTAGGGGGGTGTGGGTGGGGATCTGTGGGTGGGGGGTCTGTGGGGGGGTGAGTGGGTGTGTATGTAGGTCTGTATGTGGGTGAGTGGGTAGGTGGATGTGGGTGGGGGTGTGTGGGGGTCTGGGGATATGAGTGGGTATGTGTGGGGGGGTCTGTGTGTATGTGGGTGGGTGGGTGAATGGGTGGGTGTGGATGTGGGGTCTGTGGAGGGGGTGAGTAGGTGTGGATGTGGGTCTGTGTGTACGTGGGTGAGTGGGTGGGGGGTGGGAGGCCTGGGTATGTGTGGGTGTGGGGAGGATGAGTGGGTGGGTGAGTGGGTGGGTGTCAGGTCTGTGGGGGGAAGAGTGTGTGTGGGTCTGTGTGTGTGTGGGTGGGGCGTGGGGGAGCTGGGTATGTTTGGGTACCCCTCCTCTCCTGGGAAGTATGTGTGATCCATTTTACAGATGAGAACACTCAGGATCCGAGAGGCCACAGTTCATAAGGTAGAGGTGGGTCTGTGTCTCAGAAGCCAGTGCCCTAACACACTGCCACCAGCTGAGGTGTCCAGGCCGATTCCCGGGAGCACCCTGAGCTCTTGGCCACCACCCTCTGTGAGTGACAGCCTCCCTTCTCCTCCCCAGCTGTCCTCGCTCAGCCGGCTCCTGGGCCTCATGAGGCCATCATCTCTCAGGCAATACCTGGACTCTGTGCCCTTGCCACCCTGCCAGGAGCAACAGCCAAAGGCTAGTGCCGAGCTAGACCACAAGGTGAGTGAGCACCCAGCACCCGCCTGCCTCCACCACGGTGCCACCACCACAGGTAGCAGGGAAAGGCAGGGCTGTCCACATTGCATGGCCTGCGGGTCCTTCCAGAACCCCAGGGCCATGCCAGGGCAGAGACCAACAGGCTGCCTCCCTGTGTTGAGCAGAGGTGCTCAGCATCTCACCTGTAATTAGTGCTGTTACCCGTGCCGCAGGCGCTGGGGACGCCCTGTGCGCAGGTGTAGGGGCCAAATGTCTGCCTGTCCCTGCTTGTGTGCCTTTTGTTGATCTGGGGTTGTCAGCCTTACAGCATGGTTTAGGGAGGATGCAGGAGCTGGATGCCAGGGAGGGGATGGGAGCACATCAGGATAAGCGCAGGGTTGTCTCGACGTGCAGGGCATCCCTTCTTCTGTAGGCAGAGCTGGGCCCAGCCTCCCTGTTCATTTTCACTGTGGTTGTCACTGAGTCTGAGTCCTTGGCCTGTCCCCAGTTCTTCCTAATTGACTTTCCAGACATTGCCCAGCTTTCCTGAAAGCCAAGTTCTGGTGGGAGTCAGGAGCAACAAGGTGCCCCAGGGCCTGCAGGTTGTGGAGTTTGGAACAGTGAGGCCTATGAGTCCCTGGGTGAATGTCAGAGCAGGGATGTGGTGGGTGTGAGGGCTGCAGAGTGGGCATCCCGGGCTCAGCTTCCTGGGGAGCAGGGCTTAAACCTCGATGTACTCTGCTGCCCCTGGGGACTCGGGAATGAAGAATGGAGATAGGGATCGTTATAATTGGGGAAGATGGTAATTCCAGAAACTCACTCGGAGGCTGGATGTTGATACAGAAGTCCAACCTTTGGGCATCACTCTGCAAATCAGATAAATGAATTAATTACTTAATGAACACAAATGAACCATTAAAGAGATATGCTAATCCCCAGGTGCACGCTCCTCTTCTGGAACATGTGGGGAAGGTTGTCTTTCAGTTGTGCCTAATATTAGTGCGTTTATGAGGCTGCTGCCTCCCAGGAGAGCGTGAGCTGTCTGCATGCCCCTTCTCTTGTGCCAAGTATTTCCCCAGAAACTGGAGCTGGTTATGGGCTGGTTATGGGGCCTCTAGAGAGGAGGTGGGGGTCAGTCCTGGGGTGGTCTGTCTAAACAGAACTCAGGGAGGCCTGGGCAGGGAGCAAGGAACAAGAAGGCGAGTGGTGAGAGAGAGGAAAGAGTGTCACGTCTGGTCTGGCTAAGCGGAGAGTGTGGCCTGCAGGCACCTTGGGGGCCAGTCCTGGGCCTCACCTAGCAGAGGTGTGATTCCTGCCAGGCTCACTCTGGTACAGAGGCTATCCAGGTGGCAGAAGACATTCTTTCAACAGCTGGGGAAGAGGGACAGTGAGCAGGCTGAGGATGCCTTTTCTTTAGAGGACTATTCTCACACACCTAAAGGAGGTTTGAAAGCCTCCCCCTGGTTGGCCGCCATATTGGAAATGACCTGTTTGGCCTGAAAACATGGAGGCACCGTGCAGCTCGGCAGAGCCCCAAAGGGGTAGGGTGCACTGGTCCAGGGCAGTGGAGAGGCAGGCGAGTCCCAGGCAGCTCTCAGAAGCCTTCACTGCAGCCCGAGACCACCTTAGACCCCCTCTGCTGCGCTCCCCTACACCTCTGCCTCTGAGTGAGGGAGCCCCAGGCCAAGGAGGGTACATGGGCACAGAAGTGTGAAACAGGCCCCTGGGCTGGGTTCTGTCCCCTGGGCTGGGCACTGTTCTGACTGGGAGGGGCCAGGTGGGGCAGGTGACTGGGCTCCACTCCCACCCCGGCCGGATGACTCCTCATTAGGCCTCAGCATGTTTCATCTTCAAAGAGGTTAGATGGGCCACTCACCAGCCAAAAACAACAGCGGCGGCATCCACCCTGTTTTATAAGGAGTGGTGGTCTGAGCCGTGGCTGAGCCTTTCATCCCCAGAGCTCAAAGTCTTTGCCTTTTCGTTTCCCTTCAGTGCCATGGGGAAACTGAGGCCAGAGTAGGGTTGACCTGAGGCGGCCCAGCCTGGAGGAAATGCCTACTTTCCCAGCGTTGGGGCTGCTGAGCTGAGCCTCTGCCTTTTGACGCCTACCCATCCCCCAGGCCCTCTCACTCCTGTCTGGGAGATTTCCTGCCCTGTGCGGCTGGGTCACAGCCCTCCTCCAGCCCTGCAAATAAACACTTCTGCCCAGCTCCTTCCCCACCTCCTCTGGCTGCCTCAGGCCTTGGCCCAGCCTCTCCCTCTGGGAAGAGGCTGAGAGAGCTGCTGTTGGTGTCCAGGGCACAACTTTCTCTCCTCACTGATCCCTTGGCAAGTAAAGTTGTCCCTTTGCTTGCCCCCTGTCCAGCTAGACTGTGGGCACATGCAGTGTCTCTAGCACTGCGTCCCACATTTGGCACTAGGTGAACGAATGAATCCAGTTTTAATTCCTTTGTCCTTCTCTGAACTCCCTTCTTCCATTCTGTTCTGGCATTCGCTGTTCGCTCTCCTGCCCCCATTCTGGAAACCTGCTGCCTCCTGTGTGCCATCTGACCAGCCTCTGCATCGTGGTCCCCTTGTCTCTTAAGGTCTTTGTATCATTAAGGCCACAAGAGCTTATAGCCTGGCCTTCTCCTGCAGGAGGCTCTGGACTAAAGAAGTATTACCTGCATGTGGCAGAACCAATCCCAGCACATCGTTTGTAATTATAAGCTAGTGAGGTCCTGCCTGGGAAAGCACCAAGTACTTCAGCAAAGGAAGCCATGAGCTCCTGCTGCAGCTGTGCATGGGGGTCAGGAACTGGAGTGAATCAGGGGCAACATAGATGCCTGCACTGGCCGTGTGTCCTGGCTTTGACCACAGTCCTAGCTGAGCAGGCAGAGCTTATATGGACTATAAGAGCTTCTGTGGACTATCCCGCTTAGTGAGCTGATAACGTTTTTAGCATTTTGAAGAGCTTCTGGATAAAGAAAACAAAGCTGAGCCGCTTTTGGTTATCTATGGCCCTGTGCATGCCTGGTTTGATCTGGGCTTTATTCTCAGAGAAGAGTAAACATCTGGTTTGGAGTGATGCTTGGGGGTCTGGTACAGCCATGTGAGAGGCAGAGGGCTTATTTGGCTGACAGTGGTAGAGGGTGTTTTCCTGTGGGAGAGTTAACACAGGAGAGTTTAATACTTAGAGTTGGCCTCTAAGTACTCCCTTTGGCCCATGGATACCAATTCGCCCCAGTTGCCTTCCCAGGCAATCAAGGGAGACTGTTCTTTTGGCCGCAGGCAGAAAAACATTGCATAACTTGACTCAATTTGCCACTGTCTCTCCAAGCTACCACCTGAGCCCACCAACCCAGAACCAGGGTCTTCTTGGGGCAGTTTATTTCCTCGTAGCTGACTTGTATAAACCATATCTGGCCAGATGTTTTCTGGTGTGTTCTATCCAGCCTCAGGGCTCAGGGTCATGGAGGTCATGGCCTATTCACTCTTTTTTTTAAACAGGGCCTGTCTCACTCTATTGCTCAGGCTGGAATGCAGTGGCGCCATCAAGGCTCACTGCAGCCTCGCCTTCTCAGGCTCAATAGATCCTCCTACCTCAGCGTCCCAAGTAGCTGGGACAGGCACATGCTACCACACCGGGCTAATTATTTATTTATTTATATTGCTTGATTGATTGATTGATTGAGACGGAGTCTTGCTCTGTCGCCTAGGCTGGAGTGCAGTGACTGACTGGATCTCGGCTCACTGCAACCTCCACCTCCCAGGTTCAAGCGATTCTCGTGCCTGAGACTCCCAAGTAGCTGGGATTACAGGCGCGTGCCACCATGCCTGGCTAATTTTTGTATTTTTAGTAGAGACGGGTTTTGCCATGTTGGCCAGGCTGGTCTCGAACTCATGACCTCAGGTGATCTGCCCACCTCGGCCTCCCAAAGTGCTAGGATTACAGGTGTGAGCCACCACGCCCAGCCAATTTTTTTTTTTTTTTAATAAAGATGGGGTTTTGTCACGTTGCCCAGGCTGGTCACAAACTCCTGAGCTCAAGCAGTCCTCCCACCTCAGCCTCCCAAAGTGCTGGGATTACAGGCATGAGCCATCTCAACGGGCCCCAATTCAATTCCATCGAGATTATTGATATTTTGGCTGTCAAAACCTGCTATTGCATATTATACTCCTCGTTACCACACTTCCTTATCATTTCTTGCTTTTCTTTTTGCTCTACTGATGCTCTATTTTTTTTTGTATTTATTTATTTATTTATTTATTTATTTATTTATTTATTTATTTGAGACAGAGTCTTGCTCTGTCACCCAGGCTGGAGTGCAATGGCACAATCTTGGTTCACTGCAACTTCTGCCTCCCAGGTTCAAGCGATTCTCCTGCCTCAGCCTTCCAAGTAGCTGAGATTACAGGTGCCCACCATCATGCCCGGCTAATTTTTGTATTTTTGTAGAGATGGGGTTTCACCATGTTGGCCGGGCTGGTCTCAAACTCCTGACCTCAGGTGATCCACCTGCCTCGGCCTCCCACAGTGCTGGAATTACAGGTATGAGCCACCGCACCGGGCCTACTGATGTTCTATTGATGAGGTTTTTTAATTCTGTTTTTCCCCTTAGGGATTTGGGAGGCATATAGTACAAGGATCTTTATGGTGGGATGGAAGTTTTTCTCCCGGTTGGTTAAATTTGGGGACTGTGAAGTTGTTAATTATTTCCCATTGTATGGAAAGAAACTAAGGACCACAAAGGGGGATGGTCCCAGAGCTGGGGCAGAGTCAGGCACCAGGAGCCTGGTCCCCATCTCCCCAGCTGCCCTCTGGGCATGTCCTCCTCCCAGCCAGATGATGTCCCCAGTGGATAACAGCTAAGGGGCAGTCTGTGGGTTCTGCACCTGTTATGGTCCCTGCGGGGGCACCACCCAGATCAAGGCCCCCGACTGAGCGCGAGTGGCTCTAGTCAGCTTTCTCGAGGTGCACACCACTTAAGGTCCCCAGCTCATGCTCCTGAGGCCTGGGGATGTGTGGCTTGTTTATTGGAGAAGTGCATTTGTACAGAATGGAGTTGTTGGCGGGGAGGGGGGGTGTGCTCCAGGGATTGGGTGATGCTCTGGGATAAACTCAGCCCAGCTGTGCCAACTCCACTGCGTTCATGCTCATTCTGAGTAGCTCTGCTCATGTTCTGCAGAGGGTGTGGCCTCTGCTGTGTGTTTGTGCATAAGTGCGTGCTGTGCACATCTCCTGTATATCCTTGTGGTGTGCCGCGTGTGTTGATAGAGTTGGCAAACAAGTTTTACTGCTTCGCTCCCGCTGCTGTAACTGCAGTTGTCTGTCCCTGTGCTGGGTGACCCTGCCAAGGGCCGCCTTAATGGGAGGTTGTGGAGAAAGGCCTGGCTCTCACTGCAGGGCTAGGCAGGGAGGGGGCCGCTGCCCTCTGGCAGCTGTGTGCTTGCCTCTGCCCTCTCTTGCTGGCATGCTCAACTCCAGCAATGGGACATGTGTTCCCCTGGGCACAGGCCACTTACCCTCTGTCCCCCTGAAAGGCAGGTGGAGCCTCTTTCTCCATTCTCGCCATGCTCTCTGCCTTCCCACCTGGAAGTGTCTGTCTCTTCCTTACTGCCCCACTGGGCTGGGGACCTTGGTCAGGCCAAGGTCAGGAGGGCTGGGAGGAAACCGACTGGTTTTGAGGAACAGAAAATGGATATTCAGAACTTGTGAGTTCCTCTCCTGTCTAATCTGTGGTTGGTTCTGTCTTACTTCCTCCAAAGTACAGAACATCAGACATCTTTAAAAATAAACCTCAAAGAGATGGCCTCTGGGAAGCTGACCCTCCAGGAGAGGGGGACCTCTACAGATCTGGGGACAGGCCAGTACTTCTGGGCATCCCAAAGCCAGGCAGGGCCCAGGCTCAGGCCAGCTTTGTTTGGGTCCCAGAAATTCTGGTTTCTTTGCAAGTGTACGAGCAGGCTTGAAGTGAGAGAGTTAAGCTGCGGAGGCAGGCTTGAAGTGAGAGAGTTAAGCTGCGGAGGCAGGCTTGCATTCTTCAGCCAGCTTTTGCTCAGGGCCTTGGCAGCACCCGGGCCTGCTCCCTGCCCCACCCCACCCAGGCCCAGTCCTCCCGGAGACCCTTCGGGGCCTCTCTCCCTAGGCAAGTGACTCATCAGCTTCCAACCTAACACTCTACCTGGGTCTCCTCATCCTTTAACTCTTCCTGGACAACGCTGTGGATTATCTTCTTCTCGTTCTGAGTTAGGAAAATAGACTCTAGTGCCTGTCACATCGTATGAAACTGCAATCCAGAGCCTCCGCCAGCTGGCCCAATGCATGGCTTCACTGCTGCACATCACACTGCGACATTTGAATCCAAGCAGTGATGCTCTCCCAGAAACGCTCTGTTCTCAACGCCGCGTCTTTGCTCCTGCTGTCCCTCCTTCCTGCGGAGCCCAGACTGTCTCTCCCGTCCTTGGATTGCTACGGGCATGGCTCAACCCGTGGCTTGTTTACATCTTGCTTCACATACTTGAACAGCTACCTTTTAGGGTCAATCCAGAGTCTCACCTCAGGCACAACCCCCATGGCTCCCCCTGAAATGCCTCACCCTGTCTAGATACAGTGGCTCAAGCCTGTAATTTCAGCACTTTCAGAGGTTGAGGCAGGAGGATCATCTGAAGCTAGGTGTTCATAGACCACCCTGCACAACATAGCGAGACCTTATTTCTGCAAACGGTTTGTTGTTGTTGTTGTTGTTGTTGTTTGAGATAGAGTCTCGCTGTGTTGCCCAGGCTGGAGTGCAGTGGCATGATCTTGGCTCACTACAAGCTCCGCCTCCTGGATTCACGCCATTCTCCTGCCTCAACCTCCCGAGTAGCTGGAACTACAGGCGCCCACCACCACGCCTGGCTAATTTTTTTGTATTTTTAGTAGAGATGGGGTTTCACCATGTTAACCAGGATGGTCTCGATCTCCTGACCTCGTGATCCGCCCGCCTCTGCCTCCCAAAGTGCTGGGATTACAGGCGTGAGCCACCGCGCCCGGCCAAAAGGTTTTTTTTTAAAAATGAGCCAGGTTTGGTGTTAACACGACACGGTGGCATACGCCTATGGTCCTAGCTACTCGGGAGGATGGCTTGAGCCCAGAAGTTCAAGGCTGCAGTGTTTGAGGCTCCCAGCTGTGCACCGAAGACGGCCAAGCACAGTGGGGAAGGTCCCTTACACGCCATCCTCAGTCTGCAGGAACAGCTCCCAGGCCGACCATGGCCTTCTCAAGTGCTCTCTGCGCATCACGTTTTCTGTCCCTTCTTCCCTGTCTTTGCCAGGAGTTTTTAGTGACGGAAACACAAACACAAATCCTGGAAAGCCCTGGGACAGTTCATCAGACTTAGAGGGACCCAAGGGCTAAACAGTGTCAAAAAACCTCAGTGTCACACCCTCCTCCTCCGGGCTCTGGCCCTTGGCGCCTTCCCAGGCAGGCTCTCCCCTCCTCCAGGCTCAACAGCCTTCCCTCAGCAGCCCTAGGCAAGTGACTCAGCTTCTAACCTAACACTCTACCTGGGTCTCCTCATCCTTTAACTCTTCCTGGACAAGAAAGAGCTTCGGCCCTCGAATCGTAACCAGAATGGCGTCTCATTGGCTTGGTTTGGGTCAGGTGCCCGTCTCTAAGCCAGTCACATTGGCAAGCTAGCATACAGTGAATGGCCAGCCTGGGATACACGTTCACCCCTCGAGTCAGGGCTGGAGTCACCACCATGGAACAGTTTGGTCTGAGTGTAGGGGACAGGAGGCTGGGACACTCTTACAAAGGAAGGGAAAGGACAGGATCCCTGGACGTGTGCAGCATCCCTGTGGTTCAGTCACGGGCAGTGGCCTTGTGCTCTGGTGTTGGTGGGAAGGATGAGGAGGGCAGTCCCAGGCTCTGGCCAGACGTGCCAACACCGCGGAGACAATTCAGTAAGTGAAAAAGCGAGACAAGAAGGGGAAGCCATGGGGAAACCATTGCTCTGTCAGGTGGTTATGCAACGCCCTGGCTGGTGTCAGTGACCCCCTCCACTCTACACGCTCACACGCACACTGACACATATGCACTGATGTATACGTGTACTGGCGTGAACTCTTACACATAGGCACCGAGAATCTTGTCCCTCTCTGGGTAGCTTGCAGAGCTAGGTTTTCTGGTCCACATCTCCCTGGTGTCAAGGTCTCTGGTCCCAGCTGGAGCAGCAGGAAGACCCCGCCAATCCCTGCCTGTCATCTCCCTGACCCCCACCAGCAGGAAGCCAGAGAGGAAGGTGGACTGGGTGGGAGCCCTCCGCCCTCCAGCAAGGATTTGCCTCCAGTGCCTTGGCTCCTGCCACCAGCCGGCGGATGGAGGAATGGGGAGACGCTCTGAGATAACCTCCCCACGGCAGGTCTGCAGGAATCTGGAGCTCTCAGCCTTCCATCTCTTTCCCTCCCCAGCCCCATGCGCCATGGCCTCCACATTCCCTCCCTGTCCTCAGTACCACGAGCAGGAGCCAGGGCTGCTCAGGGCCCAGGCCCCAGGCCCCAGCTAGAGATAGAACTTAAGAGATCCCCGCTGTGAAGGGTCTCGGATCTCTGAACTCACTCTCCAGGAAGCCAGAGGTGCAGGTGAGAGCTCCTGTTCTGAGGGCGTGGAGGGTGTGGGCACGTGCTGGGCCCCGAGTCCTCTGCAGCCTGGAAAGAGACACCCACCTCTCTACCCAGCAGGGCCCAAAAGCAAACTTCCATTCAATGGCCATTCACTGCAGCAGAGCCGGAAGTCCTGCCTGTCCAGCTGCTGCCAGCCTGTCTCCCATTAACCCTAAATGGGCCTCATCCCTGCTCCGTGTTTAGGGACCGTGTTTGGGTCACCCCCACCCCTTGCCCTAGCAGGCACTTTGACAGAATTGGGTGTCTTGCCTGGCAGGCCCCACCAGTGACGTCTGCTCTCTGGCTAAGACGTCTGCTCTCTGGCCTCTTGGCCCTGTGTCTTCTGGGACCCTAGGTTAGGAAGAGGTCTTAGGTCACCCGCCTCATTTCCTAGTGGTCGGTTATATGTCTTCATTTCTTCCTCACTAGGGCTTATGACCGGCGACCTGTCCTGGTCAGAGTCACTTCCCAAGTCAGCTTGCCTTTGGGAACAGAGCTTTCGATACCGCCCTCTGCTTCCTTCTTTAGTGTCTGCCAAAGCCAAGGCTCAGAGGTGCAACCTTGGAGCAGAAGCTGCCTGGCCAAGGGGAAGAGGTTGTGCGGTTTGCTCATGGGGCAGGGAAGACATGGCAGCCTCGTCCTGGTGGCCAGTGCCACACTGCTGGGGCTCAGAAGGCACGTAGCTAGGAAAATGCATCCCCTTTCGCCTGGTGTCCTGTGGACACACCAGTCACCTAAGCTCTGTCTCCCTCCCCAGACTGAGGCTCTTGGCCTGGGGCCTGAGTAGCCCTACCTCAGATTACTCATGATTCATCGCTGTTGTGCCCAACCTGTGTGGATACCTAGACCGTGCCCCGGGGGCCCAGCCTGCAAAGGGCTTTCCTCCTCCACCCTGGGGGAGCAGCCTCAGCCTCGCCCTATCCTTCCAATAGGAGGCCCGTGGACCCTTGCTGTTTCCCAAGGGGGATGTCCACAGTGTGAATCCTCTTTAGAGACCCCACCACCATCCACGCACACCCGGGGAGCTTGTCCTGCTGAAGGCTGAGAGCCCAGACATCTGCTCTTGGGCCAGACCTGCCCTTCCTGGACACAGGGTCGTGCACATCAGGAACCCTCCCCATGCCGCAGCTTCCATGTCTGCTGAAGGCGGGGTCCCAGGCCCTCTCTGTGTGCGCTACTGGATCAGGATGCCGTGAAGTGGTACTATATAGGTTTAAATTGCACAAAAAAGGGAAAAAAAGGATTGTGGCCCAGCCCCAGCCTCGGGTCTGAAAGGGCCCAGGGTAGACCAGCACAGCTTCAGCCTTTCCCAGACTCCGTTAGCTCTAGAGTCGATCTTCAGTCCGTGTGCTTACACCTCTGTCCTGAGAGGACTCGTGTGTGGCAATGATGATACCAAGGCAGAATGCTTCTCCTGGGCTGGGCTGGACCTCTAGGCTCTCGAGATTGGGCTGAGAGCAGCCCAGCCAGGCTAGGGCTGTGAGCATGGAAAGGAGAAAGCAAGAGGACCCCCCCTGGCTCCTGGTACCCCAGGCCAGAATCCCAGCACCAGCAGACATCAGGGCCAGCTTCCTGAGTGAGAGGCAGGGACGGCTGGGGGTGAGCCCCTGGGCCTCAGCAGCCTGGCTGGGAGAGCCGTGCCCTTTGGGTCCATCTTCGTCCTTCCCAGCAGGTGTTCCTGGGTCAGCCTTGGTTCTCCCCCCAACACACACACAGTAGCTGCCCCAGAGCCTAGCTGGACCTGCTCCCGCAGGGTCCTCCTGCCAGAAACAGGTCTGCCTTCCCCACCCGGTCTGGCAGCCTCCAGGAGAGAGCTGGATTTGGGAAGACTTGCCCGGGGTTAAGACTGGATTCTTGGTCATGACCTGATGGGGGAGAAAGGTTATATGTTCTGGCCAGAGCGAGTGGCTTCCTGGGAGAGCCTCTCCGTCCTCCTTTCCTGCCCCCCTTCAGCGTAAATAGCCCAGGCCACAGCCCGCTCCCTTGGCATTGGCTAGAGGGGAATTTTCTAAAGGATGAAGTTCCTGGGAAATGTCCACCCTTTTTCCCTTTCGTCTATGACAAAAGCGCTGCTAATGGCTCCTAGTTGACTTGGGAGTCTTGGCTGGGGGAGCCTGGGGTCAGAACTAGCTGGACCAGAACATGGAGATGCTGACCTCCCTTCCTCTGGTGACAGTCCCAGTCTGCTGTCTGCTGTCACTCAGCCTTGTCATTCCTTCCCCAGGGGGAGGGCACGGCCCCCTTGAAGGCTGTAGAGCCAGGAGTGAGGCATTCCTGCATGGAACTTCTCAGAAGAGCCAGCCCACCAGACTCTGGGGAAAGACCCAGAAAACGGGAGCTCGGCCCTTGCTGGCAGCGGCCGCAGGGATGGGCTGGGCTTTTCTTGTCAGTATTGGGTCCGGGCATGCCCTCAGACTCTGCCTTTCCCCATGATGTTGACTGAGGTTTCCGGGGTCCCATTTCCCATTAGGGCTTCCCAGCCTGACTAACGTGCCATGGGGCAGGAGCTGGGTCCCGTCTTCAGACAAGGTTCTGAGGCCTGGACAAGTGTAGCCCCCCAGCACCCAAGGAGGGCTAACCCTGAGGCCACAATGACATCCCCACCGCACCAAGCAGTTCTAAGAGACCTGGAAGGGCCTCCCTCTGGCGTATAGAAGGGCCACCTTGTGCTCCCAAAGGGAGAGGAAGCAGGTAAGGCAGGGAGTGCAGCCTGGGCTCAGCCTCTCTCTCCTGCCTCGTGGAAGGGAAGATGAACCGTGCCTCTGTAGTGCCAGCCAGGACAGGAGCAGGCTTGCTAAGTTCAGGAATTGGTCACACTGCGAAGGAAGCAGGAAGCGCAGCTCTCACACCTGGCCCTTCTTGTCTTGCTGGGAAGGGCCCCCTCACTCGCCCACCCCTGCCTGCCCTGCACCACTCCCGTGCCTGCCCCTGCCACGTTGGAGGGAAGGGAGCTCAGGGAGCCGCCAGCAGTGCATCACCAGCAAGCCAGCTGAGCTGGGCGAATCGGGTGTCCACAGCCGCTGGCGGTTTAGATGGGGAGACTCAGGGTCTGCCTGCTCCTGGCTACAGAGTTCCCAGTTTCCACTGAGGTTTTGTTCCTCTGACCTTCACACAGAGAGAGGGGTCTGGTGGGAGGGTGGGGACACCTTGCTTGTTGTCTGGACAGGATCAGACTCTCTCTTACCTCTTTGCAGCTCTGAGACCAAGAGTCCTGGGGAAATGCAGGGAGGAGATGGAAGTGTGGGTGTTTCCTATGCCAATAATGAAGGCTTCTTTTCAAAATCCCTACTGGGAACCCAGCTTCAGCCAAGCTCCCAGAGATGTCCCAAGGGAGGGCATCTGCACAGCCACCAATCTCCTTAAATTGGGTCAACGTCTTCCTTATAGGAAGCACCTCAAATGCAAGGAAGACATGCACCCAGCCACCCAGCCTCCAGGCAGTGGCAGGTTTAGGTTTTTCCCTTTGGGAAAAACAACTTATAAAATGTGGTTAACAGGGTTTTTCTCTAGGACTGCCATTTCCTACTCACTATCCACCCAAACACTCGGAATAGTTTTTCTGGGATTCCCCTCCCCCCTCCCTGCCCCCTGCAGATTCAATTATGGGAATTAGCATAAGAAACAAGTTGTGAAACCAGTAACTCTCCACTGCCTGGGGTAAGTCCACTGACAGATTTTTCCTCCCTGATGTTCCTCCAGGGCATTCCTCAGATCTCAGACCCTCCCCACGACTCCTTCTAGGAGGGGAAGTTCTGCAGCCGGGCCTCCTCCAGACAAAGAGACTCCCCCGAGAGCCCATGGGTGGAGCAGGCCAGTGAGCTGCGCCATCAGCAGTGGGGAGTGAAAGGTCTGAGAGGGACAGGCCCCCTTTCGCCCCTCCCAGTCCCACACATTCTCCCTCGCAGACAGCCCAGGGTGCCTTCCCCAGCTGTCCTCAGTGACGGCCCTGATAACCCTTGGATGTTTTCTTCGGCATCCCCTGCCACCTCTCATCATTAGATTGCCCTCTCAAAGAGGGGCCTCAGCTTCTTCCTTTTTTTTTTTTTTTTTTTTTGAGACCAGCTTTTGCTCTGTTGCCCACGGCTGGAGTGCAGTGGCACAGTTACAGCTCACTACAGCCTCAACCTCCCAGGCTCAAGTGATATGCCTGCCTCAGCCTCCCAAGTAGCTGGGAATCCAGGTGACCATGCTGGATAACCTTTTGGTTTTGTTTTCTGTGGAGTCGGGGTCTCACTATGTTGCCCAGGCTGGTCTCAAACTCCTGAGCCACAGCCTCCCAGAATGCTGGGATTACAGGCGTGAACCACCTTGCCCAGCCTGGGTCTCGGCTGCTTTTCATGGCCAAGTCCCGCTCCCATGCCTCACACCCACCCCAAACCCAGTTAGGTTCAGCCAATTACCGTTGGCAGTATCTTGTTAAAAAAAAGTTTTAGCCGGGCGCGGTGGCTCACGCCTGTAATCCCAGCACTTTGGGAGGCCGAGGCGGGCGGATCACAAGGTCAGGAGATCGAGGCCATCCTGGCTAACACGGTGAAACCCCGTCTCCACTGAAAATACAAAAAATTCTCCGGGCACGGTGGCGGGCGCCTGTAGTCCCAGCTATTCCAGAGGCTGAGGCAGGACAACGGCGTGAGCCCGGGAGGCAGAGCTTGCAGTGAGCGGAGATTGCGCCACTGCACTACAGCCTGGGCAACAGAGCGAGACTCCGTCTCAAAAAAAAAAAATGTTTTAAACCAACTCTCATTGTATTCTCCTTGTATGAGTACACACATTGTAGAGAAATAATCTTAAAAAAGGAAAAAGGAAAGGTAGGGATACCCTGTAATCCTTTCTCCCAGAGAGAGCTCATTTTCCTGCTACCTAGTACATTCCAGCACACCAGTGTGGCCACATTCTATCACCTGCCTCCCCCAGGCACCCCCAGCCTGTTCCCACAACTCTGCCCCCCAGGTTGTCCCCACTCCCTTGCACCTGTACTGGCCTCTGTTTCTGGAACCGCCCTCAGGGTCTGTGGCTTCTGTTTCTGGAACCGCCCTCAGGGTCTGTCATCAGCCCTCCTCTGCCTGCACAGGGCCATCTTTGCCTCGAATCCTACTGTTCCTTTGAGGCCCACTTCAGCTTAGTCAATTCCTGAAGCCTCTAAGTTGTACTCGCCATCCCCCAAAAAACCCTGGAAGGGCCCTTTCTCCTTTTGGTCTGTGCAGAAGCAGAGGTATGTTATTTCCTGACCGAATGGTTGCCCTCCTGAAGTATCTTTCTCCCTCTCATGTCTGAGTTTGTTTCATGTCACCATGTCTCAGTCAAGGTATAGTGTCCGGCACGCAGGCCCAGACTTGCTTTATGACAAGGGGGCAGTGAGCTGTTGCAAGACTGCAAAGGCTGGACAGAGTCGCAAAGGCAAGGCCAGGTTGGAGGGAAGGGGAGCTCAGGGAGCCAGCAGTGCATCGCCAGCAGGCCAGCTGGGCCGGGCAACTCGGGCGTCCACAGGCCGCTGCAGGGACCCGGCAGGCAGAGGGAGCTGGGCTTCAGAGAGGTTGGGTCTTCCCCACCCCAGGGCAGCTCTCCTGGAGGCACGCCTCGGTTTCCCCCACTGTGTCTTCTCTGCCTGCCGTGTGCAAGGCCACCTGGTCAGCCTGTGGAGTCAGACCACCCGTGGGCCTTAGCCGTTGTGTGGGAGAACAGGCTGCGTCCCAGGCAGGGTGGGCGCTGCTGGTGGGAGCCCCAGGTGGCCTTCGACCTCAGGATTTTGCACTGCGGTATTTGGGTTTAAGAAGTCAGTTGATGGTACCAAATCTGATGTCCTCAGAAGTGGTCTGGCTTCTGTCCTGAGGAGACTCCTGGGCCTGTGCAAAGAAGCTGCAGCCATTGCTGGGGCACTGCCTGGCGCCCTGGGAGGGCCGGGTGATGAGGGCAGGGGAAGCTGGGGCACAGGGGCCGTGGGCTGGTTCTGAGCTCCAGCCTATTGTCACCTGCCGGCATTTCTAGAGCCCGCCTCTCCCACCCCTACTCGTCCTCGGGGCTGGTCATCTGCCACCTCCTGATCCTAGACATGAAGAGAGAGCCGAGAGGACAAGGCAGCAGGGCCCTCTGAGTGGAGGGGCGCACCTGCGGGCAGCAGTTGGGAATCCAGGGCAGGCTGCATCCCTTCTGGAGCCTCACGCCCTGGGATGCTCCCCATGGCTCGGTTTCTCTAAACAGCAAGCACGTATCCCATAAGTGAATGGGTACCAAGAGTCCAGGGGTGCCTCAAGATCAAATTGTTCTCGGGCCAGATGGAGCAGGCCTGCGTCCTGTTTTCACTGCTGAGAGTGTGCAGTTGGCAGGAATGAGGATGGAGGCGAGATGTGCAGACGCTCAGCCAAAACCTTCGGCTCCCATCTCTCCATCTGCCTCCTCGGGTCAGCAAGGCGACTGTCCAGGCAGGCTGCACCCGTTTTGGTGTCCCAGGGAACAGAGACTGCAGAGATCAGAGTGGATAGGCCCCTCTCCCCAGAAGGTGCGTTCTGCTGCCCCAGCACAAGGCTGGGGGACAGTGTGTGTTTCTGGATGGCTGACTCCTTTTTCTAGAGGAAGGGAGGTTGGCCCTTCATCAGAGGGCAGGCTGGGAGTGCCTGCTAGGGAGTCACAGCTCCAAGTGAGTGCCAGCCCAGAGCCTGGCTCACCCAGGTCCCCTTGAAGATGCCTCCCTGGAAACTGTTGCTGAAAGCCTAGGGGTGACTGAGCCCCTGCCTGGCCTGCCAAGCCTGAGAGTGGGGAGTGTGCAGGTGGAGGGCACGCCATGCTGCCCTGGGTGGAGTTAGAGAAGCAGCTCTCCCTGTGCTCTCCCTCCAGGCCTGCTACCTGTGCCACAGCTTGCTGATGCTGGCCGGGGTAGTTGTTAGCTGCCAGGACATCACTCCAGACCAGTGGGTGAGTCTCCCAAGGGGCAGGGCTGTGGTGGGGGTGCCCAGCTGTGTCTTCTCCCCCAAGCGGCGGGGGTTGGCTGGGATGGCGCCCAGCCCACTGTTAGGAACTGCAGAGAGTGGGAGGCTGAGAGGGAAGCCAGCGTGGGAGAGCCAGGGCCTCTTCCTCCCCACAGTGTCCCACCAGCTGAGCCATTCCCAAGGGACACTGACCCGAGCCCCAACAGTTGTGCTGGCCCCATCCTCCTTTTCCTCCTCAACTTCTGAACAGTCACTCAAATGTGCCCCTTCCTTTCTCTGAATTTGTTCTCCTCCTGCCCGGCTTTGGATGTGCCTGGCTTGTGCTACACCCGCTTCTTGGCCTCCCTCCGCCTCCACAGGGCGAGCTGCAGCTGCTGTGCATGCAGTTGGACCGCCACATCAGCACGCAGATCCGGGAGAGCCCCCAGGCCATGCACCGCACCATGCTCAAGGACCTGGCTACCCAGACCTACATCCGTTGGCAGGAGCTGCTGACCCACTGCCAGCCCCAGGTGGTGCCCCCTCTAGCCCCCAGACCTGGGAGGGGCGGGAAGTGGTCAGGCAGGGCTGGCCAGAGCCACCAGCACATCCACCCCCGCTGCAGCTGCTGAGCTCCTGGCAGGGATATGGGTGGAGTGGGCATGTGGGGGAAGGGTGGGGACGCCTTGAGGGGCCTTCATCATTCTTATCAAGAATCCAGTGCCAAAGGCTGGGCGTGGTAGCTCACGCCTGTAATCCCAGCACTTTGGGAGACTGAGGCGGGCGGATCACAAGGTCAGGAGACCAGCCTGGCCAACATGGTGAAACCCGTCTCTACCAAAGATTAAAAAAATTAGCCGGGCGCGGTGGTGTGCGCCTGTAATCCCAGCTACTCTGGAGGCTGAGGCAGGAGAATCCCTTGAACCCAGGAGGCGGAGGTTGCAGTAAGCCCAGATCGTGCCATTGCACGCCAGCCTGGGCGACAGGGCAAGACTCCATCTCAAAAAAAAAAAAAAAAAATCCAGTGCCCAGGGTGGGTGCGGAGGGAAGGGGACACAGAGAAGCGCAGTCCTCAGGAAATGCAAAGAAAAGTCACCCTGGAGAGGGAAAAGTCTGGACCCAGAGTGCCAGTCTTTCATGAGCAGTGCCAGGAAGGGGCCCCAGCTGTTCACTTGTGCTGTGGGCCTGAAGCTGGTCTCCTGCTGTGTTAGGAGGAAGGCTCCCAGGCTGCCCTGGTCCTCTCCACTACACCCCCTACCCCCGCCGAGTTTTCTCAGAGCCTGTAGGTGTGATAGTCACAGCTAGTGTTTCTTGAATGAAGATCCGTTTCTCAAGAACCCACACAACCCCCATGAGGCAGGTGTTGTCAGGAGCCCATTTTACAGATGAGCAGACTAACCAGAGGCCCTGAGAGGCTCGGTGGCTTGCCCCCCATCACGCAGGCAGCTTGTGTGAATGTCAGAATCAGGGCATGAGCCAGCCTGACTCCCAAGCCTCTGACCTAACCAACTTCAGCCCCTGTGCTGGTGCCCTCCCTTCCGGCCCCATCTCTCCAACAAACAGCACCCTGCTGGGCTGGCTCGGGGTCTCCTCCCTTCCTGAGCCCCCAGTCCTCTATGGAGGGGCACAGGACCTGGTGAGGACCACCCCCCACCCCACCACCAGTGCCCCTCCTCTCCTAGCCTGCCTCTTCTTGACTCCTCTTTTGTCCTTCCCCTATAACCTCTGACTTAGGTCTGACACACTGGCCACAGGCTGTGGTTTGGGTCTCAGATTTCGCCAAGTCTCTGAGAAGGCTGGAGAACAAACCTCACCCTCACTCCCCAAGGAACTAGATCTCACCAGCCTCTGGTGGGAGCAGTGTGCTTGTCACGAGAAGAAGGAAAAGTGATTCAGGGCCTGGTAGAGGGGCCCTGGGAGACCACTTATACGGTCACGTAGCCTGATGACCGCTGTGTCCTCGCCAGTAGTGTGAACCCAGGCATCCTGCTCACTCGGCCCCTGGCATGAGCCTGCGATGGGTGCTGAATGGACACCGCCAGCCCGGGGAGCTGCAGGGCAGTGGGCAGCACCTGGGCCCAGGCCCTCACAGCCTGCTTTTCTCCTCGCCGCAGGCCCAGTATTTCAGCCCCTGGAAAGACATCTAAAGGGACAGGGTCAGGGCAGCCCAGGGCTCCTGGCTTCAGCAGGAAGTGAACAGGCTCAGGGAACTGGAGGAAGCGAAGCATCAAGGCCAGAGGAGGCCACATGCTGACCAGCCTGATGAGGCAAGAGCCTGCCCCTGCCACCGCCCCGACCCCTCTCCTCTCTGCAAGAGCCTGCCTCTGCCACCGCCCCGACCCCCTCTCCTCTCAGCAAGGGATGGGCCTCTCTGCCTCGCCCACCCCTCAGCCCTCCTCCCAGCCATCTCCTCTTCCCTAAGGCCTCTGTCTCCATAGCTCTGGTTTCCCTGGGCCTCAGTCCTCCCCACCCTCCTTCCTCTGTCTCCCTGTCACTAATGTGAGGTTTCTTTGTGCACATTAAAGTCTTCTTTCAGCATCAGTGGTTTAGAACACTTCCTTCAGTCCCTGTCCCGAGGGCTCATGCCAGCGTCCAGTCTCCTGATGCCTCTGCCTGTGTTTCGCTGGGTTCTTAGCTCGACAGTTACAGCACTGGGGCCCAGGCCCAGGTCCTGCCTGTAGCAGAGGGCTGTCTGCAAGTCCCCGGGGAGGGGCAGTGCTCCCTACAGCCCACTGTGGCCCAAGAGCTGTCAGAAACCCAGGAATGGGACGTTTGTTTGGACCCAGTCTGGGACCACTCCCCATTCCCCGCCCCTGCTGAGGAGGACGCACAGAGTGAGATGTGGATCAGGGCTGTAATTACACTTAATTCCATTTAGTGCTGAGCTCTGAAATCAACTCCCCAGCCTCAGGAGTGGGGGCAGTTCAGAAGACACTTCCAGATGCTGCTTTTGCTTTTCCTCCGACTTGCCCCAGATGAGTTCATGGGACCTGATCCCTAATAGGGTCCTAGGTATCTTTGACCTGAACCCCTTGAGAAGGGAGTGGTCCCTTTGTGCTCCAGGAGATCTACTTTGCCCACTCCTCCAACCCTGAGAATCCACATTTAGTCCCCGGCCCCTCCTGACCCTTCCTGGGTTTGGATGGGGTTTTGCAGGTGACACAAGAGGTAGCTAGGCAGTGGCAGAGGATTGCCCCTGCCACACTGGACTGTGCCCACTCCTCAACTCAACCCTGGCTGTCTGCTAATTCTCCCATGGCGGCTGTGTACAACTCTTCTGCTTTTATGTACCCCTCCCTCTCCGGCTTTCATGCACAGGGATAGGGTGGGCAGGCTAACTAGGAGAGAGACTCCCCCAAAATAAAGGACTTTCAGGCTAAGTGGCTCAACATGCAGACCCAAAGTGGAGTTCACCAGTTCCTGGGGCTGTTTCAGACACAGCTGCCTCCCTCACTGCATCCCCAGAATGCTAGGAGCTGGGGGCATCTATTATTCAGGGGCACGGGCACACGCACAGCACAGTGCTGGATACCACACAGGACGCCTTTCTGCCTAGCAGCCTTTGCCAAATGAGAGGGGGAAGAAACCCTCGGCCAGGGTGACTTAGATGCCAAGCGACCTCCGTGACAGTTCAAGTTTCTGTTCCTGGCTGCGTCACATGCCCCCATGGCCCGGGCACCCCCGAAGCCCCGGCAGCATCAGGTCAACCTCAGATCCTCCAGTGAACGAGCAGGGACTATGGTGAGCCAGCCTCCTTCACCCGCCCTCGGGCTGCCCTGCTCCAACACTGCATGCACTGACAGTTCATCTGTAGCTATTCACTTTTCTCTGGAAACCTGGAAATCACCTTTGAAATTTCCCTTCTTTGTTCTTACTGCCAAGGGCAAAGAGGAAGTAGGGAGGCCTGAGAAGCTAAACAGGGGGAGTTTCCAGTTCTCGAAGGTGGCCCTACCTGGCTCTGAGAAGGAGCCGAGCTGTCCATCAGCGTCGATAACTGGAGCCTTCCTCCCCAGTCCTGGCTCTTGTCCACTGTCCCCTCCTCTACTGCTCCCCAAACATACCCATCCCCAAGAGAGAAATAGATACCAAGGGGAGAGGAGGTGTCGGTGACGACTCAGTCCCTCCAGAGACCTGGCTGTAACCCGAGCAGAGGTGTGCACTGTGAGGTCGCCCAAGGGCGTATGCTGTCCCCTGGGGTGTGTAATGGGCCCTCTCTGGGACTGGCTGGGAGCTGACCAGATCTTCTAAAACTAGTCTGGGATCGGTTAGAGACTCAGCCTCCCCAAGGTCCAGATTTTCACAGTGGTGCTGGCAATGTGACCACTTGCCCTCCAGATCTTTGACTTTTCCAGATCCCTAAGCCCTTGGGAAAAGGCTGGGGGATATCCTGATAGGAGCCACTGGAAAATCCGCATCCGGGGCTGTGATGACGGATGTTTTCCTGCTTCCTTTTGGTACTGGTGACAGGGAGGGGCTGGGAAGGGAAAGACATCCCAGGTGGGCAGCTTTGATAACTCTCCTTTGGAGGAAGTAGGGAGGGAGAGTCCTTTTCCTATGTCCCTAGTCACCTCGGTCCCCAGGCGCGCTGACCCAAGCTTTCTCACTTCCCCATCTGTGGGATGACGGCAGTCCTGGCTGCCTTGGAAATCCACCAGGCAGCGTTCACCAGAGAACCCAGTGTCCACCCAGGGCCTCCCTCTGGCTGCCTCAGGAGAGCTAGTAGGTGAGTAGCTCAAATGAAGGGCAGTGTGGCCCCCAACCAACATCAAGAGATGGGAAGGGGGACTTGCTTTTCAGGAAAGACTCTTTAGGTCATCTCTAGGGGCTGGCCTGAGCTGCTGGGTGATCTTTGAAGACCCTTGAGAGTCATTTAGCACAATTTCTGTGTCTTTCCTTGACACGACCACAAGCAGTTGTCAAGGCCTGAGTCCCAAAGTGTGGATACCTTCCATAGATATGCTAGGCCCTAGGGAGACTAGTCAGGTACGTGCACCTCCCCCCACCCCCGGTACCTGTATTAGTAATTTTTTTATTAATTGAAGACCCAGAAATCTTTTTTTTATATCAGTTGTACTTTCATTTAGAAGTATGAATCATGAGCAAGTAGTCATGCAGGAAATTGTATCCTCTGCCCACCCACCCACAGAAAGGGCCAGTGCTGGAATGGACAGAATACAGCAGGAAGTGCATGAAGGTGGAAAAGGGGAGGGAGCTGGGAGCTTATCTCCGAGAGCGTTTGGGAGGATAGGCGCGTGGAGTCTGTTAGCTGGAGGCTTCTACATTCCTGGGCCTCCAGAACCCAAACGCCTGCCGCTGCCCTGCCAGTGAAACCAAACCGGTTGCCTTTTGAAACTTTCCACTGAGGCCACCTTGGAGTCAGAGCCAGCGAGCTCAGGTCTCTCCTGGTAACCTTCACACCTAGAGGTGGGGGGATGGGGGAGCAGTATTGAAGGTGAGGAAAAACAGCATGAAATGGAGCATTGTCAGGATAGATGGTGACTCTGTGGAAAAACAGAATCGGGAGTCCCAAGACCTGATTTAAAAATCTGAACTTTCCAGTCTGAGCAATATAGCGAGACCCTGTCCCGTGTATGATGGTGTGCACCTGTAGTCTTGGGAGGCTCACGTGGGAGGACCGCTTGAGCCCAGGAGTCTGAGGTTACATTGAGCCATGACTGTGCCATTGCACTCCAGACTGGGCAACAGAGTAAGACCCCGTTTCTAAAAAAGAAATTCTGACCTTTTTATCTCCATGACTTGGGGCTAGTTGTTTAATCTTTTTTAATTATCTCCATGACTTGGGGCTAGTTGTTTAATCTTTTTTAATTATCTCCATGACTTGGGGCTAGTTGTTTAATCTTTTTGACTCATCTCCAAAAGGGGAGCAACAATACTTATTTTTTTAATTTTGTCGAGGCAGGGTCTCGCTCTACAGGCTGGAGTGCAATGGCACAATCACAGCTCACTGCAGCCTCAACCTCCTGGGCTCAAGCGACCCTCCCACTCCAGCCTCCTGAGTAGCTGGGACTTACAGATGCATGCCACCACGCCCCCGCTAGTTTGGTTTGTTTGTTTGTTTGTTTGTTTGTTTTTGAGACAGAGTCTCCTTCTGTTGCCCAGGCTTGAGTGCAGTGGAGTGATCTTGGCTCACTACAAGCTCTGCCTCCTGGGTTCACGCCATTCTCCTGTCTCAGCCTCCCGAGTAGCTGGGACTACAGGCGCCCGCCACCACGCCTGGCTAATTTTTCTGTATTTTTAGTAAAGACAGGGTTTCACCATGTTAGCCAGGATGATCTGGATCTCCTGATCTCGTGATCCGCCTGCCTCAGCCTCCCAAAGTGCTGGGATTACAGGCGTGAGCCACCCCTCCCCGCCACGCCCCGCTAGTTTTTTTTTTTTTTTAATTTGGGGCTGGGCGTAGTGGCTAATCCCAGCACTTTGGGAGGCCTAAGCAGGTGGACCACCTGAGGTCAGGAGTTCGAGCCCAGCCTGACCAAAACGGCGAAGTCCCATCTCTACTAAAAATACAAAAATTAGCTGGGCATGGTGGCGCATGCCTGGTCAACATGGTGAAACCCCGTCTCTACTAAAAATACAAAAATTAGCCAGGTCTGGTGGCAGGCACCTGTAATTCCAGCTACTTGGGAGGCTGAAGCAGGAGAATCACTTGAACCCAGGAGGTGGAGGTTGCAGTGAGCCGAGATCGCGCTATTGCACTCCCGCCTGGGTGACAGAGTGAGACTCTGTCTCAAAAAAAAAATAATAATAATAATTTCTTTTGTAGAGACAGGGTCTCAGTATGTTGCCCTGGCTGGTCTTGAACTCCTGGGGTCAAGTGATCCTCCCATCTCAGCCTCCCAAATTACTTACTTTTTAAAGGGTGGTCATAAGGGTGAAGTAAGAAAATGTACATCAAGACAAGCTGCAAAAATCTAAAGCACAGAACACAAGTGAGGGCACTTGCATCTCAGTTTACCCTCCGCTTGAATAGATACGGGGAATAAACTAAACACGAGGGTGACACACCTTCTCCCACCTTGTCAGCTGAAGCAGGAGGCCTTCCCTGCCCACCCCATGGTCATTATCTCCAGCATCTCCAAGGCCACAGCTTTTTTTCTTTTTCCTAGTGGAAAAGAGCTGGGAAACGTGGCTTTGGCCAGCAAGGGAGAAGGGGCCATTATGTGTACCAGCAAAGACCCGATTGTTACTGAAACCAAACTGGGCTGCTTTTCTCAATTATCTCCACCACTTTTCTGGTCTCCACTTTTCAGATGCCAAGTTTTAACCCAGAACAAAAGCTGCTGTCGGACTGATTTATAATCCAGATCTGCTGACGCAGCCTGAAGTGTTCCTCCCCTCCAGGACTGCACCCTGGCTTAAAGTTACCTCCAAACCTCAGGACGTCAAGCCCCTTCACCTCTGCCTTTTGCCCCTAGCCAGGAGGTAGCATCTGTCTCCAGGTGCCCGTGGGGTGTCCTCCATGAGGACCACCTCTTCTAACCACCTGCCCAGCTCAGAGGACCAGCTGGCAGGAAAGACGCTGCACCGCCCATGAGGCCAGAGCTACAAGTTGCTTCTAGGAGTGGCTGTGGGCGGAGGCTGGTGGTTCTGAAGGTGGCGGTGGTTCTGCAGCGTGGCTCCCCACAGCCCCTTTCATCTGAACAGTAGGGCTCATGCCACTTGTTAATCAGCCTTCCAGTGGCACGAGGAGTCATTTTCTGGGGATAGGCGCTTTGCCCAAAGCGTGAGAAGCAGGAGCAGGCCCTTTCTGTTGATTGAAGGGTCTTCCTGGCTGGTGAAGCCCTTTCCAGACTTGAGGGCAGGGACCAGTGGTCCTCGGGGCCTAGAAAGAGGCAGAATTGGGGGCCAAACGGCAGACCCCTCTGGTCCGCCCCAAAAGACGCCTCGGTTCCCCCAGCGTGCCTCCCCTGGATACTCGCCTCGACGTGGCTCGCCCGCGGTCGTTCCTGCAACTGCACGGTCGGGAGTCCCTCTCCCCAGCCCAGCCCGCCCGGAGTCTTCGGGGGACACTTCAGAAAGATCGGGTGAGTGTGATTCCCCCGTGGCCATACCCGGAGTCCCTCCCCCGCCCCACCTCCCTCCAGGCGCTGTGGCGCAGCCCGCGACTCCGAGCCCCGGGGCTGCTGGACACCCGGAGGGGTTGAGGTCCGGGCACCCAGAGAGGCGGAGGTCCGAGCCCCCGGGCGGAGAGCGGGCGGGTCCACAGGTCGCTGCGGGTCGCAGCCCCCTCCTGAGCGAGCCTTCGCGGCCCGCCCCCGGCCTCCGCTCGACCCCCCCAGCCTGACGTCAAGGGGAAGGGGGCGGAGAGCCGCGGCCGCGCTGGAGAAAGAGCCGGCGCCCGCCGTGGTGGCGCGGGGAGCCCGAGCCTAGGGGCGCGGAGCCGGGCGGGGACGGAGGGGCGGTGGCAGAGAGGCCGCGGAGGGCTGGCGGGCGAGCGCGGGCAGGCGGCGACGCGGGGGCAGGGGTGGACGGCGGTCAGAGCCGAACGCGAGGGCGGCGCCCGGGGACTGGAGCTGCGCGCAATAGGTGAGCGAGGCCGGGCTTGCGTGAGGCTGGAGCCGCGGGGCCCCGGAGCCGCCGCTTTGTCCCTTTGCTTGGGCAGGGGCTGCCGGACGCGGGAGGGACAGGGGCTGGGGCGCGGGGAGCCGCGGCGGCGGAGACGGCTGTACGCGGGGATCCTTCCTGCGACCCCCGCGGCTGCTTCGCAGGGTCTCGGGAGTGGGGCGCACAGCACCTGCAGCCCCGCAGCCCCGGGGCCGGAGGGGCGCGCCAGCGAGGGTTCCTCGCGCGGTCCGGTCCGCGGCCGGGATCCTCGCCAGGCTCCTGGACTGCCCTCGGCGCTCCCACCCCCGATGGAAAGTTTGGGGCGGGCTTGGAGGGAGGCCGATGTTGTGGGATCGGATTTCCCTGCCGCGGCCCCCCGCCCGCCCGCCCATTCCGCTGGGGAGGCGGGTTGTCCCGGAAAGCCAGGCCCCCGGGCCGAGCCGGGCCGCGCCGTCCCCGGCTGGAGCGCTCGCCCTGCAGGGAGGGCCGCGGTCCACGGCTGGCCGCTCGGGGTGGGCGAGGGTGTGGGGTGCCCCGCCTGGATCCCGCACCCCTCCCCCCAACCCCTCCTCCCGGCTGCCCGTTTCCTCGCCCTGGGGGGAGCTGCGGGTGGGAGCACCGCTGCCGGGCGGATCCTCGGAGCACGCCACGGGGTGCGGCCCGATCCTCGGGTAAGGAGCCGAGATGAGGCCGCGGGCGTTTTGGGGGGCTGGTCTGGGGCGCAGCCCCCGCTCTCCCGCGCCGGGGCTCTGGGCCGACAGGGGGCGTCCGCAGGCCGGGCTCGCCACGCTCCCCGCGCCGCCGCTTTGTTTGCGTTCAAATCCCTGGAGCTGGGGGAGGGGAGAACCCGGGGGGACCCGGGACGGGGTCTTGGCGGGGACCCTTTGTTTGGGGGTGAGCAGGTCCCCAGCTTCTGCGTCTCCGCCCCTGGCACGGGAAGGCTGGAGCAGGGGAAGCCAATCCCGCTGGCCCGCCCAGGCCAGGGTCCCTGGGGCGCAGTCCCCGAGTTGGGAAGGTTCGTCAGAGTCGCGGGAGCGCAGCGGGTGCCGGCCGTGCGCGGCGCGTTGCCAGCGGCCCGGGAGGAACCCCCTCGCGTCCCCGCCCCTACCTCCCCCCGTCGCCTGCGCGCGCCGCCGGAGTCCCCGACTCGACCCGAGCTCGGTCCCCCCACCGCCCCTCCGCCAGAGGGCTGGTGTTTCGGAGGAGGCAGTGCGAGGAACAGGATGAGGCCCTGGTCATTTCCACGCCCATCCCACCCACTTCCTGCCTCCCTCTTGGGCAACAAAGGGGCCTCGGGAAGCTGGGCCCCTTCGCTCCCGGCCCTTCTCACACTCCTGCCCTGCTGATGTGGAACGGGGTTTGGGGTTCTGCAGGGCTATTGTCTGCGCTGGGGAAGGGGACAGGCCGGGACCGGGACCTCCGCTCGCAGCCGGCCGCACCAGGTTTCCCCTTTGGGGCTTTCCCGACCGCCTACCCCACCGCATGCCCTCGTCGCCCTAAGGAGTCTTCCTCCCAGAATTAGGTGTTGGCAGGGTCCGGAGCCCCAGTGGCTGCAAGGCCTGCTGCCTGAGGTTCTTTCAAGAAACTCAAACCTCTTAGGCCTGAGTGTGTATGTTGGGCGGGGGTCCCCTTTTTATTTCTCAAATGATTTCCTGTTGCGCAGAGGTAGTGGTGGGTCTGGAGGCCAGGGAGGGCTTCCCGGAGCCTGTTTAGCCTTCAGCCAACTCAACTCCTCCCCGCTTCCCAGGGAGACCTGTGGTCTTTTAGGCAGAGGCCAAGTGTGGGGACTTAGGTCCACCTCCAAAGAGAAGGGGAAGGAGGGCACCGGGGCTCCTGGAAGGCCTGATGAGGAGTCCTGTGGCCTCTCCTGCTGCGGGCCCCTCTGGTTTGCTTTCTCTGGCTGTGATTTCTGACCATGTCTTTTCCCTCAGCAGGACAGCTGGCCTGAAGCTCAGAGCCGGGGCGTGCGCCATGGCCCCACACTGGGCTGTCTGGCTGCTGGCAGCAAGGCTGTGGGGCCTGGGCATTGGGGCTGAGGTGTGGTGGAACCTTGTGCCGCGTAAGACAGTGTCTTCTGGGGGTGAGTGCCTGGAGGGGTGAGGAGGAAGTCAGGGACAGGCTGCTGAGGAGTTGCCCCCATAGTGTGCTGGCTTTATTCTCACGTGTGTGGCACAGCTTTCTAAGAAACTCGAGTTGGAAGAACGGGCAGTGTGGGTTGGGACCTGGGATTAGCCTCCTCTGGGGGAGCTCTGTCCAACTCCCCACCCCAGACTGCCTGCCCAGGTGTGGGAGGGGGAGAGCCTTCTGCCTCGCCCTCTCCACGCCTCGCTTCTTGAATTGTCACTGGCGCTGGGAGCCTAAAGAGAAACTGGAACCGGGATAAATATAAACTGGAGGCTCTCTCCCCTGGCTCCCCAGGCCCCCCTAAGACCTCCTACTGCCCTGTACACATCATACACTCTGGTGGCCCTGGAAGTGTGTGTGTATGTGCACATGCTCGCATGGTTGCCGGGGCACAGCGGGGACCCAGCAGTGCTCCCTGTGCACACACCCGTGTGAAAGGTGATGTCAGGTGTTTGTATCAGCCGTGCGCTCTGGGGACCTGGGATGAGCTCACCTCCCACAGGCTCCACTCGGGTGCCAGTGAAGCCCTGCCATGCCGGTCTGTGTCTGGATCCATTGTTGCCTGCAAAGACTAAGGCTGGTTTGGGGGGACCCTGAGGACAGGTCGGCAGCCATATTTGGCAGCTGATGTAGGAATCACGTGACTGTATAAATGTCGTAGTGCCCTGCATGCCGGGTGGCAGCAAGACTTCCCAGGCCCCAGCCCCATCTCCGCTCTCTGAGCCTCTGGTTTCTCCGGACCTCCCTGGCCTGGCTCACAGCCCAGCTCCCCTCCTGCCATCCCCACCTGTCCTAGTGGCCTGCTGTGCTCGCATCTCTGGCAGCCTGGATTGGGGTCCTGCTGGAGTGAAGGGTTTCCTGAGGCAGGGAGTACTCATAGCCGTCTGTGCCTCCTGCTCTGCTGGACTCTGATAGAGGCAGTGGGCAGCAGGGCAAAGAAGGAAGCAGCCGCCGAGGAAGCGAAGGTGGGGTGGGGGTGCCCAGCCCTGCGGCCGGAGGTGCCATTGACCCTGAGAGCAAGAGCCATCAGTCTGATGGCTTCCTCTGGCCGGAAGCTGTGGCTGAGATATCCTTCCTTCCTCCCAGCAGCCTGGATTTGCCTCCTCCCAGGCTGGGAAAGGCTAGGGAGGCCCAGGTGGGGCTGTCAGGGCCAAAGGCTGTTTCAAAAGTGTCCTTTATTGCCAATCAGGGGGTTTGGCTGGCATCTGCTTGTGGCATGGGGTGCTGGCTCTCGTGGAGCAAGACTGAGGGCTGTCGAGCCCCAGGGGTCCTGCCCATCAGCAGCCATGCTTACCCCTGCAGAGCTGGCCACGGTAGTACGGCGGTTCTCCCAGACCGGCATCCAGGACTTCCTGACACTGACGCTGACGGAGCCCACTGGGCTTCTGTACGTGGGCGCCCGAGAGGCCCTGTTTGCCTTCAGCATGGAGGCCCTGGAGCTGCAAGGAGCGGTGAGAGGTGGGGCAGTGGGAGGCAGTCGGGCCTGCCAGAGGGCAAGGCCCAGAGGGGCTGTGCTTGGCTAGGTGGTCCCTCAGCCTGGCTGCCCCCACAGAAGTGCTGCTGGGCATCCGGGGCCTGCCCTCTGGTTGGGGTCAGCATGCGGCATTCCTCTCCTCTCTGGCACTTACTGAATTCTGTGTAGTGGGGTGGTTTGGGGCTTCCATTCTGTACTAAAGGAAGTCCCCAGAGAATAGGGACCATGCCTCTGCACTGGGCGTCCCTGTGTTGCTGCTGCAGGCTGTGCTTGTGACACGTGCTCAGTCCGTACCTGTAACGTGGCTGACATCCCCTTCCCTTTCCCCAGATCTCCTGGGAGGCCCCCGTGGAGAAGAAGACTGAGTGTATCCAGAAAGGGAAGAACAACCAGGTGGGTGCTTGGACGCTGCTCCTGGTGCTGCCTTCACCCCAGGACGTCTCCTCCCATTCTGGCCCTCGCGCTCTCACTAACCGGACACCTTTCTGCCCCCAGACCGAGTGCTTCAACTTCATCCGCTTCCTGCAGCCCTACAATGCCTCCCACCTGTACGTCTGTGGCACCTACGCCTTCCAGCCCAAGTGCACCTACGTCGTGAGTGCTGCCCTCCTACCTCGGTGTCCCCAGCCCCCCGCCCTCCTCACCCTTCTCTGGACTCGTGGATGTGGCCCACAGAGCCCTGCCCTTAAGCATCTCCTCATCACCTCTCTCTCTGTCCTTAGAACATGCTCACCTTCACTTTGGAGCATGGAGAGTTTGAAGATGGGAAGGGCAAGTGTCCCTATGACCCAGCTAAGGGCCATGCTGGCCTTCTTGTGGGTGAGTGGCTGCCCCCCATGCAGGCTGGGTGAGTCCTTGGGGCTTGGTTCCACTTGGGTCTGTGTTGGCCGGATGTGTCCATACCTCATGTGTGGCCTAGCTGACCTCTGTCTCCCATAGATGGTGAGCTGTACTCGGCCACACTCAACAACTTCCTGGGCACGGAACCCATTATCCTGCGTAACATGGGGCCCCACCACTCCATGAAGACAGAGTACCTGGCCTTTTGGCTCAACGGTGAGCCACCGGGGGGCCTGTGGGAGCCATGGGTGGGAGGTCCCCCGGGGCCCAGCCCCTCCCTGCTGACCTCCTCCCCTTCCCACAGAACCTCACTTTGTAGGCTCTGCCTATGTACCTGAGAGTGTGGGCAGCTTCACGGGGGACGACGACAAGGTCTACTTCTTCTTCAGGGAGCGGGCAGTGGAGTCCGACTGCTATGCCGAGCAGGTGGTGGCTCGTGTGGCCCGTGTCTGCAAGGTACCGAGTCTCACAGCGGTGGGCCCTGGGAGCCCTGCTGGCCCAGCGGGGCTGACCGGCAGTGTCCCCTTGCCGTCTGCCAGGGCGATATGGGGGGCGCACGGACCCTGCAGAGGAAGTGGACCACGTTCCTGAAGGCGCGGCTGGCATGCTCTGCCCCGAACTGGCAGCTCTACTTCAACCAGCTGCAGGCGATGCACACCCTGCAGGACACCTCCTGGCACAACACCACCTTCTTTGGGGTTTTTCAAGCACAGTGGTGAGTTGGCCAGGGCTCCCACAGAGTGGGGAGGAGCTGGGGTTCAGGTCAGGGACGGTGCATGGGTGGGAGCCTGGACCAGGCCTCAGAGGCAGTCCCGGAAGCCAGGTGTCCAGAAGCCAAGGAGAATGCTGGCACCTGCCCCTTTCAGAGCTGCCTGTGAAGGGGCAGGGCCCCATGCCAGGTGGCACTTGAGCTGCCAGGGCATTCTGGTACCCATGGCCAGTTTGTGCCAGGCCCTGCCTTCCTGCTGCTTGCCCTTAGCTGGGGTGGGAAGAGATAAGGTGGGTACCTGACCCTGGGCTCCCTCTCGCTGTGACAGGGGTGACATGTACCTGTCGGCCATCTGTGAGTACCAGTTGGAAGAGATCCAGCGGGTGTTTGAGGGCCCCTATAAGGAGTACCATGAGGAAGCCCAGAAGTGGGACCGCTACACTGACCCTGTACCCAGCCCTCGGCCTGGCTCGGTGAGTGCTAGGGCAGGGATGCATCTCCCCACCCAGCTGCGGTGCCATCCCACCCTGCTGATGGCCTGCCCCCCACACCCTGCCCCCAGTGCATTAACAACTGGCATCGGCGCCACGGCTACACCAGCTCCCTGGAGCTACCCGACAACATCCTCAACTTCGTCAAGAAGCACCCGCTGATGGAGGAGCAGGTGGGGCCTCGGTGGAGCCGCCCCCTGCTCGTGAAGAAGGGCACCAACTTCACCCACCTGGTGGCCGACCGGGTTACAGGACTTGATGGAGCCACCTATACAGTGCTGTTCATTGGCACAGGTGGGTGCATGGGTATGCAGGCATGGCTGCTCAAGGCTGGGCAGAAGCCCGTGTGCCCAGGGCAGGGAGATTTGGAGCTGCCCCACGGCCTTGTGCCCTCTCATTTACACCTTCTCCTCTGCACCCCCCAGGAGACGGCTGGCTGCTCAAGGCTGTGAGCCTGGGGCCCTGGGTTCACCTGATTGAGGAGCTGCAGCTGTTTGACCAGGAGCCCATGAGAAGCCTGGTGCTATCTCAGAGCAAGGTAGTAAGTTGGGCCCTATCTGCCACTGTCCCCAGCACTATCCCATCTCACTCTCTCCATCTGGCTGCTTCTCCCAGTTGGGCCTATGTGCTTGGCCAGTGCAGAGTTAGGAACACACACACATGTGGATGCACACCTTGCCTAACTTGGGGTGGGTTCCTGGAAACGAGAATGAAAACAGAATGGAATCTGCACTGCACAGGGCCATTATATATAGCCAGGTCACGGGGCTGCGCTCCCAGCATCAAGCCTTGGCAACTGCTCCCATGTTTCTTTCAGACCCTCCAAGCTGTGCTGTGGTTCTGGCTCTGGCCTCTTCCCTGACCATGCCCCTGTGACCAGACCTCCCAGGCTGTGAGATGTTTATGATGCCCTCACCATGGTGGTTTTCCTTCCAGCCCCCATTTCCGTGACTGTTTCCCTGAAGTGCTTGCATTATACCCTTGTGCAATACTCTTTTTGGTTTTTTTTTGAGATGGAGTCTCACTCTGTCACCCAGGCTAGAGTGCAGTGACGCGATCTCAGCTCACTGCAACCTCCACCTCCCAGGTTGAAGCTATTCTTATGCCTCAGCCTCCTGAGTAGCTGGGATTACAGGTGCCTGCCACTATGCCCAGCTAAAGGTTTTTTGTTTTTGTTTTTGTTTTCTTTGAGATGGAGTCTCACTCTGTCGCCCAGGCTGGAGTGCGGTGGCATGATCTCTGCTCACTGCAACCTCCACCTCCCGGGTTCAAGCAATTCTGCCTCGGCCTCCCAAGTAACTGGGACTACAGGCACGTGCCACCATGCCCAGCTAATTTTTTTTTTTTTTTTTTTTTTTGAGATGGAGTCTCGCTCTGTCACCCAGGCTGGAGTGCAGTGGCGCAATCTCGGCTCACTGCAAGCTCTGCCTCCCAGGTTCACACCATTCTCCTGCCTCAGCCTTCCATGTAGCTGGGACTACAGGCTCCCATCACCACGCCTGGCTAATTTTTTGTATTTTTAGTAGAGACGGGGTTTCACCGTGTTAGCCAGGATGGTCTCGATCTCCTGACCTTGCGATCCGCCCGACTCAGCCTCCCAAAGTGCTGGGATTACAGGCGTGAGCCACTGCGCCTGGCCAGCCGGCTAATTTTTGTATTTTTAGTAGAGACAAGGTTTTACCATGTTGGCCAGGCTGGTCTTGAACTCCTAACCTCAAGTGATTTGCCCACCTCAGCCTCCCAAAGTGCTGGGATTCCAGGCATGACCTGCTGTTCCTAGTTGCCTTGTGCAATACTCTTGTGGCATGTTTGCTACACCTCCTGAACTTTGATTTGTTTGCCTTTTACCAGCTATTATGACTCAAAATTGTCCCCTAGAACATGGAATAATGGCAGAAAGAAAGTGTGTGGTTGAATAAACACACAGATTGGCATCCACCGTTGAAACAGGAAAACATCTTATGTTATGCTGCTGCTGTTGTGAGGGCTGATGGGCCTTGAAATGTATTTCCTGCACTATGTGTGTGTGAGTGTGTGTGATTATACTTTTTGGCCTCACAGCCCCATCATCCCTTTCTAATAACGTCACGTCGATAAGGGGCTTAGGATTGCATCTGGCCTGTGTAAGCCCTCTGAGTTCTGCGGTTCTTAGAGTTCCCTTTTCAGCACTATAGCTCTGCCTTGTTCCCTTGTTCCTCCTTCTGGCGCCCCGTGCTGTGCCCCCTGCAGGAGTCCAAGCTGTCCCCATGCTGCGTTCTGGTCCGGCCGCCCCTCCCGTGGTGTGGCCCTGGCCGACCCCCCTCCTGCGCCCCGCTTTTCTCGCAGAAGCTGCTCTTTGCCGGCTCCCGCTCTCAGCTGGTGCAGCTGCCCGTGGCCGACTGCATGAAGTATCGCTCCTGTGCAGACTGTGTCCTCGCCCGGGACCCCTATTGCGCCTGGAGCGTCAACACCAGCCGCTGTGTGGCCGTGGGTGGCCACTCTGGGTGAGTTGGGCTCTACATAGGCCAGGACCTCCAGGGACTCAGGGTGGTTGGAGCCAGGCTGCTGATGTACCCTACATCCCCTACCAGATCTCTACTGATCCAGCATGTGATGACCTCGGACACTTCAGGCATCTGCAACCTCCGTGGCAGTAAGAAAGGTGAGCTTTTTCATTCCCGTCGCATCGGGCTGAGCCCTGGACCAGAGCTGGAGTTTCTGTTCTCCTCTTCCCCAGCCCTGCTTTCCTGCACTAACATGCACTCTGTTTTCTCTGCCACTACAGTCAGGCCCACTCCCAAAAACATCACGGTGGTGGCGGGCACAGACCTGGTGCTGCCCTGCCACCTCTCCTCCAACTTGGCCCATGCCCGCTGGACCTTTGGGGGCCGGGACCTGCCTGCGGAACAGCCCGGGTCCTTCCTCTACGATGCCCGGCTCCAGGCCCTGGTTGTGATGGCTGCCCAGCCCCGCCATGCCGGGGCCTACCACTGCTTTTCAGAGGAGCAGGGGGCGCGGCTGGCTGCTGAAGGCTACCTTGTGGCTGTCGTGGCAGGCCCGTCGGTGACCTTGGAGGCCCGGGCCCCCCTGGAAAACCTGGGGCTGGTGTGGCTGGCGGTGGTGGCCCTGGGGGCTGTGTGCCTGGTGCTGCTGCTGCTGGTGCTGTCATTGCGCCGGCGGCTGCGGGAAGAGCTGGAGAAAGGGGCCAAGGCTACTGAGAGGACCTTGGTGTACCCCCTGGAGCTGCCCAAGGAGCCCACCAGTCCCCCCTTCCGGCCCTGTCCTGAACCAGATGAGAAACTTTGGGATCCTGTCGGTTACTACTATTCAGATGGCTCCCTTAAGATAGTACCTGGGCATGCCCGGTGCCAGCCCGGTGGGGGGCCCCCTTCGCCACCTCCAGGCATCCCAGGCCAGCCTCTGCCTTCTCCAACTCGGCTTCACCTGGGGGGTGGGCGGAACTCAAATGCCAATGGTTACGTGCGCTTACAACTAGGAGGGGAGGACCGGGGAGGGCTCGGGCACCCCCTGCCTGAGCTCGCGGATGAACTGAGACGCAAACTGCAGCAACGCCAGCCACTGCCCGACTCCAACCCCGAGGAGTCATCAGTATGAGGGGAACCCCCACCGCGTCGGCGGGAAGCGTGGGAGGTGTAGCTCCTACTTTTGCACAGGCACCAGCTACCTCAGGGACATGGCACGGGCACCTGCTCTGTCTGGGACAGATACTGCCCAGCACCCACCCGGCCATGAGGACCTGCTCTGCTCAGCACGGGCACTGCCACTTGGTGTGGCTCACCAGGGCACCAGCCTCGCAGAAGGCATCTTCCTCCTCTCTGTGAATCACAGACACGCGGGACCCCAGCCGCCAAAACTTTTCAAGGCAGAAGTTTCAAGATGTGTGTTTGTCTGTATTTGCACATGTGTTTGTGTGTGTGTGTATGTGTGTGTGCACGCGCGTGCGCGCTTGTGGCATAGCCTTCCTGTTTCTGTCAAGTCTTCCCTTGGCCTGGGTCCTCCTGGTGAGTCATTGGAGCTATGAAGGGGAAGGGGTCGTATCACTTTGTCTCTCCTACCCCCACTGCCCCGAGTGTCGGGCAGCGATGTACATATGGAGGTGGGGTGGACAGGGTGCTGTGCCCCTTCAGAGGGAGTGCAGGGCTTGGGGTGGGCCTAGTCCTGCTCCTAGGGCTGTGAATGTTTTCAGGGTGGGGGGAGGGAGATGGAGCCTCCTGTGTGTTTGGGGGGAAGGGTGGGTGGGGCCTCCCACTTGGCCCCGGGGTTCAGTGGTATTTTATACTTGCCTTCTTCCTGTACAGGGCTGGGAAAGGCTGTGTGAGGGGAGAGAAGGGAGAGGGTGGGCCTGCTGTGGACAATGGCATACTCTCTTCCAGCCCTAGGAGGAGGGCTCCTAACAGTGTAACTTATTGTGTCCCCGCGTATTTATTTGTTGTAAATATTTGAGTATTTTTATATTGACAAATAAAATGGAGAAAATGAAACGATTGCTCTGATGGGGCTAAGATGTTTGGGCTAAAGCCTTTCTGGGTACCAAGAGGGAAGGCTCTCTGGGTGGAGGGAGGCTGGACTGGGCCTCCCCCACAATCCCAGGGCAGCCACCACTTTTGTGGTCCCTGCCTGCCTGTGGGAGGGGACAGCCCAGCTCTAGTGTTTTCCCACAGTGGTGGCTGCGGGGCTGGGAACGAGACCATGGCCATAGCCCCTTGGGAGCCAGCCTTGGCTTCTGGCCAGAAGGAGAAGTCAGGGCACTGGGAGTCCAGGGGAGAAGCGGAGTGGTGGGGGGGGTGCCTTCCCAGAACTCAAGACGGGTAGTGGGAATGAGGGGCCAAAGGAGTGGAAGGTTGTGGAGATGAGATCATTGCTTGTGTGAGGATGGGGTTCTCAACCTGCTTAGGGGAGGAGAAACGACTTCCAGCCTTCTACCCACCAGGAATGCTAGGGTCTTCCGTGCCCCAACTAGCGGGGGAAGGAACTTACATCCAGTGTGCACCAGACCACTGTCCTGGAGAGGGACTGGCACAGAACCCAACCTGCATTCTGTCGTTCATGCACTCTTTCTAAGCCGATCAGGCGGTCTCCCCTGTACACTTGATCGTGGCTTGAGCAGGCAGCTGCCTGGGTTTTAACTGGGAATTGAGAAGGCTGGGGTCCGCTGAGGAGCACGCTGCGAAGGTGCGCGGTCCGCAGACGGCCTCCCGGTGGGTTTTGATCATGAAGACCGATTCCGTAAACTCAGCGCCCACTGTGGGGCCAGGGGGTTCTGCACAAACCAAGGCCCTGCCCCTGCCCTGAGGTGGAGCTACAGGCAGGACAAGTTGTGGCCACCTGCCCCTTGCTGGACTTGTAAGGAAGAGCAGGGTACGGGGAGGGGCGTCTCGAGGCCTTTCCAGCCGTCACTTTGCCGCTGCCCCGGGGGCGGTCGGCCTTGGTCCGGGGTGGTGCCAGGAAGAGGGGCTAAAAACCGTGGAGCGCGCCCCGGCCCGATGGCTCACGCCTGTAATCCCAGCACTTTGGGAGGCCAAGGTGAGCGGATCACGAGGTCAAGAGATCGAGACCATCCTGGCGAAACCCCGTCTCTACTAAAAAATACAAAAAATTAGCCGGGCGTGGTGGCGGGCGCCTGTAGTCCCAGCTACTCAGGAGTCTGACGCAGGAGAATCGCTTGAACCCGGGAGGCGGAGGTTGCAGTGAGCCGAGATCGCGCCACTGCACACAAGTCTGGGTGACAGCGAGACTCCGTCTCAAAAAAAAAAAAAAAAAAAAAAAAGACCGCGGAGCGCGTGGCGCCTCCCTGCCCTAGGGACTAGGGGCGGTAAAGAGAGGAGGCTGCGAGGTCGCTGGACGGCTGGGTCATGGCGAAGGTAACGGGAAAGCTCCCGACCGGACCCAGCTGCCTCATCCCCACACCCTGCAAGGCCAGGCGGCCCGGCGGCCCTCCAGCGGCGCGCGGCTCCCGGAACCCAGCGCCTCAGTCCTCGCTTGGCCTTGGACGCCCTCGCGCGGAGGCCTCGGGGCACGGCCGGGCGCAACAAGCCCCGCCCTACCGTTGCAATTGGTTCTCGAGCTAAGGCCTAGGCGTTTGATTGGTCAGCTTTGGCGAGAAGGCGGGACTAGGGCGACAGCCGCGGACGCCGAGCGGCCAGATCAGGGACGCGGGGCGGGCCCTGCGTCCGCCCCTCCCGCCGAGGCTGAGCCTGAGACCCGGGGCGGATCGACTGACGCCGGGGCCGGGATGGCGACGCCTCGGCCCTGCGCGGACGGGCCCTGCTGCTCGCATCCCAGCGCGGTGCTCGGCGTACAGCAGACGCTGGAGGAGATGGACTTCGAGAGGGGTGAGGCTGCCGCGCGGCCCTCGTGGTTCTCACCAGGCCCCGGCCCAAGGAGGAGGCGTGGGGCCAAGGAGAGGCGGATGAACGGGGCCCCGAGAGCTTGGGGCTTGGGGCTTGGGGCCTGGTGCGGGAAGGCGGGCGGGACCCACGGTTCCCGTGTACTGAGAGCCTCCCAGGGCCCCGCACGAGCTCGGCCAGGAGACACCTGTCCCGCGGGCGGCGGGGAAGCGGAAGCACTGGTTTCCGTAACCCTCCCGAGTAGCGGGGGACGACCTCCCCTGGGAGACACAAGCCTGCTCAGGTGTTTGAGAGAGGGCCCGGGGAGCAGAATCTGCACCAGGGGCATTGCACCCAACCTGAGGGGCATGGAGCTGCAGGCCTGGGGGCTGCGCGGTGAAGGAGAGCAGTGGCCTTTGTTTAGCCCCGGGTGCCAGGCAGCCTGCATGCTTTAAAGATGGCAAGAGCTTCGCACGGGCAGCCTTCGAGGCAGGGCACAGTATCTCATCTGTGGGACCCAGAGAGGTAACACGTTTGGCCCAGATTATACAGAGATTATGGTGCCAATAGGAACAGAGGAAGGCGGGAAACCAGGGTGCTTCTTGTGAGCGTTGGGAACCACTGTGCTGTGTCATCTGCCCTTGCGGATGCAGCCCTCGATTGCCACTGCTGTGTAAGCATTCTCATGGAACTCTTCCTTTACCGTGGTTCTGGCACCTGCCTACTTCCCTCCGCCCCTCCTACCGCTGTCCTCTGCACTGCTGAAGTGGTTGCCTCAGAGGGTCTTTCTGCTTCCACGCTTGCCTTCCTACAGGGTTTTCTACTCTCACATAGCAGCCAGAGCGGCTTTTTGAAAATTAGAAATCACATCATTCCCTGTTATGGCCTACAAAGCTCTGTAGACCCACCCCTGCCGGTTCTACTTCTCCTCCTCATTTTATTTCTCATGCTTTTCTTCCCCCAATCACTACGCCGCAGCCACACTGGTCTTGTTTTGGTGTCTCAAATATGCAAGACCTTTTCCTGAGTTAAGGCCGTTGGACTTGCTGTCCCATCTCCTTAGAATGAACTTCCTACAACCGTTAAGCTAGCTGATGCTTTTCTTCAGATCCCAGCTCCAATGTCATCTCCTCAGAGACCCTCCCTAAACACCCCAGTTCTCAACTGGGGGCAGTTCTGCCCTTTAAGGGACTTTGAATATCTGGAGACATTTTGGGTTGTCACAATCAGGAGGGTGCTACAGGCGTGTAGTAGGTAGAGATGAGAGATGCTGTATACATGGTACAATGCACAGGACAGCTCGCTACAATAATCATCCGGCCCGTAAGTGTCAATTGTGCTGTTAAGAAGTAAACATTGCCTTATCCAAAGTTAGGCCAGTTACTCTGATGTATCCATCATCTTGCTTTTTTTTTTTTTTTTTTTGAGATGGAGTCTCCCTCTTTTGTCCAGGCTGGCGTGCAGTAGCGCAATCTCGGCTCACTGCAGCCTCCGCCTCCTGGGTTCAAGCGATTCTCCTATTCTCCTGAGTAGCTGAGATTACAGGCGTGTGCCACGACGCCCGGCTAGTTTTTGTATTTTTAGTAGAGACCGGGGTTTCACCATATTGGTCAGGCTGATCTCGGAACTCCTGACCTCATGATCTGCCCGCTTTGACCTCCCAAAGTGCTAGGATTACAGGCGTGAGCCACCGCACCCGGCATCTTGCTTTCATAAAAAACAATTTTTACCGCAAACAATTTCCTCATTTTTTTGTGCAAACAAATACATTCTTTAAAACATTAATGGGAAGAGTGTATTTGATAAGCCAGTTTTAGCTACTGTTGTCACAAATAAAAGAAACTGTGAGATTTGTTAATCCGCTTCACTACAGTAACTCTTTGTTGTTGTTGTTGTTGTTTTGTTGTTGTTGTTGTTGTTGAGTCGGAGTCTGGCTCTGTCCCCAGGCTTTAGTGGCGCAATCTCGGCTCACTGCAAGCTCCACCTCCCAGGTTCACGCCATTCTCCTGCCTCAGCCTCCCAAGTAGCTGGGACTACAGGCGCCCGCCACCATGCCCGGCTAATTTTGTTTTGTATTTTTAGTAGAGATGAGGTTTCACCATGTTAGCCAGGATGGTCTTGATCTCCTGACCTCGTGATCCGCACAGTAATATATCTTTTTTTTTTTTTTTGAGACGGAGTCTCGCTCTGTCGCCCAGGCTGGAGTGCAGTGGTGCGATCTTGGCTCACGGCAACCTCTGCCTCCTGGGTTCACGCGATTCTTCTGCCTCAGCCCCCTGAGTAGCTGGGACTACAGGCGCGTGCCACCAAGCCCAGCTAATTTTTGTATTTTTAGTAGAGACGGGGTTTTACTCTGTTAGCCAGGATGGTCTCGATCTCCTGACCTCGTGATCCACCCGCCTCGGCCTCCCAAAGTGCTGGGATTACAGGCGTGAGCCACTGCGCCTGGCCAATATTTTTCTATTTATCATTTTGTACTACATTTTGGGTGAATTCCAAATCACTAATTCTCTTTGACTAGGTCTGCAGTACTCTTTGACCCATCTATTGTTGTTGTTTTGTTTCAATGAGTCTGTTTTTTAATTTATCAACTTTCCTGTTTCAGATCTGGCTGTTTTGTTTTTCCTAATGTTCTGTTGATTTGTGGATTCTATCCCTTTGTCTCTGTGAACACCTTCAATGTTGTTGTTTTAAGGTCTTTTTTGGATTGTGCAATAATGGCTCACTTTGGAGGCATGCGTGTTCCCACTTGTATTTGCTAGTTGTTGTCTGTCGCCATGCCACCCTGAACTCCCCGAACTCCCCTCATCTCACCTATATTTGCTGATTGTCTCTTAGGGCAGCAGATTGCTTCTTGTTTTGCAACTTTCAGTCTTTGTGCTCACCAGGGAGATCCTCTTCTGTGGGAGATTGTCACACTGCCTTGGCAGCCTTCTGGAGGCATCATTATATTTTTTAAAAGTTGTTTCTGGCTGGGCACGGTGGCTCACGCCTGTAATCCCAGCACTTTGGGAGGCCAAGGCAAATGGATCACTTGAGGTCAGGAGTTCAAGGCCAGCCTGACCAACATGGTGAAACCCTGTCTCTACTAAAAATAGAAAAATTTGCTGGGCATGGTGGTGGGCGCCTGTAATCCCAGCCCGACCTGAATTTCACTCTAGATCCAAACATTTTAAACATTACTTCATCCAGCACTTCTGTGTTTGAAGTGGGATGGAGATGTCTGTGTCCGCCCAGTCCTACTGTCCTGATGAGATGTGCCCATCTGTCTTGTTCACAGCTAAGTCACCAGCATTCAGAACAAACCTTGACACAGAGGAGGTGCTCGGTTGATATTTGTTGAAGGAATGAATATTCTTCACTTTATAGACAAGAAAACTGAGGTCAAGAGGCAAAGCAAGCACTGAAACTCCCATTCAGCATCATTCAGTCCTTTGGTTGCCTTTCTGCAGGAATCTGGTCGGCAGCCCTGAATGGAGACCTGGGCCGAGTGAAGCATTTAATCCAGAAGGCCGAGGACCCAAGTCAGCCCGACTCGGCCGGCTACACTGCGCTGGTGAGCTAGGGAGGAGCACAGGGTCAGGAGACAGAAGCGTTAACTCAGGAGACACCTGCTCTCTGAGGAGGGGGACTGATGGTTACCTTTTACCTCCTCCCTCCCTTTCTTCTCTTCCAGCAAAATTTCTCTTTTTAAGCATCATATGAACCTGGATTTTTTAAATTAGTGTGAGACCTTTACATCAATAATTTAGGTTTTGTTTTGTTTTGAGATGAAGTCTTGCTCTGTTACCCAGGCTGGAGTGCAGTGATGCGATCTCAGCTCACTGCAACCTCCGCCTCCCAGGTTCAAGCGATTCTCCTGCCTCAGCCTCCTGAGTAGCTGAGACTACAGGCATGTGCCACCACACCCAGCTAATTTTTGTATTTTTAGTAGAGATGGGTTTTCACCATGTTGACCAGGCTGGTCTCGAACTCCTGACTTCAGGTGATCCGCCTGCCTCGGCCTCCCAAAGTGCTGGGATTACAGGCATGAGCCACTGCGCCCAGCCAATGATTTAGTTTTATTTTCGTAACAATTCTTTGAGATAGGAATGATCATTTTCCCCATTTTTCAATTGAACAAACTCAGGTTAGTCACGCAGAAGCTTGCCCAGGTCACACGACTGCTGGGGTTGGCACCTGAGATGATTCCAGGCCCCTCGCTGCAGGGAGGCCATGCTCTCACCTCTATACCACCCTTGTCACCTGCCTGGCTTCTCCCATCTGACCTCGGTCTCTGTTCCCTGCAGCACTATGCCAGCCGCAATGGGCACTACGCTGTGTGCCAGTTCCTGCTGGAAAGCGGAGCTAAGTGTGATGCCCAGACCCACGGGGGTGCCACTGCTCTGCACCGAGCCAGCTACTGCGGGCACACTGAAATCGCGCGGCTCCTGCTATCACATGGGTCCAACCCCAGGGTGGTGGATGACGACGGCATGACCAGTCTGCATAAGGTGGGCCCGTTCCCCCTTCCAAAAATGTCGTTTCCTTATTTTTAAAGTTATAACATGTTCATGTAGAAAACATGGGGAAAACAGGAAATCAGAGAGAAGACAGTTAAAATCATTTGTAATTCCCTTGCTCACCTGTCATCACTTTAGGACTAATGGGTAATTCTCCAGCCTTTTTTCTGAGCGTGTAAATTAAAATGTACAGTGGCACTTTAGTTTTCTTTCCCTTAGAGACATGTCATGAAGCCTTTTCCATATAGTTTTCTGAAACTTATACATACTCTTGCCTGTTCCTGTAGTCCACTTGCTATATGTTAGCCGGAGTGATCATTTAATTAAACTCTTTCTAGCTGGAAATACCTGCACATGGTAAACAATCTGAAGAGTCTACAAGGGCATGCCATGAAAGCGAGTTTCCCTCCCACCCAGCTCCTCATCCCTCAGCCTTCTAGGCCCGTCCTTTGAGGTGTTCACTTTACCGATTGCTTTTCCTTTTTTGTGGGGAATGGGGTCTCACTGTGTTGCCCAGGCTGGTCTCAAACTCCTGGGCTCAATTGATCCTCCTGCCTCTGCCTCCCTAAGTGCTGAGATTACGGGTGTGAGCTACCCTGCTCGGCCACTTTACTGAGTTTGCAGGCACCTTTGAGAGGCGGTCTATGCATATGTGGCATATGTGTATAAATCATATATGTGTGTAAATCATGTGTAAATCTAGTCCCCTCTTGCCCCTTCTTTGATTTTCTCCTGGAGCGATTGTTTAAAGCAGTTCTGATCATGCCACGCCCCCACTTGGAGTCCTTGAGGCTTGCTTTTTCCAGGTCCATGAGTTATTGTGAAGGTTTCCTGGGGTTTGCTCCTGCCCCCTTCTCCAGGTTTTTTTTTTTTTTTTTTGTCTTTTTTGTCTTTTTTCCCCACCCCTCCAGTTTTCTCCTGAGCTCTTGTCCCCTGGTCTCTTACACTCAGAGGCCCTACTAATAATTTTTCTTTTTTCTTCTCTTTTTTTTTTTTTTTTTTTTTGAGACAGGGTCTCACTCTGTCACCCAGGTTGGAGTACAGTGGCATGATTATAACTCACTGCAGCCCCGACTTCCTGGGCTTGAGTGATCTTCCCACCTCAGCCTCCTGAGTAGCTGGGACTATACATGCCTGCACCACCATGACCAGCTAATTTATTTTATTTTATTTTATTTTTGAGACAGGGTCTCACTTTTTCACCCAGGCTAGAGTACACTTGCACAATCACAGCTCACTTGTAGCCTCGACCTCCTGGGCTCAAGCAATGCTCCTACCTCAGCCTCCCAAGTAGCTGGGACTACAGGTGCATGCCACCATGCCTGGCTAATTTTTCTAAAAACAGCTTCACCACATTGCCCAGGCTTTTAAAATTATTAGTAGTAGTAGTAGAGACAGGGTCTCTCACTATCGTCTCGACACCTGGGCCCAAGCAATCCTCCCAAAGTGCTGGGATTACAGGCATGAGCTACCACATCCAGCCATTTTAATTTTCTTGAACCTACTACTCTGTCCCCCCAGAGCCATATTTAACAAGTTAGCCCCTGTCTGGGTGCCTCTCCCCTCCCGTTTTTTATGTGGCTTGTTTCTACCCTTTCTTCTGGATCTCAGCTTACACATCACACCCCACGAGAGCCTTTCCTGATCCCTAGACATGGTGAGCTCACCTGGATGTATGCCTAGCTGTATGCCATGGACTCAACTTTTCCTAATTCCTGTACCCCTGGAAATTCCCTGTTTGGGGTCTGCGTATCTCAGTAGAGACAGCTGGGGCTTTGTCCTGTTCAAATTGTTGCAGCCTGGCTGGGCACAAAGGCTCACACCTGTAATCCCAGCCCTTTGGGAGGCCAAGGCAGGCTAATTGCTTGAGTCCAGGAGTTCGAGACCAGGCTGGGCAACATGGCAAAACCCATCTCTACTAACAATACAAAAATTAGGCCGGGTGTGGTGGCTCATGCCTGTAACCCCAGCACTTTGGGAGGCTGAGGCGGGCAGATCACGTGAGGTCGGGAGTTCAAGACCAGCCTGACCAACATGGAGAAACCCCGTCTCTACTAAAAATACAAAATTAGGCGGGCGTGGTAGCACGTACCTGTAATCACAGCTACTCAGGAGGCTGAGGCAGGAGAATCACTTGAACCTGGGAGGTAGAGGTTGCTGTGAGCCGAGACCGCGCCATTGCACTCCAGCCTGGGCAACAAGAGCGAAACTCTGTCTCAAAAAAAAAAACAAAAGCCAGGTGTGGTGGCACACACCTGTAATTCCAGCTACTCAGGAGACTGAGGCACGAGAATCGCTTGAATCCAGGAGGTGGAGGCTCCAGTGAACTGAGATCACACCACTGGGCTCCAGCCTGGGTGACACAGATATTCCGTCTCAAAAAAACCCAAAAAAACATTGCAGCCTTAGCACTTAGCATAGGGCATAGGTGCCCAGTGAATACGTGCTGAGTGAACAGCTAAATGTTGGGTTTTTAAAGAAATCATTGCCAATTGGATAGACAGATTGTTTATTTTTAATGGTGTTGCTCAGACGTTTTACTGCTACAACTCACATGACAGATATAAACAGCCAGGATGCTGTTGTGGGTATACCTGGCTGGTGTTACCCATAGTTAGGTGCATCTCCATCCCTTTTTCTCTCATGCAGATAATGCAAATGTGAGATATGTGAATTTTTCTTTATTGTGTATGTTTTTGTTTTTTTTTTTGTTTTGTTTTGTTTTTTTAGATAGAGTCTCGCTCTGTTGCCCAGGCTGGAGTGCAGTGGCACAATCTCAGCTCACTGCAACCTCTGCCTCCTGGGTTCAGACGATTCTCCTGCCTCAGCCTCCCAAGTAGCTGGGATTACAGGCACGCACCACCACGCCTGGCTAATTTTTTGTATTTTTAGTAGAGACAGTTTCACCATGTTGGCTAGGCTGGTCTCGAACTCCTGACCTCAGGTGATCCCCCCTCCCTCGGCCTCCCAAAGTTCTGGGATTACAGGCGTGAGCCACCGCACCTGGCCTGCGTATGTGTCTTTTAAAACTATTTGCAAACACTGGTATTTTATTTTTTGTAAAAATTATTTGGGATGCATCTCACAACTGCTGACAACATCCCACTGCCTGAATTAAGGCAGTGGAATTGAGAGCTTTGTGTCTGTACTCATTAGGAGGACCAGCTGAGTAAAGATTTGGATTCCAATTTGGGATAGTGGTTGCCACTAGTGTTAATTTTGATACCTCTCAAAAGCCCTATAGTCTATCAATTTGTCTGTTGGGAGGAGTAGGAAATAATAGTGGTTCACAGAGTTAATAAGAGTTCAGGCAAACCTGGTTTAGAATCCCAGGTGGACACGTTAGCCCTGTGACTTTGGGCAAGGCATTTATTAAGCCTGCATTTCTTCATCTGTAAAATGGGAATAATGATGATTCTTGCCTGTGAGGGCTATTTTGAAAGTTAAATAAGATAGTCTATGTAAATCACTTAACTCTATTATTTTTGGGGGGAGGTAGGTTAGAAATTGACATCTGGATTGGGGTCTCCTACCTTAAAAGAGAAGAAGAGAACACAGGGAACTAGGCCCCAGTCTTTCCCTGCCAATCTAAAAGTTTCCTGGCCAGGCACTTTGGCTCATGCCTATAATCCCAGCACTTTGGGAGGCCAAGGTGGGAGGATAGCTTGAGTTCAGGAGCTCGAGACCAGCCTGGGCAACATGGCAAGACCCTGTCTCTTATTTTTTTTTATTTTTATTTTTTGAGATGGAGTCTCGCTCTGTCCCCCAGGCTGGAGTGCAGTGGCGCGATCTCGGCTCACTGCAACCTCTGCCTCCCAGGTTCAAGCGATTCTCGTGCCTCAGCCTCCCGAGTAGCGGGGATTACAAGCACATGCCACCACGCCTGGCTAATTTTTGTATTTTTAGTAGAGATGAGGTTTCACCATGTTGGCCAGGCTGGTCTCGAACTCCTGACCCCAAGTGATCTGCCCACCTCAGTCTCCCAAAGTGCTGGGATTACAGGCATAAGCCACTGCACCCAGCCCTGTCTCTATTTTTAAAAATTCAAAATAAATTATTTTTTAAAAAAAGGTTAGCCACGTGTAGTGGTGCACGCCTGCAATCTCAGCTACTTGGGAGGCTGAGGCAGGAGGATCGCTTGAGCCCAGGAATTGCAGACTGCAGTGAGCTATAATTGCACTACTGAACTCCAGCCTGGGCAACAGAGTGAGACCCTGTCTCTAAAATGCAATGATAAAAATTTAAAAATATAAGAAAATAAATAAATAAAATTCCCAATGGGTAGGGGCCGTGTCTGGTGCCTCCTGTGCCCACAGTGCACAGCACCCTCTAGGTGATGTGTGCAGGTTTGTGAGAGATGCCTGGAGATACAAGGTGCTGTACTTGTTTTTAATGTGTAGGTCTGGCCAAAGACAGTTGGCAAAGGACACAAGAAAGAAAAACTCAAGCTAACTGCGAGAATGGCACTGGGATACTCCACAAATCAGAATAAAGTCACTGGGATTTGGTAGGAATTAGAAGAAATCTACTCAAACAGCTGTGTCTATTTCCATGAGGCCTCTTTTTTTTTTGAGTTGGAGTCTCGCTCTGTCGCCCAGGCTGGAGTGTAATGGCATGATCTCAGCTCACTGCAACCTCCGCCTCCCGGGTTCAAGCGATATTCCTGTCTCAGCCTCCTGAGTAGCTGGGATTACAGGCACGTGCCACCACACTTGGCTAATTTTTGTATTTTTAGTAGAGATGGGGTTTCACCATGTCAGGCTGGTCTTGAACTCTTGACCTTGTGATCCGCCTGCCTTGGCCTCCCAAAGTGCTGAGATTACAGGCGTGAGCCACTGCGCCCAGAGAGGCCTCTTTTTTAGAAGGAAGAACCACTGAAAGTGGAACAAGAGAGAGCAGAGCCCAGTGGGGGGGTATGCCCTTTGATTCCAGCCTTTCTCTCCACAGGCTGCTGAGAGGGGTCACGGGGACATCTGCTCCCTCCTCCTGCAACACAGCCCAGCCCTGAAGGCCATCCGGGACCGAAAGGCACGGCTAGCATGTGACCTGCTGCCTTGCAACAGTGACCTGCGGGACCTGCTATCCAGCTGAGCCGCCACCCTATCTCCAGCTGCCTTTAAAGGGTACACAGACCAGTTCTCCAAGCCCCTGCCTTGGTCAGCATCCATGCTGCTGGGCAGGGAACTGAGGCCAGACCACCCAGGAAGAGCCCCAGTCTGGTCACTGTGGAAGCGAGGGAGTAGATTTGGTGTGGCTAAAAGTGTTTAAGACTGGACAGATGATCATATTCTAAATTAGTTCATATGAGACATCTATTTATTTGGAAAAAAATAAAGTTATATCCTTACCTCATCCCACACCCAAAGATAAATTGCAAGATTAAAGATCTAAATATAAAAACACAAAACTATGTAAGTATTAGAAGAAAGTAGGGACTATGTGAGAAGCTGCTTTCTAGCTGAATGCCCTTGGTAAAAGTCACTTTAGCTGTCTGCCCCTCCATTTCCTCTTCTGTAATGAGAGTGGTTATCATAGGGCCCGCCTCAGAGTCATTGTGGGAGGAGGTCAGTGTGCACTGGGAGAGCCCTCGAGAGAGTGCCTGGCACGTGGCAAGCAGCCTGAGGGAGGCCCGCTTCCCGAGCTCCTCATCAGCACTTTGCGCATACCATGATTTCATTGATTGCAACGGTCCGATGGGAGAAAAGTGCTGTTTCATCTGTTTCGTTTTTCATTGCTGGTTACTAGTGAGGTTGAGCACCTGTGTCTTCTGTGAGCTGCCTACCCATGCCGATTTTAGAAACACTTCTTATTGATTCATAGGAGTGTTGATATTCTAGATCCTGATCCTTTGTTCTATATATGTACATTTAATTTTTTCCCTTTTTTTCTTTTATGCTCTTTCTTTTATTCTTTCTTTTTTTTTTTTTTTTTTTTGAGACGCAGTCTCGCTCTGTCACCCAGGCTGGAGTGCAATGACGTGATCTCGGCTCACTGCAAGCTCCGCCTCCCAGGTTCACGCCATTCTCCTGCCTCAGCCTCCCGAGTAGCTGGGACTACAGGCACCCACCACCAGGCCCGGCTAATTTTTTGTATTTTTAGTAGAGACGGTGTTTCTCCGTGTTAGCCAGGATGGTCTCAATCTCCTGACCTCGTGATCCACCCGCCTCGGCCTCCCAAAGTGCTGTCTTTGTTTCTTGATATCCATTCATGGGAATTGGTACAGCTACTGTAGATGGCAGTTTGACAGTATCTATTTAAATTTAAATGAGCAGAACCAATAATTTGATTTCTCTGTAGCTATGTAGAGAGATGTTCTTCCATGGTTACAAAGATGTTTATTTACAGGAGCATTTACAAATATGTGCATTGGAGCATGGGGAGTAATGTTAAAAAAAAAGAGAGAACCGACTCCTCCCTGATAGGGAGTGGTTGAGTTCTGCAGATCCAAGTTCTCGGCTGCACAGCAGAGCGCAGCGTGCTGACAGGATATTGCTGCTCGTGTCCACAGTGGGACCCCCTTCACACAGAACATGCCTGTAGAATGTGATTGCCTCTCAGCCTTTTGGCTAAGATCATGTATAAATGTATGGATCTATACGTGGATGTAGGCCAGGAGCAGTGGCTCACGCCTGTAAGCCCAGCACTTTGGGAGGCCGAGGTGGGAGGATCACCTAAGGTCAGGAGTTCGAGACCATCCTGGCTAACACAGTAAAACCCTGTCTCTACTAAAAATACAAAAATTAGCCGTATGTGGTGGCAGGTGCCTCTAATCCCAGCTACTCTGGAGGCTGAGGCAGGGGAATCGCTTGAACCCGGGAGGTGGAGGTTGCAGTGAGCCGAGATCGCGCCATTGCATTCCAGCCTGGGCAACAGAGTGAGACCCTGTCTCAAAAGAAAAGAAAAACGTGGATGTGCATCCACAAAATGCACAGAGCAGAAGCAGGAGGGTGGCTGTTAAACTGCCAGCCATGGTTTCTCCTGGGCCACGTGGCAAGAGAGGTAGTCAAGGAGGTCCTGAGCCTTCTGTTTATGTTTGAACTTTTAATAAGGAATCTTTTTTCCTTTCTTGCTCAACACACTGTTTCTGGCTTGATTTTTTTTTTTAAGTCAGAGTTAATACCAGTCATATGAGACAACTAATGGGTTTTCTATTGAGAACTTCCCTGAAGCCTGGGGGTGCAAAACGCCGCTCCTCCAGTGCCACGTGCTGAGGGGTGTTTGTGAGTTGGAGTGGACAGTGGTGGCCAGTCTTACTTTTTCTTGTTTCTTTGCACTCATTTTATTTTTTTTTTTTTTGAGACCGAGTCCCGCTCTGTCATCGGGCTGGAGTGCAGTGGTGCGATTTTGGCTCACCACAACCTCTACCTCCAGGGATCAAGTGATTCTTGTGCCTCAGCCTCCCAAGTAGCTGGGACTACAGGTGCCTGGCTAATTTTTATATTTTTAGTAGAGACGGGGTTTCACCATGTTGGCCAGGCTGGTCTCGAACTCTTGACCTCAGGTGATCTGCCCACCTCAGCCTCCCAAAGTACTGGGATTACAGGTGTGAGCCACCACGCCCGGCCCCTTTGCCCTCATTTTAGATGACTCTTTCCCTCCTCATAACCAAAAGCAAGGAACAGGCTGGGTGTCACCTGAGGTCAGGAGTTTGAGACCAGCTTGACCAACATGGAGAAGCCCCATCTCTACTAAAAATACAAAATTAGCCAGGGTGATGGCACGTGCCTGTAACCCCAGCTACTCGGGAGGCTGAGGCAGGAGAATCACTTGAACCGGGGAGGTGGAGGTTGCGGTGAGCCAAGATCGCGCCATTGCACTCCAGCCTGGGCACCAAGAGTGAAACTCCATCTCAAAAAGAAAAAAAAAAAAAAAAGCAAGGAACACCTTTGTCTGAAAAAAGCACCCTAAATTTAGCCTAAGAACTAAGTTTTCAGCTGGGCGCGATAGCACAAGCCTGTAATCCCAGCACTCTGGGAGGCTGAGGCGGGTGAATCACAAGGTCAGGAGTTCAGGACCAGCCTGGCCAACATGGTGAAACACCGTCTCTACTAAAAATATAAAAAATTAGCTGGGCATAGTGGCAGGTGCCTGTAATCCCAGCTACTCGGGAGGCTGAGGCAGGAGAATTGCTTGAACCCGGGAGGTGGAGGTTGCAGTGAGCTGAGATCGCGCCACTGCACTCTAGCCCAGGCCACAGAGCGAGATTCCGTCTCAAAAAATTAAAAAAAAAAAGAAAACTTTTTTTTTTTTTTTTTTTTAGACGGAGTCTCACTGTTGCCGGGCCAAGAACTGAGTTTTCTAAGAAAGCTCTGCCTTTTCCTGAGTTCTCTGAAAATGTGGAAGCCCTTCCAAGAGGCCAGTTCTTTGGGAGCTGGGGAGCCATCTGGGGCCTGTGGCCATCCTTGGCCACAGTTCTCCCTCCTTGTACCCTGGTCATGTCTTCTCAGGTTGCTCCGATTTTGGGGTCTTATTTACTGGCTGATTTCCTTGCAAAGGCCAAGGCGGAGTTCAAGGTTCAGCTGGGTGAAGGGCATGCCTGGCTTCCTGAGAATTAGGAAGGGTGACTGATGGCTTGAGACACATTGCTCTGCGGCTGGATTTCATGGTTACTATTCCATCCCGGGACCTGACGCGGATCAGTCTCCCCTTTCCTGTGGCTGGAGGGGCACACTCCGTCCCTGGAGAGCGTCTGGTAGGGGCTTGTAGAGGGGCGGGGAGGACTTCCAGAGGCCCGAGGACAGGCGCCAGGCTTGGCTTCGGGGCTGGGGCAGCTGCCATGTGCTCTCAGAGCACTGAGGGAGGAGCGGGGGAGCCCGGGGGCGAGAAACCCACAGCACAGGGAAGGGAAGGGCAGCCTTGAAACTGCAAGTTGGGAGATCACGGTTTCCTCACGTGGCCACCATGAGGGCTGAGGCTGTAGGCTGGCCGCTCCTGCCCCTCCCGACCACCCCCTCAGGCTTCCAGCCTCCTTGCTCAGCCACCTAGGCTGGGCTTTCAGGTTCACAGGCAGCCGGCCCTACAACATGGAGGCCCAGGCTGGGCTTTCTTCAGGAGTGGCATCTAAACTTAGGAGAGGGGAACACGTTTCACCCGAATCTGGGCTAGCAGTGTGTTGGTTAAATGGCCCCTGAGTAGGTGTGGGGCATGGCAGAGGTGCAGGAGTGGGTGTCCGAGGATGCAGCCAACTCATCTCCAAACAGCTCCTTTTCTTTTCCCCAGTGGGCTGCATTCCCAGACTGGTATTTTAGTTGGTGTGACAGAGTCCCAGAGTCATCTGGCCCAGGGGCTTGCACCTGCGCCAGTCCTTCCCTGTCCACCCCTGCCCGTCTCCAGGCGCTCCTATAAAGGGCTGAGCAGTTCAGCTCTTCTCACTGGGGGGTGTGAGGAACAGGGGGGACCATGGACTTCATCAGCATTCAGCAGTTGGTAAGGATGTGGGACGGAGGTGGGAGGCACCCTGGGACCGGCTTGATAGGAGGAGGCTGGCTAGAGAGGGCTGGCAGCTTCTTTCTGTGGTGTGAGGGTCAAGTCTTAGGTGCAGGGAAGCATGCAGTTCTTTTATAAAAATCTGTATTTTTTGAAACGGAGTCTTGCTGTGTTGCCCAGCCTGGCCTTGAAGTCCCACGCTCAAGTGATCCTCCCACCTGGGCCTCCCAAGTAGCTGGGACTCCAGGCGTGTACCCCCACACCCGGCTGAGCGTGCGGTTCTTTCTGGTGTGTCTGCTCGGTTCTCATGTGAGGTGGTGAGGGGGTTAGGGAGCAAGAGAGGGAAGTCGAATGGGAAAGAAGACATGAAAATCCTTGAGTTCAGTGAGTTTTGCCCTGGATAGTGATGGTGAAAGAGGAACAGGAAATGGCAGGTTACTTTGGAAGATGCAAGTGTGGCTGTGGTGGTTGTAGTTCAGCTTAAGCACCATGATAGTTGTTGCTCTGGAAATGGCCAGAGGTCCTGGCTGCCTTGGGGATAGGGAAGGGTGCTCTTTCGCTCCCTGGGCAGTGAGGGAAACAGTGACTCTTAGGGATGTCGGTTTGAGTGACGAGGGGCCTGGAGGGTGTGAGGCCCAGCAAGCCCATCTGTGGGCTGCTGGCCCCAGCCTGGTGCAGCCTCTGGCGGGAGGCAAATGGCAGGGAGGTGTTAGGTTGCTAGAGTTCTTTAGAAGGAATATGGTTCTACCTGACTAGAAAGTCCTAGGATCTGTTACCCTATCATTCCACCCTGTTCTTTCCCCACAACAGGCTGATTCCTCAGTGCTCCCCAGCTCCTGAACTCCTGAGGTGGGGCCCGGTGGGAGGAAGCATGGGTGTTTGCTACGGAGGCTTTGCCCCAGGCACAGGTCCCAATAACTCATAACCTTCACAACTCCTTTAGGCAATTGCCTTAAGTGTTTGAGCTTAAATGTAGCTTCAAAAGGAGCCGAGAACTGAACCCAGGCATTTAGAATTTTACCCCGGGGGGACTTCTCTGTCCCTCTGAGCTTGGAGTCAGGTGGCAGTCAGTATGATCTGGTAGGAATCTTAACAACATGGGGGAAGCTAAGGTGTCATCTGCCCTGAGGCTACCTGGGCAAATGCCCAGCAGTATAAATAGGTTGTGGCCTCATGTCCCCCCAGCTGTGTTCCTGCTGACAGGAGCAGGGTAGGCGGGGATCCGTTGTCCCCCTGGGTGTCAGCTGATGACACAGTTGCGGAGCCTGCAGCACCCACAGGGTGAGGGAGCTTGCCAGCACTCTGGACTGCAGGAGCTTTGAGGCCGGCTCCCATCCCGGGCACCAGCCTTGTGACATCTGCCCTTATAAGACAGCTCCCTGCTACTCCACAGCTCTGTTTTCTAAGGGTTCCTCCAATTTTCCCAACTCAGTACTCATATCCTGTTCCTACAGGTAAGTGGAGAAAGAGTTGAAGGGAAAGTGTTGGGATTTGGACATGGAGTTCCTGACCCTGGAGCCTGGCCTAGTGACTGGAGGAGGGGCCCCCAAGAGGCTGTGGCCCGGGAGAAGCTGAAATTGGAAGAAGAGAAGAAGAAGAAAGTGAGAGAGGGGCGGGGGCCGGGGTTGGGGGCAGTGGCTAATCCCTGAGGCCGGCTGAGCAGTGAGGCCTGGAGGGACTCTGGTGGGGCAGCCTGAGCAGCTGGTGTCTCCTGTCGGCAGGGCAGAGAGATCTCTTGACCAGCGGCTGATGGCTGGCATGGTCTTGTCTTCTGCCCCAGCTTGAAAGATTTAACAGTACCAGATTTAATCTGGATAACCTGGCTGACTTGGAAAACTTGGTTCAAAGACGGAAAAAGCGACTGAGACACAGAGTCCCCCCCAGGAAACCTGAGCCCCTGGTTAAGGTGAGTGGGAGGTCGGGGTTAGGGCAGTGCACACACCAGGGCTCCAGTTCCAGAGGAAGGGCTTGGGGCAGAGTGGGCACTGCAGGCCAGGACCACACAGCCAGTGCCTGGGGAGCCCATTAAATCCACTCCAGAGCCCCCGCGGATGTGTCCGCCAGGGCTGCCATAACAAAGTCCCACAGCCTGGACAGCCTCAACAGCAGGCATGTGTCACCTCGCTGTCCTGGGGGCTGGAAGGCTAACAGGAAGGTGTTGGCGAGGCTGGTTCCCTCTGAGGGTGGTGAGGGAGAATCCCTTCATGCCTCTCCGGCTTCTGGTGGATGCTGGTGATCTTTGGCGTTCCTTGGCTTGTAGATGTATCACCCAACTATTGCCTTCATGTTTGCTGGGCGTTCTGCCTGTGTGCATGCCTGTGTCCATGTGTCTCCCCCAACTTTTTTTTTTTTTTTTTTTTTTTTTTTGAGACGGAGTCTCGCTCTGTTGCCCAGGCTGGAGAGCAGTGGCACGATCTCGGATTACTGCAAGCTCTGCCTCCCGGGTTCATGCCATTCTCCTGCCTCAGCCTCCCGAGTAGCTGGGACCACAGGCACCCGCCACCACGCCCGGCTAATTTTTTTTTGTATTTTTAGTAGAGATGGGGTTTCACCGTGTTAGCCAGGATGGTCTCAATCTCCTGTCCTTGTGGTCTGCCCGCCTCAGCCTCCCAAAGTGCTGGGATTACAGGCATGAGCCACCGCATCCGGCCCACGTGTCCCCTTTCATAAGGACATCAGTCACATTGGATTAGAGCCCACTTTAACACAAGTCATATTGGTGAGGGGCCCACCATACGCCGGTGTGACCTCATCTTAACTAATTACATCCTCAGTGACTCTGTTTCCAAATAAGGTCACATTCTGAGGTACCTGGGGTTAGTACTTCATACGAATCTTGGGGAGATACAAGTCAATCCATAACACACACGCTCACACACACACAGTCTATTCAATCTCCTGGCGTGGGATTAGAATAAGAAACTGCATTAGTACGAGCCAGCAGTGTTCCTTGGTGGGCTGCATGGGACCCGTGGGCCAGACTGGTGAAGCTGTGACATCTTGGGCACCTGCGGCCTTCGGGAGTGATTTGGTCTTGTCTTCAACTGAACCAGCCGCAGTCCCAGGCCCAGGTGGAGCCTGTGGGCCTGGAGATGTTCCTGAAGGCAGCTGCTGAGAACCAGGAGTACCTGATTGACAAGTACTTGACAGACGGAGGGGACCCCAATGCCCATGACAAGGTAGCACAGGTTGGGTGAGTCGGCTGGCAGCAGCTGCAGCTGCAGGAGCGCTGCCTTCAGTGTGTTCAAGTCCTGGCCTAGGAGGCTGCAGGGATTTTCACTCTTATGGGCATGAATCCAGTGGCACCTGCAGACGGAGGAGAGGGAGCGGCCCATCGCGTGGTGGGGGAAGTGGCAATTCCATTCAGGGACCTGGCCCTGGGAAGGGGACCGCGTGGGGTCTCTAGGGGTGGCTGCACTCCCTCTGCCTAATCTTCCATCTCTGCCCTCAGCTCCACCGCACCGCCTTGCACTGGGCCTGTCTGAAGGGTCACAGCCAGCTGGTGAACAAGCTGCTGGTGGCAGGTGCCACAGTGGACGCGCGAGACTTGGTGAGGATGGGGAAAGGCCCAGCCTCTGGTCGACGCCCAGCTTCACATCCCAGCAGCTGAGTGCTTGGGTGCTTTTGTTTTGCAGCTGGACAGGACACCTGTGTTCTGGGCCTGCCGCGGAGGACATCTGGTCATCCTCAAACAGCTGCTTAACCAGGGAGCCCGGGTCAATGCCCGGGACAAGGTGAGGGGCACGGTGCTTTGGGGGCCTGTCGGGAACACGGGAGCAGACGCTGTTCCTGGAGAAGAGAGCACGTAGTCCCATGGGTTAGGGAGGCCTCACCAATCCAGACCCAGCACTGACCCCCACTTGCTCTCAGATCGGGAGCACCCCCCTGCACGTGGCAGTGCGCACCCGGCACCCCGACTGCCTGGAGCACCTCATCGAGTGTGGCGCCCACCTGAACGCACAGGATAAGGTAAGGCAGGCGCTTGGTCTTTTCCGGCTCGGACAGCTCCAGAGGAGCAGGGACTGAGGAGCCCCAGCCAGGACCAGAGGTGCTGTCTGCTCGGTGACAGCAGCCCTGACCTTCCTGCATGAGGAGGGCAGCACGCGGAGGCAGAAGCTTGACTGCCTGCGTTCTCAGCAGGAAGGGGACACGGCTCTGCACGAGGCCGTGCGGCACGGCAGCTACAAAGCCATGAAGCTACTGCTGCTCTATGGGGCCGAGCTGGGGGTGCGGAACGCGGTGAGTGTGGGCGCAGCCCTGGCTCCTGACCCGAGGGCGGGTGGAGCGCCTGCAAGGGACTGACCCACACCGTTGCTCCCAGGCCTCCGTGACCCCGGTGCAGCTGGCTCGAGACTGGCAGCGCGGCATCCGGGAGGCCCTGCAGGCCCACGTGGCGCATCCCCGCACCCGGTGCTGACCGCAGCACCGCCCCCCGCCGCGCCTTTCGCACTGCCACCATTCCATCCTGTGCCCCGCCCCCGCGTCTGCACCTCTGTGGTTCCTGCCCTCAGCCCTGGTTCCTCCCTCTCTGGCCTGTGCCGCCTCAGCAGCCCTGGCAGAACTGAAGAGCGGCACCGGGCCCAGCAGGCAAAGAGAGAGGCCTCCCTGGCTTCGAGTGTCAGGGGAGCCGCGTTCCCTCCCAGGGCTGGAGCAGAGGACCACAAGGCAGCAGAAAGCGCGGGTCCAGATGAGGGCCAGGAAGGGGAGGAGAGTGAGGGCCAAGAACGAGCCTTAAGGGAGCAGTCCCAAGCTGGAGCCACCCAGGGCTGGGTCTGGGAGTCCTCAGTGTCCACTTGTCCCAGGTTAGGGGGCTTGCCTTGCTCTCTCCAGGGCCAGTCTGTGTGTGTGGGGACTCAGCCCGTGGCCGGCAGATGCCATCCAGGATGTACAAGGTGCAGCCAAGGCAGGCCATGCAGGGGCCGGGCCTGTCTGCAGCTGGTGGATGCCTGTGGGCATGGCTTTCTCTGGGGACCCCATTCCTGTCAGTAGCAACCCTGGCAGTGTCCGGAGCGGCTCTAGACAACTTTGGTCATAGGAACTCTGGAGGTGGGTTCTGGTCATCTGAGGTGGCTACTCAACAGGTTTGAGGCCCCACAGCAACAGAAGTCCAGGACCCACTAGGTTGCCTCAGAAGCCCTAAGACTGATGAGCTGGAGCGCGCATTTGAGAGAAGCCTCGCACCCACTGTGTACTGGCCCCGCTCAGGCCGGCCTGGCACACCGTTGCCTGCTGGCGGCTCTCATGGGGAAGCGCCTGGGCACTGGGGATTGCTTGTGGCCCACTCAACTCTTGGGGCAGTGGCCCGTAACCCTAGTTTGCCTGAGGCCCTTATGTCCCCTTATGTTCCTGGTACTGGAGCTTGAGCTCTTGCCTGGAACGCTGCAGCTGCACCCACCCTGCTTGATCCCACCTGGGAGGCCAGGACACTGAGGAGCTCTGAACCCAGCCCACAGGGAAGCAGAGGAAGGTGAGCCCCCGCCGCCCCCCAGCCCTTCCCATCCCTTCCCTGCTCCCTGGTGGTCTAAGGACCCAAGCTCCCTAGACTTCCTCTTCCACCGTCTGTACGTTTCAAATTACACTGGTGTAGGCCTGTACTGCTGGTGGGGCTGGGCCCCTAAACGCCAGAAAGTGAATCTTAAGAAGCTCTGCCCTAAACTGAGAACCACATGCTGAGGGAAGGGCTGAAAGGTGAAGGCTCAGCCTCCCTCACATGGGTCCTGGGTTACATTAGGTACCGGGCTGATTGATAGGCATTTGGCCATGGTTCCTTTTCGTCTACCTTTGGGGGCCTTCTCAGGCCCAGAACAAGGCTGTTGTTACTATGTGGAAAAGCTGACCAGTGCTGCACACTAGGGGCACACACCTTTCCATGAGCAGCTCCTGCCCTGTGGCGACAGCCAGCGTGCACCCAGACGCTGGTGCCATGGCGAAGCAGGCGTTCAAGACCATGGAGAAGACAACTCCTCATCTAGAAAATGAGGACACCTCAGTGACAAACACACCTTTTTATACCAATCAGTATCCTCTGTTCATTAAAACTGGCTATCCATTACAGCCTAGCCGTCTTTCCTGGGCCGAGAGGAGCCCATGCTTCAGTCACCAGGGACTGTCTGATAGGGCCCACGCCTGTTAGCCATGCCGGCCGACAGCAAGATAGGCCGAGTGCAGAGTGGGCGGGATGCGGGGTCCTGGCACTAGGCTTTTGTGCTTAAGGCACCTCTGCTCACTGACGACAAGGTCAAAGAGCAGTGGTTCTCCACCTCAGCTGCTTATCAGAATCACCAGGAAGGTTTAAAAAGTCCTGATGTCCAGACCCTAAGTCAGAAGCCCTGAGGGGAGGATCCAGGTATTCTCATGCAGAGGCCATGCTTGTCTATGTGGGAAATCCTAGGAATCTACAGAAAGCAGACAACTAGGGAGTCCAGCAAAATCTCGGGTGCAAGATAAACACACAAAAACCTGTTTCTACCTCCTAGAAATGAACATGTAGACACAAAAGTTAAAAATATGTACTGTTTACAATTGCTGAAAAAGGGAAATACTTCGGTTTAAATCTAACAAAATATGCAAGGACTTGTATGCTGAAAATTATAAAACGTGATGAAATCAAAGATTTAAATAGACATGCCATGTTCATGGATTGCTAGACAGAATACAGTAAAGATATCAATTCTCCTCAAATTAACATACAGGTTAAATGCAGTTCCTATCAAAATCCTAGAAGATGTTTTGTAGATGTAGACAAGGTTATTCTAAAATTCATATACAAATTTATAGCAAAAATATTTTGAAAAAGAATAGAGTGAGAGGAGGAATCAGTCCAGCTGATTTCAAGATCTACTATATAGCTATGTGAACCAAGAGTGCAATGCTGGCAGAGGCACAGACACACAGATCGACAGAGCCGAGATCATCACGGGAACAGGACCACACAAATATGCCCAGCTGACTTTAAGGTGCAAAAGTAATTCAATGGAGGAAGGACAGCCTTTCAACAAACGGTGCTGGAGCAGCTGGACCAGCTATAGGATTAAAAAAAAAGAACTTTAGCCTAAGTCTTACACATTATACAAAAATTAACATGGCTCACATGCATACTTAAATTTAAAACTATAAAACTTCTTTTAGGAAAAAACAGATAACCTTTGGGATCTAAGACTAGGTAGAGTTGTTCTTAAATGCAACACTAAAAGCAACAGTCCATAAAGGAAATATCAGTAAAGTGGACTTTATCAAAACTGAAAACTTTTGCTCTGTATAAAACCCTGTTAAGAGGGTGAAAAGATGGCCGGGCACGGTGGCTCACACCTGTAATTGTAGTACTTTGGGAGGTTGAGGCAGGCAGATCACTTGAGCTCATGAGTTTGAGACCAGGTGTGGGCAACATGGTGAAACCCCATCTCTATAAAAAATTAGCTGGGCATAGGCTGGGCATGGTGGCTCATGCCTATAATTCCAGCACTTTGGTAGGCTGAGGCGGGCAGATCATCTGAGGTCAGGAGTTTGAGACCAGCCTGACCAACATGGAGAAACCCCATCTCTACTGAAAATACAAAATTAGCCAGGCGTGGTGGCACATGCCTGTAATCCCAGCTACTCGGGAGGCTGAGGCAGTAGAATCACTTGAACTGGGAGGCGGAGGTTGCAGTGAGCCGAGACCACGCCATTGAACTCCAGCCTGGGCAACAAGAGTGAAACTACATCTCAAAAAAAAAAAAAAAAAAAATTAGCTGGGTGTGGTGATAGTCCCATCTACATGGGGAGCTGAAGAGGGAGAACTGCTTGAGTCCAGAAGTCAAGTATACAGTGAGCCAAGATTGTGCCACTGCACTCCACCATGGGTGACAAAGTGAGACTCTGTCTCAGGAAAAAAAAAAGGGGGGGAGGGGGAGGGGTGAAAAAGATAAGCTACAGACCAATGGAAACCAAAAATCCCATAAAGGAATCTCAAAGAACTCTCAAAACTCAACAGAAGAAACAATCCAATCAGAAAATGGGTGAAAGACAGGAATATTCCACTGAAGCGAAACACAGGTGTCCACCACTGGGAAATGCAAATGAAAAACCACCGTGAGGCATCACGACACACCTGTCAGAACGGCTGAAGTAAAAACATGTGGACACCACTAAGTGCTGTGGAGGATTCAGGGAAACTGATCATCCTAGGTTGCCGGTGAGGACATGAGTTTGACAGTTTGTGGCCAGGTGCGGTGGCTCACGCCTGTAATCCCAGAACTTTGGGAGGCTGAGGCGGGCAGATCACGAAGTCAGGAGATCGAGACCATCCTGGCTAACATGGTGAAACCCCGTCTCTACTAAAAATACAAAAAACTAGCCGGGCGTGGTGGCGGGCGCCTGTAGTCCCAGCTATGGGGAGGCTGAGGCAGGAGAATGGCATGAACCCGGGAGGCAGAGCTTGCAGTGAGCCGAGACTGCGCCACTGCACTCCAGCCTGGGCAAAAGAGTGAGACTCCGTCTCAAAAAAAAAAAAAAAAAGTTTGATTGTTTAAAAAACGAAACATGCAACAACCCTATGACCAAGCATTTACACTCCTCGAAAACTAATCCTGACACAGAAACCTGTACATGAATAGTCGTAGCAGCTTTATTTGGAATAGCCCCAAACTGGAAACATCCCAGGTGTCCTTCAGGGGGCCAATGCATACACCACGGAATACCACTCAGCAATAAAAAGGAGCAAACTGTTGACACATGCAATGCCTGGATGATCTCCCGAGAATGACGCCGAGTGAAAAAAGACAATCCCGAATGCTTACACACTATGCTCCCATTTATACAACATTCTTGAAATGACAAAATAAGAAGAGATGAACGATTAGTGGTTACCAGGAGTTAGGGAAGGTGGGGAGGGAGATCCTTGTGGGGATGGGACTTCTTTATCCTGATTGCAGTGGTAGTTACACAGATGTACATGTGACAAATGATTTGGACTGTCCACCCACATCGCACCAGTGTCAGAGTCTTTGTTGGAATACTGCATTACAACCATATAAGATGTAACCATGGAGGGAAACTAGATGAAGGGTGCGTGGGGCCCTTACCTTTACAACTTCCTATCATCTGAAATTATTTCAAAATATAAAGTTAGGAAAAAAGAAAGCAACAGCTCTAAGTGCAGTATGGCATCCTGGATTGGCTGCTGCAGCAGAAAAGGGACATTGGGAAAAATGGTAAAATCCAAATAAACTCTAGCTATTAGTATGATTGCACCTTTAGTTTTGATAAATGTACCAAGGTTATATGTAAGCTGTTAACATTAGGGGAACCTGGGTGAAAGGTGTATGAAACTTCTGTGAATCTGGGCACGGTGGCTCACGCCTATAATCTCAACACTTTGGGAGGCCGAGGCAGGAGGATCGCTTGAGCCTAGGAGTTCGAGACTACCCCAGGCAACATAATGAGACCCTATCTCTACAAAAAAAAATTAAAAGTATTAGCTGGGTGTGGTGGTGCCTACCTGTAGTCCCTACTACTCAGGAGGCTGAGGTGGCAGGATGGCCTGAACCAGGGAGGTCGAGGCTGCAGCAAGCCGTGATCACACCACTGCACTCCAGTCTGGGCGACAGAGCAAGATCTTGTCTCAATAATAATAATAATAATAATAATAATAATAAATAAATAAAAAATTGAAAACTCTGATGCCGACTCTGATTAAATCACAAGCTCTGGTGGCAGGTCCACGTATTTTTAATTTGCCAGGTGATTCTGGTGTGCAGCCAAGGTTAAGAATCCCTGATCTTAGCTCACACCTATAATCCCAGCACTTTGGGAGGCCAAGGCAGGCAGATCACCTGAGGTCAGGAGTTCAAGATCAGCCTGGCCAACATGGTGAAACCCCATCTCTACTAAAAATACAAAAATTAGCCGGGTGTGGTGGTGGGCACCTGTAATCCCAGCTACTCAGGGGGCTGAGACAGGAGAATGGCTTGAACCTGGGAGGTGGAGGTTGCAGTGAGCCAAGATCTCACCACTGCACTCCAGCCTGGGTGACAGAGTGAGACTCCATCTCAAATAAACAAACAAAAAACCACTGTTCTGGAGAGAGGATTTTAAAGCATCTGTTTCCAACCCGGGCTTGCTCTCAGAGTTTATTCCTTGAGGACAATTTCTAAGCAAGGATATCACTGTTGTTTTGACCTTCAGTCCCATTTATAAGGGTCCAAATTCCTTTGAGAAAAGTTCCAGAAATCCTCCTCCCTCCCTACCCAATCTATGATCCTATGTCCTTGTGATGCCCGTTTCCACACAGCTGAAGAACTACGGAAGGAAAATGTAGTAAACTAGAAGAAAAAGACAAATGCCTTCCTGTTCCCACTTCTCTAAAACCCCATAGCTAGGAACAGAAAAAAAGGAAAAGACTTGAAATGTTCTAGAGATATAACAAAAACTTTTTTTTTTTTAAAGAGGATCCACCTGGTTCATGAACCCTCCCTCACTGCTCTCTGCACATCACGGCCACACAGCACCTGCAGGGAGGCTGTGGGGAGGTGTGGAGCAGGTGCAACAGGCAGCTACTCTCCTGGGGGCCACACGGCGGAGAGAGGATTCGATGCAGCATGACGATCCCTTCCTCCCAGGCATGACCTCTTCTCAGAACACGGGAACTGACAACACTGCGAGTGGCAACTCAGCAGGTGGGCAGAGAAGCAGAAAGGGGCCCTCAGCACCACTAGGCCAGCTCTCAGAATCAGAAGAGCAGCCTCCAGGGAGGGAGCAGGGCTACAGGGACAGCCTACGGGCAGTGGAGCTTCTGGTTTGGCACATGGGAAAGGCTGGGGCGCATGCGCTGAAACATGACACCATCAGGGAAGCCAGAAAGGACAACATGGACAAGGCCATCGATCTGAACCCCCAGCCAAAATGGGTGCTCTCGGCTTGCTCAAAAAGTGCTGCCAGCAGCGATAGGTTGGCAAATTAAAAGCAAACAAATAGAGGTCACGGCCACACAAAGGCAGTAACTGCACTCACAAGGTGGCTCAGCCCAAAGAGGTCTGAATCTGAATATGCCGCACTGTCCCTGCCCCGGGGGAGAAGGGGAAGGCTGGGCCCTGGGAACTAGAGATGATGGCATTCCTTTCATTCCTTCCTGAGGCGGGCCTGGAGGGCTGTGCCCTGGTGACTCCTGTCTCCTAAAGGAGGGCAGGGCCGGCTGAAGGATCCAGGCATTGATGTCTAGTTCTGAGGACACCCAGGACCCGCAACTACAAGGGCCATCTAAAACGTGGCCTGGAGGGGATGGGGGCAGGCGGGCACAAAACTTCTGCTCAGCTCACTCCAGCTCCCCACGTGCTCATCTGTTCCCCAGATCTGGGGCTGCCTAGTGAGCCGTTAAACGCCTGGGTTCCGCCCAGGGCTGCCTTCCACCGGGACGCCGGGCCTGCTGTGGCTGGACCCTACAGGAGACAAGGGAAGGAGAATTAACATCAAAGCTGGTAAAGTATCCTGTCAAAACCAAGTGCCAAATCCTCTGTGGGACAGGAAGGGGCAGCTAAGACAGGTGCTTCGGGATGCCTTGGGAAGTATCAGAGCAGAAACAGGAGCGACTGGTTAGCAGATGGTCAGCCAACAGATGCCTTCCCTGGGAGACGGGGAAGCTGGGGCTGTGGATTTCTGGCCCCGAGGGTCCCAGGTCATTATGCTGAACAAGAGGCACCTTCCCGGGACGATACAGCACCCTGTGCTGGAAGGAAGCACCATTTTCCACAGTGGAGGAGTCTCATGACCCCTCCTGTCTTCCAGAAGGATGGAAGGGAGCGCCCACCCCACACCCCTGGAGAAAAATGCCCCCCAGCCTGGGGAGCCATGGGCTCTGCTCCTCCCTCAGCTGAAGGGCCAGGAAAGGGAAGTGAAGGGGCAGGGAGAGGGAAGATATTTACCTTACGTGTGCTCTGAAAACAAAAAACGCGCACTAGTCCACAGTCATTTATCAACTGCAGTTTCCAACTGTGCCAAAGAGGGAAAGGTCTACTGGGAAGGCTAAAGAGAGCAGAGAGAGAAAGAAGAGGAGAAGCTATTGAGCAGAAATGGTTGTGCCTCTTGGCTCCGGGCAGCACCATGGAGAGGGCCGGTGCCCCGGGCAGGGGAAGCTGAGGGAGAGCTGGCAGCTGCAGTGCTGGTGCTGCGCTGCCCCACAGCCTGCGGCTCAGGATGGCAGAGAAAGCCAGGAGCACAGCATGGAGGGCTGCACAGTGTGGGGACTGCCTTTCCCTCGGCAATACAGTTCCATGAAGAACTGACGTGGAGGACCTACCCAGGATTTGAAATAGTAGGCCAGGGGTCAGACAACTTTTTCTGTAAAGGACCAATATTTTTAGTTTTTGTAGGTCATATAGTCTCTGTCACAGCTACTCAGCTCCACTGCTGTAACTCAAAGGCAGCCATAGCAATCTACAAACAGATGTGTGGGTTCTCATAAAACTTCATTCTCAAAAATAGGCTGCTAGCCAGATGTGGCCCTTGCACCACTATTTGCCAACCCCTGCTGTAGGCAATTTAAAATTATTGTGTCTTCCAAGTCTCAAAAAAGGCACTTCTCTGCTGGGCGTCTAGTGCCAAGGTCTCCAGAAACTGGTTCTCATCTGCATGATTTAAGCAGTGCCCCACCAAAATCTCCAGGTGTGCAGCGGCCCTACGCTCCTCCGGACAGTGAAGTGCCAAGCTCACGGGACAAAATGCAGGACAACCCGAGTTCAGGCAAGAAACAGAAAGACAGCAGGCCAGCCTCACTGAAGCAACTGTCAGGTTGTACTTAAGTGAAAATAACCAACATTGTGTCTAGAGAATAATCCATTACAAAGAGGAAATGACCCACAAAGCCACTATCAACTATTCTCTTACAGGACGGCCCAGTGAAGATTATTTAAAAATCTCCGGGTGTGCAGTGATGGGAAGAGCATTATTTTGGGATTAGGTCTGTATCTTCACTACAACACGTGCAGTCTGAGTAGCAGTGAGCCAGAAAAAGGCTCACATGTGGGAGAACCAAAACCAAAAGACTCCCATTTTTAAAACCTTGGCCTCTGAGACCCCAGTGTAATGTGACAATGTGAACTTCTGTAGAAGGGGCACCCCATACAATAAGAAACCATCACAGTGGGTAAGCACAGAAGCCTCAACAACCCTAAAAGGTGCGGCACTAGCTACTCGTCCAGCTACTTTGGAGGCTGAGGCAGGAGGATCACTTGAGCCCAGAGTATGAAGCCAGCCTGGGCACCATGGCAAGACCTTATCTCTTAAAAAAAAGTGCAGCACCATCCTTAGAGAGATCTCTTTAGGAAGAGATGCAACCCATCCCCAGATCCAAGACTTAAGCAGCACGACCTCACCCGCTGCCTTTTTGCCAACACCCAGATCTGGAGCCCACAGGGGCTGAAGCATCCACATGGCCCAGGGTGGGATTTCTGTCCCTTGCACCTGCATGTGACCTCACAATTCAGAAAGGACTATTAGAAAAACATGTTTGTGCTCTCGAGTGTGGGTCTGAGCAGCCACAGTGGCTCCACGGGAGGCCTACAGGAAGCAGGTCAGAGTCCCTGGGCCTTCTCTCTGGCTCTCATTCCTGCCCTGTAGAACAGGCAGAACAGCTAGCAGCCCTCTGGCCACGGGGAGGTTAGCAGAGTTAGACATGGAAGCTCCTAGCACAGTGCCTGGCAGAGGAAGTGCTGATAACAGCTTGTCTTCCTCGTGGTGGGGCAGGTGGGGGTGGGAGGAGGCAAGCCTGCAGCTCCCTCCACAGCCCCACCAGCTCTTCCAGGAATCTCAAGTTCAGGCATATCTCTGACCCCAACCTTAGGAACGCAATCAGAATTAAAGTATCTTCTTGAAAAACAAGAACAAGAAACCCTTCACCACTCCTACCCACAGCCTACACTTCAGACTCTTTCACCTCCCTCCTTGCAGTGTGGGGATGGGGTTCCATATCCCACAACCTTTAGTTCGATTTGCAAAATTTCTTCCAACACAATCTTCCTGCTCGCAGTGGAGCACTGGATGGGCCACGCTTAAATATTAGTATGAACTGACCAAACTCTTCACAAATGCCCTTCTAGTGTCTAGGATGGTGTCTGCCAGCCACACACCCTCTAAGCCAGGGCCACTGCTGACTCAAAGTGACCTAAACTTAATCTTAAATGGCCAAAAGAGTGTCTGAACTAAAACTTATTCCCACTTCCCAACAAATCTCTGATTAAGTCAATCCATTCTAAGACGTCCTTGAGAGAAATACCGACTTACTATACTCTACTCTAAATACCAGTTAGTCTATAGTTTGGTGTCATCCATGCTATTAAAGACAGCAAGAAGTTCAAGTTGAATAATGAATTAAAAAAAAAAAAAGCAAGAAGGGGGTTGGGCACAGTGGTTCATGCCTGTAATCCCAGCACTTTGGGAAGGTGAGGCAGGCGGATCATCTGAGGTCAGGAGTTCAAGACCAGCCTGGCCAACATGGTGAAACCCCATCTCTACTAAAAATACAAAAATTGGCCAGGCGTGGTCGTGGGCGCCTGTATTCCCAGCTACTCAGGAGTCTGAGACAGGAGAACTGCTTGAACCCAGGAGCCGGAGGTTGCAGTGAGCCGAGATCACACCATTGTACTCCAGCCTGGGCAACAGAGCAACAGAGTAAGACTCCATCTCAAAAAAAAAAAAAATTATTTATATATAGATATATATATATAAAGAAGGGAAAAGGATGGGGAGAAAAGAGAGAAAAAAGACAGAGGGTGGGGGGGCGGCGAGAGTGCAAGTCTGTGTGTGTGAGCTCACGGCCCTCAGGTCCAGACACCATGCACGATGTACCACTTGGCACTCACCTGCCGCTGTGGTGGTCTTCTCACCAAGGAGCCTGGTCTGGCTGCCTGGAATAACCTGCAGGTCGGTGTTCTCAGGGGACTGTGGCAGGTTCTGGGCTCGGGTAGCCAGGAGTGCATTGAGGTACTGCAGTCGCGTAACCTGGAGGATGACAGCGTTACTGGGACCCAATTGGTGAAGCGAGATGCAGAAGGTAGGCAGGAAAGGTGACACCGTGCCCGAAGAGGACAGAGGCACAACTTTAAGCTAGTTAAGGGCAGAGAAGAGCAACTGAGTCAAGTGTTTTTAAGACCTTGCTTGGAAACTGGGTGCAAAGGTCTGTGTCCCTCAGGATGAGTGGAAGGCCTTGTTCCGGGCAGTCTCAGACCAGCTGGTCTAGCCCCCGGTGACACAAAGTCGGCTAAAGCCAGCACCCACAAGCAGCCCAGGCAGTCACCTTGATGAGCTGCAGATCAGAGAGCGCCCTCACGGTGTAGTCGGGACAATACGCAGATGAATGCGTGCCGTCACCTGGGTCGGGCTGCAGGTCATGGCGGATGGGCTGGAGCGAGGACACCGGGGACTGGTGAACTATCAAAGGAACAATCAGTGATGGCAGGAGCCATGCTGGCAGCTGGGAGCCTCCTCCCCTGGTGGGGACAACTGTACAGTTTCGAAGACCCACCCCACCAATCACTCTGGAGAGGCAATGTGCATGGGAAGCTGGGAGAGAAGGACAAACACAGCCGGGAGAGGTTTTGCAGGGGTGGAGTGGGCCACAAAGTTGAGCGATGAAGAATGCTGCCCTCCCTCCTGGAAGCCCAGGGGCTACACCACCTTGTGGGGTGGTGGGCTCAGGTGGAAGGAGAGGTGAGGAGGGGCACTGAGAGCCCAAGTGATGATGGGGGACAGGCTCTGCAGCCTCCACCCTGGCCCTCAGCATCAGCAGGGCCGTGGCTTACCCGAGGATGGCACAGTTAGGGCCGACACTCCATAGTACGTGAAGGCCCCATTCTCAAACTTCAGACCCTCTTTCCCGATCTCCACTTCAACCCTGCCCTGGGAGGAGTGGCAAGGAGAGAAACAGATGCGGCCAGATTACCTTTCCCGTCAGAAGACAGCGGAAGGAGAAACCCACCACCTCAATTGTTTGGGGTGGGAGGGTGCATATCCGCATGCCCCTGCTCCCCTCTTCTCCTAGACCCTTCCCTGGCCTGAGGAAGCAGGAGGGACTCCAGGCCTGGGACCCACAGCTACCTGCAGGATGAGAATGAAGTAATCCACCGGCTGGCTGCGCTGGTACAGGTAGTGGTGTGTGGCCAGCCGGTTGCTCTCGTCAAACCTCACTTCCTGGTTGACACTGGGATGCTTCAACAGGTGCAGCAGGACCTTCTCAGAGATGCGCAGCGGGCTGAATACATCCACTTCTGCACGTGGTGGAAAAAAGGGACAGTGTCCACTGGGGCCTAGTGGCCAGTGGAACCACACCCAACACTGTAGGCAATTTAAAGTTATTGTGCCCACCAGGGATCTCCCGGGTGGCCTGTGAGCAGCTGCCCCTAACACCTCAACACAAGAGAACTAGGCAGGGGCCAGGTGCGGTGGCTCACGCCTGTAATCCCAACACTTTCGGAGGCTGAGGCAGGTGGATCACCTGCAGTCAGGAGTTGGAGACCAGCCTGGCCAATATGGCAAAACCCCGCCTCTACTAAAAATACAAAAATTAGCTGGGCGTGGTGATACACGCCTGTAATCCCAGCTACTTGGGAGGCTGAGGCAGGAGAATCACTTGAACCCAGAAGGCGGAGGTTGCAGTGAGCCAACATCGTGCCACTGCACTCCAGCCTGGGTGACAGAGCGAGACCCTATCTTTAAAAAAAAAAAAAAAAAAAGAACTGGGCAGGGCACCCCACATCCGCCCAGCTGAGAGCTGAGGCCCCCTGGCTGTGGTGCACCAGGCGTGGCACTGGCCTGGCCCTGCTCTTGGTCATCTGGCAGAGAGGAGGTGTCTCTCCCATGACCCAAGATGCTGGCAGGGCTGCAGAGAACACAGAAGTCCTCAAGACGCACCCGCCTGCTAGGAGTGGGGAGCAGAGTCAGTGTCGGCCCTGGGCGGCCTCCTGACCCACAGAACGGTGAGGAGAGCAGGGGGCATGGACCACCCTCCCGCCTCACCTCGGGACAGGAAGCGCTGGGTGGCCAAGAGCAGCTGAGGCGAGATTGTTACTTTATATTCATCATCAGACACCTTGAACAAGGAGAACTCCTCCTTCCGCTTCAGAGGGGCCATCAGAGAAGCAGGCTTCCTCTTCACCACGGTGTCTCCTAAGATGGAAGAAGAGGGCGCGCTCAGGCATCAGCCACCTGTCAGTCAACACGACCACACTAAGGGGCTGCATCGCCTGCTCCTTCCTCCTGAGGCCAGGGGGTCCTCGATGGAGCAGCATCGGAACGCCAGGGACATGTCCTCAGCACCGCTCCCTCCACGGGGCCTGCTCCCACCCCAACCACACAGAGAGAGGGGTGACTATCTGCCTTGGAGCTGGCTGAAGAGAATGCTGATATGATAACAAAGCAGCTTGTATAAAATAACAAGCATCCCTGATAGGTCACTGGATGTAGACTAAAAACTTTTTTAAATTTAGGCCAGATGTAGTGATTCACACCTGTAACCCTAGCACTTTAGGAGGCTGAGGCGGGAGGATCACTTAAGGCCAGAAGTTCAACACCAGCCTAGGCAACATAGAGAGACCGTGTCTTTACAAAAAAATAAAATAATTAGACGGGTGTGGTGGCATGCGCCTGTAGTCCCAACTGCTCAGGAGGCTGAGGTGGGAGGAACACTTGAGTCTGGGAAGTTGAGGCTGCAGTAAGCCATGAATGCGCCACTGTACTCCAGCCTGGATGACAGAGCAAGACCGTCTCAAAATAAAAAAAAAAAATTAAAAAATAATAACAGCCTCTCTGGCCACTGAAAAACTTCTCACTATAAAGCATGTATTCAAGGATTACCAATGCAAATGGGCAGCAATTAACCTGGAGACCCCATGCCTATGGCAGTCTCAAGAACGGAACTAGAGATGCTATGTTTGAAAATCGACGCATGATTAAAGCGATACTTCTGGAAGCATGCAGGGCAGGCGGCCCGGCCATGACGCACAGACTCTGTACAGCCCTGCAGACCTCAGCCACCATGCTAACAGGCGGACACTTTTACCATGCAATCAAGGGCACGGGATCAGCTGCTTTGGGAAGACTTATTTCCACCCCCTCCAGTCTCTCAGGCTGGAGCGCAGTGGCGTGATCTCAACTCACTGCAACCTCTGCCTCCTAGGTTCAAGCGATTCTTCTGCCTCAGCCTCCTGAGTATGTGAGACTACAGGCACGCACCACCACGCCCAGCTAATGTTTGTATTTTTAGCAGAGATGGAGTTTCACCATATTGGCCAGGCTGGTCTCGAACTCCCGATCTCGTGATCTGCCTGCCTGGGCCTCCCAAAGAGCTGGGATTACAGGCGTGAGCCACTGCGCCCAGCCAGGAAGACTTTCTTCATGGCAAACAGTGGGTTCTTTCAGGGGACATTTCTGTAATGTACAAAAGAACCTGCAAAAACAAAAGCACCTAGGGAGACAGAAGACTGGGAAAGGCCCATGAAGGGCAGAGCTCTCTCAGTAATGGAGGAAACTAATAGGACTGCTGCTAATGGAGCCCCAGGTGAGCCCTGGGATTGCAAGGCCACCGCTGGCACAGGCAACCATGCTTGTGTGGAGGTGCAGGCGTGAGCCCTCCTGCAAGGGGGCTCTCTGCCAGCACCCATGCAGGGCTCAGAAGGGGGCCTGGCTGTGGATCTTGCTGGGTTCCAGCAGCACAGAGGCCCACTGGCCTCTGACGCAACATACGCCTGGGGAAGTGTGCAGGCCCAGCGGAGACAGAACTGCCAAGAGTCTGGACTCACGGTAGTCTTCAGACTCGTCCAGGATCTCGGACCTGATGATCTCCTCGATCACGTCCTCCAGGGTGACCAGGCCCAGGACCTCGTAGAAGGGGTCGCCTTCACCCTCGTTGTTCACCTTCTGCACGATGGCCAGGTGGGACTTCCCTGTGGGGGGAGGACACTCATGGAACAGCTTGCTGGGCCCCCCCCAGTTTGATTCATCTCCCCTGGTATAGGCCCACCAAAAGGACACGGCTAACGTTCATGCTCCTACAACGTGCCAGGCACAGAGCCACACTCTTTTCTAGGTTTTTACTTAAGACTCCCAGCGTGATTATGAGAACTGGCCTTATTTTCACACAGGTTGAAAATGAAGCAGTGGGCTCATGCCCATCTGCACAAGGCCCCCCAGGCAGAGCTGGCAGAGCTGGGATCCAGCTCCAGGTCCGTGCACCTCCATGACATGGATGCAGTTTAGACAAGGATGCCTCCCTCCAGTGGAGAACACAAATGCCTCACACATCAGCCAGCCTGCACATGCAGGCTAACAAGGGCACTGACTCTGGAAACACAGGCTCTCCTGCGACAGTCCACACGGGGCAGCTGAGTGGGGCCACCCAGCCTGACTGTCCTTGGGAGGATTTCCTAAGTCTTTTTCTTCTTAAAGTAAATATATATGCTGTCCATCCTACATAAATGTGCATGGCTTCTTGTCCTTCTTTATGATAGAAATTAGAAAGAGATAGAAAGATAGACAGACAGACAGATAGACTGTGTGTATGTGTGTGTGTCTGTGTATCTTTTGGTTTTCCTAATTCTTAAAGCTGCCCATTAGGGGCTGTCAACTAGGGGATGAGAAGAGTGGTAGCTGGCCACTCGGGAGCCAAGCTGTGCAGGGAGGAGGAGCACCAGGCTGAGATTTTCCACCTTACCCTATATGTCTTTCTCAGGTTAGCTTCCTATTTGGTTTGTTTGCTTAGTGAGGGAATGTAAGCTTGGAAAAAAGCCCAAGTCTCAGAGTGCTGGGGAATGCTGGGGAGGCTTCAGGAATTTACTATGTCTCAGATAAGTGCTTTTCATCCACACTACGTTAGACCCGTCTGAAAAAAACAGAATGCAAGCCACCTAAGTAATTTAAAATCTGAATAGCTGCATTAAAAAAGTCAAAAGAAACACATAAAATTAAGTTTAATAATATATTGTAAGTAACCCAATATAGTCAAAATAGCATTTCAATACGTAATCAATACAAAAAATATTCATAGACATTTTGTCTATGTTGCACTCTCTGAATCTGGTGTGTTTTATGCTCACAGCACATCTCAACTCAGACTCCACCTTTAGGTAGCACAGCCCCAGGTGGAGGGGGCTGCCGGCCTGGGCGGCACAGGTCCAGGACAGGGGGATGGGAGCAACTCATTCAACCAGGCCCTCGTTTGTCACTAGTGGAAACGCTGAGGGGTAACTGGCCTGGACCTGCCTGTGAGGGGGTATCTGCTTCAAGACTCTCCTGGGAAATCAAACAGTCAAGTTTGTGTTGTTGTGTGGATCATACTTTACATCCCATGGGCTTGATTAAATAAAGCACAGTTCTCCAGGATGCTTGCATTGCCCTGGACAAAAAGCTGGAAATGGCCACATGAATCGTCTCCCCGCTTTCCGGGAGGAAGGCTAGGGCCCCTGGAGATTGCCACTCAGCCCTGCTGAACCGCGTTTCTAGACACCTTCTAACCCTCAGTGCTTGTGCTGGGTGCCGTCTCTACATGGGCCACGGCTGCCCCACCAGAGTACAAACCTGTCAGGCCAGGCCAGGCCAGGAAGGCCAAGTGCGACATGTGGTTTTGGTTAATGTCTTGGATTCCAGCACCAAAGCCCAGGATCTAAATGGCCACCTCGGCGCAGAGAGGCCTCATCTCGGCTCCCTTCTCCCAGGAAGCCAGCCCCTTTGGCAGGTTTCCTACAGAAAGGGACTCACTCCTTTGCTTTCAAACTTCTCTAGAACAAGGCACACAATTCTCCATGGCCTGCCACACTGGGATGATTCTATCACGAACAGAAGAAAGCAGGCCCTGGAAGATCCCCTGGAACAGTGGTCGTGTGACTGAATCCCAAGAAGAATGTCTGAGGGGTCTAGATGGCAGCCAAAGATGACAGCAGAGGGACAGAGCAAGGGCAGCTGCAGGGACTCAAGGTCACCTCTCATCTGCTGAGCCACCAGAGTGGAACCACTCACACTGATGCCTGCCCACAGGCCAGCTCCAAGGAGCCACGAGCAGCTCACAGTGTGTCTTGCCAACGTCAAGCAGAAAGCCCTGGAAAAGCTTCAAGTTTAATTTTAGTTAGCAGGCTCCAGGGTACCCCAATTATTTGAATGCCAAAGTACCCTTTCATAATGCCCAATTTCTATGATGTTAATAACAGTTGGAATACCTTCTCTCTTCTGTTTTCTAAAGCACCTCAGTGAATGAATGAATACTGTGAGAAAGACAAAAGTAGTGTGCTGACGCTCCTCACTGCTGTTGGAGCTGGTCAGACTCTTTTCCGCATCATGGCAATCATCTGGCTCCCAGCAGACAGGAAACCAGAGCTGGGTTCCTTTAAAGCAGAGACTGCGGCCAGGCACAGTGGGAAACACCTGTAATCCCATCTCTTTGGGAAGCTGAGCTGGGAGGATCGCTTGAGGCCAGGAGTTTGAGACCAGCCTGGGCAACATAGGGAGACCCCAATCTCTACATAAAATTAAAAATTAGCTGGGGATGGTGGTGTTCACCTGTGGCCCCAGCTTACTCAGGAGGCTGAAGTGGAAGGATCACTTGAGCCCAGGAGGTAGAGGCTACAGTGAGCCACGATCACATCACTGCACTCCAACCCAGGTGACAGAGCAAGACTCTGTCTCAAAAATAATAATAATAATGTTCTTGGCCAGGCGCAGTGGCTCACACCTGTAATCCCAGCACTTTGGGAGGCCGAGACGGGCGGATCATAAGGTCAAGAGATCGAAACTATCCTGGCCAACATTGTGAAACTCCATCTCTCCTAAAAACATAAAAAAGTTAGCTGGGCGTGGTGGTGCACGCCTGTAGTCCCAGCTACTCAGGAGGCTGAGGCAGAAGAATCACTTGAACCCGGGAGGCAGAGGTTGCAGTGAGCCAAGATTGTGCCACTGCACTCCAGCCTGGCAAGAGAGCAACACTCCATCTCAAAAAAAAAAAAAAAATAATAATAATAATAATAATGTTCTTTTGTACATTAAGGTCCCTTACTTAACAATGGTTCAAATTACAATTTTTCAAATTTGATGGTTCAAAAGCAATATGCATTCAGTAGAAACCATACTTCAAACACATATAACCATTCTGTTTTCACTTTCAGTACAGCAGTCAATAAATTACATGAGATATTCAACACTTTATTTTAAAATAGTTTTGTGTTAGATGACTTTGCCCAACTGCAGGCTAAAGTAAGTGTTCTGAGCATGTTTAAGGTGGGCCAGGCTGAACTATTTGGTTTGGTAGGTTAGATGTATCAAACACATTTTTGACTTAAGGTATTTTCAACTTACAATGGGTTTATCAGGACATAACTCCATTTGTAAGTCAAGGAGCAGCTGTCCAAGTTATTTATTATGGCTCCAAAGCACTCACTCTTCCTGGTGACGTCTGCACAAAATAATCAGCACGTCATCTCAAGTTGGCACTGATTGAGGGGCGCCTTGCTGGGGAGGTTACCTTGCCCCCAGACTACAAAGTTCCCTAGCAGACACAGCAAAAGAAACAAGACCCGGAATGAAAGCTGCCAAGATGGCAGGGACTCCAGCTCCACGAAATTCAGAGGCTCATTAGCTTGGCAGAGAGATGGAAAGGGAATCGATTTTTAAAACCTCACACGCCACAAAGACTGCAATATGCCCTTTGTTCCTAAGTGGAGGAATGCTTAAGAAGGTTAGGAAGGACAAAAAGGACTTTAACACGGAAAAAATAAAGATATTTGCCAAAGGACTGCACTGAACTAGAGAAGCAGAGAAAAAAGCTCCGGGATGTCACCAGAAAGACATGGCCAGTCTGCCCACGAATGGCCCTCACTCACCACAGGAGCGGGGAAGTCAAGGGGGATTAAAGAGCTCCCCATTTAACCTCCAGGTTCCAAAAACCTCCCCCACTGTCTTCCAAGGGGATCCTTTTCAGCATGTTGTCAGGCAGCTTTTAGAAAGGTCTGTTTCAAGCAGAGGCACTCAACCCCAAATCCTCCTGCATCGGGCTGCTTGTGACCTGCCTGGAGGCCACCCAGCCCAGAACAGGAGCAGCCCGGACCCTGGCCTCTCTAATTTCCTTCCTAGCTACATTTCAACCTGCATTTCAATCTGAACCTACTGGACTTGCCCATCTTAAAACCAAACAGCAGAAGGCCTCCTCCCCTGTCCCACATCCTCTGCCAGTCACTTCTCTCTGCAGCCACACTCTGTGGAGGGCTGTCTACATTGGTTCTCGTACCTTTCCACACCTCATTCATTCCCCAAATGGCTCCCTTGCCGTGGCACCAAATCTGCTCTTGCAAAGGTCAACGGCATCCTGTTTGCTGGCCTCCTCTCCTGTCACTCACCTTCCCTGGGAAAGTGGTCTCTTCCCTTAGCTTCCAGGACATTCCGCATCTCGGGAACTCCTCCTTCCTTGGTCTTGCCTCCTCCTGGCCAGCTTCTCCTGGGCTTCCCTTGCCCCTGACACACCTGTGCTCCTAGGAGGCTGAGGCTCTCTGCCTCCCTCCCATGACTTGAGAGACACTCCTATTCTGCCTCCCACTTGCATTTCACATCAACGGCCTGCTAGGAGTTTGCCTCTTGGGACACTGCACAGACACAAATTCAATGGCCAAAACCTGCTCCCCACGCCCGGCCCTTAGTGAAGGCGCACCGCCACCACACAGCCAGAAATCTGGGCCTCATCCTCAGCTGCTCCTCCTTGTTGCATAGCCCTGCTGCCAGATACCAATCTTCCCAATTCCACCTCTGCTGCCCTCTTGGGGCTCCTCTCCAGGCCTGCCATGAACCTTGTTCAGGTTATCATCCCCTCTCACCTGGATCCCTCACACCGCTGGTCTCCCTGCGCTGGTGTCCACAATTGTTACTGATCTGTAAAAATAACTGATGCTGCTGCTTGATGCTCATGGCCCTGGTGATCAAGTACAAGTTCCTTACACAGCACACAAGCCCCCCCGCCAGGGGACATCCTGCCTCTGCGCTCCTTCCCAACGAACATGAACATTTTTTATTCTTCCCCAAGTGGAATCCCCAACCACCCTGGACCAAGCTCATCCATCGCATCTGAAAGACAAGACCATGGCAGCGAAGATCCTGACACTGGCGGTTTGGAAAATGAAAGACCACTTTCACCAGCCTCATCCTGAGCATCATGACCAACTACAGAAGTTGCCTTTAGTTCTGAACAGGACAACCCTTCCATCTCCGCTGCTCCAAATCTCTGCTTGGTGACTGCTCAACTGTTGAAAGCAGCAGCCAGCTGAAGCCAGACACCAGAGTGAGCTTTTTCTTAAAGAATCTAGAAACGTGAGTGCTTTGAACACCAAAAGGACAGCTACAGTCTTCCACTTTTTCCCTAAAAAAAAGGAAGTCTGGTGACCTGCCTAGAAGAACAGAAATCTGCAATTCCAGATTCACCCCTTGCTCCTGGATTGGCAAACAGCTCACCTACCAGCAGAGCCTGTCCCGGAGTAAGAACCACCTGCTAACGCCAAGCACACAGCATATGCACGCCAGGCACTGGCCAAAGTGCTTGATGAGTCTCCCCCCGCAGGTCTGTTTACCCACTCTTATCACTAACAGCAGAGGACTTTGCACCACAAGAGGCTGAGCAGCCTTCAGGGCCTGGGGGCAGGCAAGGGCAGGATGGAACCTACTCCGCTGATTCCAGGGTTGCAATGTTGGCCACCACACCAGGAGAACCACCCCTGCCTCAGGGGCTGCCTCTGGCAGCCCAGATGGGAGTACTTACCACCGCGAGGCTCTGTCTGGACCCAAACCCAGGCTCCCTCCCCAGGGCAGGGTGGCATGGCCATGTTCTAGGGACACAGCCAGGAGCACCCAAGAGTCTAAAAGAATAGAGCTGCCCACCCAAGCCTCCCACCCATTCCTGAGCTACAGCAGTAACAGTAACTTAGCACCCAGGCCTCCTGCAAGGAATGAGGGACGAGATTACACAGAAAGTGCCCATCAGCTCCTGGCACACGGCAGTGCTCAGTCAGGAGTAGCGGTCATTATCACAAAGCCTGGCTTCCTGCAACGACAGGCCAGGGGCTCTCAACAGACGGTGCCAGAAACATCCTGCCACAAATACCAGGGGGCTTTGCCACTTCTTGGCCTTACAGCTGGCAGCCTTTAGGGTCAAGTCCATCCAACACCCTGGGGTGCTCCCACCCTCACCCTACAGGAGTGCAGGTGTGAGAAGCATGGCTGTTAACCAAGGTCTGAGCACCAAACTCTGGGGAGCACCACTAAGGATGATGTTGGAGAGGACTGCAGAAGAAACCACACCTTCACATCCGGAGGGTACTGGTTTTACCTTCAATCTCCGAACTGCTCAGCTAAAACAGTGAAGGGAGGGATGAAAATGTGGAGTTAAGGGAGAACTTGAGACCTTAGGGTTAGAAAAGAAGAGGTGAGGCTGGGCGCGGTGGCTCACGCCTGTAATCCCAACACTTTGGGAGGCCAAGGTGGGAGGATCACTTGAGGTCAGGAGTTCGAGACCAGGCTGGGCAAAATAGTGAGACCCTGTCTCTACATAAAATTTTAAAAAACAGGAGATTAAAAAGCAAAAAAAAAAAAAAAAGGGCCGGGCACAGTGGCTCACGCCTGCAATCACAGCACTTTGGGAGGGCGAGGCAAGTGGATCACCTGGTCAGGAGTTCAAGACCAGCTTGGTCAACGTGGTGAAACCCCATCTTTACTAAAAATACAAAAATTAGCCCGGAATGGTGGGGTGCATCTGTAGTCCCAGCTACTCGAAGGCTGAGGCAGGAGAACTGCTTGAACCTGGGAGGCGAAAGTTGCAGTGATAAGAGATCGGCCACTGCACTCCAGCCTGCGCGACAGAGCTGGGAGAAAGGGAGACTAAGTCAGCATAAATGGAGTTACTTTTGGTGAAAGCAAAGTGTTAAGTTTCCCTGACTTTACCGCAGATAAGGGATTGACACCTAAATACCCTTATCTGCAGTAACGCCAGGGACCTTAAGAATGCTCTGAAGGAAACATTACAGGTCCAGTCAATTTGATATTACATGTGTGCACACAACAATATCCCAGATACCTGGAGACTACCATCTTTTCTATGTTCTTCTAGTTTCTATCCAAAAATTTGGACCTGCTACAAAGTCAAGCACACAGAAACACTCTGGGAGAGGGAAAGAGCTGGGGGATTAGAGGACAAGCGGACATACCCCTCCCTGCAAATGGGGGGGGGGGGCTATCCTGACGCGGGGGTTAAAGTGTTCGCTGTCTAAAGGATTCCTCCCACTCTGATCGATGGCCTTTAAGTATTTCAAAAGGTCATTCCAAGCTGCAAGGCCAATACCGTCTTGAAAAGGGACCTTAGAGGTCTCACTGCTCTCCACAGGGGTGGGACCCTTTCCAGAAGGCTTCCATAACTCTCCACCCCTTTTCAGGGAGAGGGCACTCGCACGGGCGTCCCCTGCACCATGCCCGGGCCGTTACCTCGCTTGAATTCCTCCAGGACAGCGTCCAGCTTGGTGTCGTTGAAGACGAAGTGGAGCGGATGGTTGTAGAAACGAGTGATGGTGCTGAGCGGCGTGCAGTCTTCGGGATCCACGAAGGCCAAGTCCTTGAGGTAGAGCATGTCCACGATGTTGGAGCGCTCCTCCTCGTACACCGGGATGCGCGTGTGGCCGCTCTGCATGATGCTGGCCAGGACGCCGAAGTCCAGCACGGTGCTGGCGTCCAGCATGAAGCAGTCTTCGAGGGGCGTGAGCACGTCCTCCACGGTCCGGCAGCGCAGCACGCCCTTGCTGAGATCGCTGTAGGGGTCGCCGCCGCCGCGCGCCAGCTCCAGCACCCGCTCCCGCAGCCGCCCGGGCCGCGCCGCCAGCTCCAGCAGCTGCCCCACGGGCAGCGCGACGGGCAGAGTGAGCAGGACGGCCAGGCGGCTGAGGCCGAGCGCTCGCGGCGCCAGCGCCAGCGTCCAGCGCCCGCTCACGGCGGCCGGCACCACCTCTCCCACCAGGAACACGAGCCCCGCGCTGCCCAACACGGCGGGCACCGCACGCTGGCCGGCCGCGCGGTACAGCAGCACCGCCAGCGCCGCCTGCGCCAGGCTGGCCAGCAGCAGCAGCGCGCCCAAGGCGCAGCCGGCCCAGCGCCGCGCGGGCTCCAAACGCCGCGCCGCCGCACGCTCCGCCTCCGAGCCGCTCTCGCGCAGCACCTGCACCTCGGCAGGCGCCAGCGCCAGCGCGCTCAGCTGCAGGCCTCGCGCCAGCGCTGCCAGCGCCAGCAGCCCGGCCGCCCCCAGGCCCAGAGCCCAGGGCGGCGCCGCCTCCTCAGCCGCCCCGCCACCCGGCTCCACGCGCACCGCCAGCAGCGCCGAGTGCGGGCGCACGGCCTCGGCCCGCAGGCGCAAGCGCAGCAGCGCGCGCCACTCGCCCGCGGGGGAGGCCGCCTCCTCCCGGCAGCCCGCCCCCTCCGGGGCCACCCAGGACCAAGAGCTGTTGGCGAAGCCCGGGCCGAAGAGGCGCAGGAGGAAGGTGGCGTCCGGCGTGTCCCGCGCCGCCCCTCCGCGTACCCAACCCGCGCCCGCCGCTCCATCCTCCTCCAGGCAGAAGCCCAGCACTCGCGGGCCCGGCGCGGCCTCCCCCGCGGCGTTGCCCAGGCAGAGCGCGGCGAACAACCAGCCTAACCGACCCGCCGCAGCTACCGCCGCCGCCATCGCCTGCTGCCCCCTCTCGGCCTCTCGCGCAGCCTACCCCGCTCGCCCCGCGCCTCCCCGGGCCAATCGTTACGGCTCTTCGCGCCTCCTCGGCCAATAGGCGGTGGGCGGGGGCGGGCCCCAGGGTCGGACTAGGCTGCGCCGGGGAGTAAACAAGTGGCGGCCAGGGGCGGGCCGGGGGCGTGGGGCTCCGGGCCCCGCCGAGTCTGCTGCGGCTCCGGATGCGCGGGGTGGCAGTGGCCGGGAGGACGCGGGGCGGCGGGCAGGGCCTCCCAAGCCCGGCTGTCCTCGGCCCGTGCGCGGCGCCCGGAGTCCCACTCCTCCCGATGCTGTCCCCCGCGCCCGGAGGCCGAGCCAATTCTCTGGGAAGTTCCCGGCTTGGGAGCGGAGCGGCCGGTCGGAAGAACCTCGGGTGCTGGCGCGCCTGAAGTTGCAGACCAGACTGAAATGTGCGAGACATGTGCCTTTTTCTTAGGAAAGGCCCCAGGTACCAGAAAGGTTTTCAGCGCGCCGACCTACGGGGCTAAGAGGGCTGAAATAAGAACCAGTGACTGAGCGCCGGGAGGTTTAAGGTTTATGGAAGATGTTCATCGCGCCGTACCCTACTAGAGGTTTGGGGACGTGGGACACAGCCCCTGCGTTCCCGCCGCGGACCCCGTGATAAATACACAGACACACAAAATCACTACCGCCTTGAATCTGGACAGCTACCTCAGGTGGTTAATATCTAACAGGAGCAGAGTGGAGCTCAGAAAGACTCAGCGTGGGTGCTGGGTTCCGGCGCGACCAGCCTGATACCTAGGTCAGCATCTCAGCCACACAAGCAGGCGGCAGTTCTGTCAGGAATTACTACATCTGGTGATTCCACTTCTCATAGCTCACCGCTGGGAGAATAATTCCTCAGGATTAACAAGATCTATTCCAGAGGATCCTCACTGCTGAAGCGATTTTAGAAGACAGTGTGGTCTGTTGACAGTATGGAATATTCTTTACCCATCAGATATGATCTGTATGTGATTGGAAGGAAATAAACCAACTGCTAACAACACTTCTCTATAGATGTTCAGATTCAGTAATTTTTGTATTTTTCTCTACACTTTTGTTTTTTCAAATTTCCTAGCACAAGAAGACTTTGACTTACTGCACATGTCATTTTAAATGACCTTTATAAAGACTCTATAGAAACAATTTGCTATGTCATGAAAGTAACAATCAAAAAAAGTATGCACATTGTGGCCACAAAGTAAAACTTGTGTGGAAGGTAATGTGCAAAAAAAAAAAAAAATGAGTAAGCTGGTGGTGAGTGACCAAAGGAAAAGGCTTTGTAAAAAACTTTTTTTTTTTTTTTTGAGACGGAGTCTCGCTCTGTCACCCAGGCTGGAGTGCAGTGACGCAGTCTCGGCTCACTGCAAGCTCCGCCTCCCGGGTTCACGCCATTCTCCTGCCTCAGCCTCTCCGAGTAGCTGGGACTACAGGCGCCCGCCACCACGCCCGGCTAATTTTTTTGTATTTTTAGTAGAGACGGGGTTTCACCGTGGTCTCGATCTCCTGACCTCGTGATCCACCCACCTTGGCCTCCCAAAGTGCTGGGATTACAAGCGTGAGCCACCGCGCCCGGCCTGTAAAAAACTTTTTAAAAGATGGTAATAGCTGGCCGGGCACGGTGGCTCACGCCTGTAATCCCAGCACTTTGGGAGGCGGAGGCGGGCGGATCACGAGGTCAGGAGATCGAGACCATCCGGACTAACATGGTGAAACCCCATCTGTACTAAAAATACAAAAAATTAGCCAGGTGTGGTGGCGTGCACCTGTAGTCCCAGCTACTCGGGAGGCTGAGGCAGGAGAATGGTGTGAACCCGGGAGGCGGAGCTTGCAGTGAGCTGAGACCACGCCACTGCACTCCAGCCTGGGCGACAGAGCAAGACTATGTCTCAAAAAAAAAAAAATGGTAATAGTGGCCCGGCGCGGTGGCTCATGCCTGTAATCCCAGCACTTTGGGAGGCTAAGGCGGGCACATCACGAGGTCAGAAGATGGAGACCATCCTGGCTAACACGGTGAAACCCCGTCTCTACGAAAAATACAAAAAATTAGCCGGGCTTGGTGGCGGGTGCCTGTAGTCCCAACTACTGAGGAGGCTGCGGCAGGAGAATCGCTTGAACCCGGGAGGCAGTCGGAGGTTGCAGTGAGCCAAGATCGCACCACTGCACTCCAGCCTGGGTGACAGAGCGAGACTCCATCTCAAAAAAAAAAAGGTAATAGTGTATTTTTAAAAGATGGTAATAGTGTCTCTTCTGCATTGTAAACTCAGAGCTGTGACTAGGCCAATGGGGCATCTCCGTGTTTTTTATTATTCAGGTGATGTTCTGTGCCCTTTGAGTTTACCTTACTTTTGCAGATTACAGAGTAAGCCGCCAGCAGAAGCAATAAAGACATTACTGGGCCTTTGCACTGCAACATCATGCCTCTGAAGAAAAAAAAAGTGCAAACATTACAATAGATTCAGCTCCTTTAGTTCTCACTTCTGTCTCCACGTCAAGATAAAATACTGACATTGAAATAGAATGGATGACATGCTTGAAATGAGTCATGTGCCTGAAAAGTCATTAACAAACAACAGTTCCAGAGAAAAGCCAGGAAAAACTCCCCATGGATTTAGAGACAGAGCTCTCACCTTCAACAGGTTACTTTTTCCTTGTCTCAGGCTTCCTTGGAAAACAACCTATAACTAACTTTCTGGGAGTAAAGCTTCAGGTGGAAGAACAATTGGATCAAACTTGGAAAACGTAAGTGGTCATTTAAATTGTCAGTACCCAAAGATACAAAAAAATCCAATATGGGGCACGCAAAGCTGCTCCTGGAGTGGTTTCCCTTTTGCAGTAGAGGCCTCAACAGTCCTTGACCAGCTTCTCCTGTGGCTGTGCCATTCTTTACCCCACCCCTGGTTAGCATCAGTGGAGACACAGCCACTTGACCTTCAGACCACTGTTGGCCCTCCCTGGGCCGTTTTCCTTACTGGTCTTTTGGATCAAGACATTTCCATGTTATATCTAAATATTTATTCTTGAGTTTTAAACCCACCGGCTAATTCCTGCTTCTCTCTCAAGCCTTAGCTCATATGCTGCTCCCTCCGAGTGATCTTCCTTGACCCTCGACTAGGTTGGCTCAAGGTTATTGGAGCTATGTGCTCTCCCCATATCATCCAGTACATCCCCTGTTGTAACATGTATTCATTTATTCATTCAACAAGTATTTCCTGCATTGAGTCCCTGCAGTGTAGCAGGTACTGTTCTAGTGTTGGGACTGTAGTGGGAATAAAATTAAGTCCCTACCCTTGTGAGGCTAGATTCTAGCGCAAGGACGATAGAAAATACCCAAGTCTATATTTCAATATTTGGTAGTAAGTGCTATGGAGGGAAAAAGGCAAGATAAAGAGACAGATGCTGGGGTGATGCTGATTGAGATGGGCTAATCGGAAGCCTTCTCAAGGAGATGGCATTTGAACTGAGGCTTAAATGAAATAAGGGGTGAGCCTCGCCAAGACTTAGGAGATGTGTCCCAGGTCAGGGAGACAGCAAATGGAAAAGCTGTGTGTGACTGTCCCCCTTGGGGTGGTGGGAAGGTTCTTCATTAAATTCACAGAGGGGTTGGTAGTACCTGGCGTGCGAAAGGGATTTAAACGTGTGGAACAGATGGATGAAGATAATTTACAAATCTTGCCCCAGACACAGACGTTGGCATGTGTACCTCTTTTATCTGGAATATCCTCTTTTCTTTGTTGCCTACATAGATGCCCCCAGTTTGTCTACTCCATTGAACTTTGCATGCTTGGAGCCCCTGGCCTCAGCACACTCAATCGCACAAGCCAGCCTGCAGCACCTGTACAGCACCATGGGAGTCCCCTGCAGAGCTGCAACTTTGAGAGTGGGTATAGTGACGTAACTCAGGTTCTTCAAGGGATGAACACTCCAACTTTGAAACCACTAGCCTGTAGGTGTGGACGAAAAGGCAGCTGCATGTTATAAAACAATATTACTCATACTTTTGGATCAAGCTTCTTTCAGTCCCATGGGTAGGGAGGAGGGGCAATTTGCTGAAGCCCACTGCCCTTCCAGTACTCACAAGCCAAGGGCCCTATGGGATCTGTTTCACAGGACTCATGCTTATGGCAGCTGAGCACATCTGTCCTGTATGTCTGCCAGCAGCCACGTCCCTCTCACTCCTGTGACGACAGCCTTGACTATATTTAGAAATTCCATTTCTGATTGCATTTCACTGCTGAATGGTCCTAGAATCCTTTATTGCCCTTGTCCCATCACAAGAGACAGCCAGCCACAGCCACTTTTATCTCAACAACATACTGAATACTGACAGAACAAACAGGCAAGTTGTAGATTCACCAGGATTTATACATATTTGATTTTTTATTACCAATCAAAAATAAATTCCATATATCGTTTAGCAAATATCATTGTTTTGTGACAAAAGACACAAGAGTCATAACAACAAAACTCCCCGAGAGTCAAACTCATAACGCCAAAATAAATCACAAAAATATACAAATTAAAATATTATGCAAAATAAATACGGCGGCTGTCACCTGCCTACCCATTTGGATGCCCTTTGCAAAGGTCTCCCTTACGTGGAAGACACAGTGGGTGGGCCAGTTCCAGGGTATGGCTCATCCCAGGAACCAGAGGTTGAAATAGGAAGGGAAAAATTGCACTGGGAAGAGGAAGTCATCAGACAAACAATATTTGGAAATAATGATGACCCTCTGTGAGAAGGGATGATCAATGGGCCAGGGAAGAGGAGGAGGGCCAGCCAGTTGGTGGTAACCGTGTGCACAGAGGTCACTGTGGAGGTGTGTGCACCTGCCCCTTTTGCTTCACATACCCCCACCAATGTCTTTTGCTCTACCTGGCAGTCAGGGCTGTCAGGAATATAGCTCTGCCAGCTTCCAAAAGGACTTGGGAGCAAGCTGCTCCTGTACAAGACTAAGGGCTTTCCCCCACTAGGGAACAAAAGTCTGGTGTCTTTTTTCCTTACAGTTGAGAACCCATGGGTGTCACCACCTTCTCTCCAGGCTTCCAGGAGTCAGTTCTATGGCTAGGAGACCTCAGACTGGCCAGGGGTAGGCATACTTGGTGCAAGACAATCCCTGGTCCTAAGAGTTAGGATACTCTAGGCACCTGGAGAGCAGGGCACTTGGGGTGAGGAAAGGAGTGAATAAATAATAATCAGGCGGAAGGCCTGCAGAGTTTCACCTGCCAGGCTCTCGGGACCCAGCTCCTGCTGCACCCAGTGGAAGGACCAACATGGACCTTGGTCCCACAGCCTCCCCAACCCTGGGAAGCCTGGAGTTTTGCAGCAGGGCCTGATTCAGCCCCAGGGAAGAGGCGCCAGGGCAGGAATTCACATGAGGGCAGAGCTCTTAGTACAGTACTACTAACTTCAGCAAGGGCAGGATGACCTCTCACGCTAGGATCACACGTGTGAGAAAGAGGGGCTGCAAGCTGCATGCCTTTAGGAGGAGCCCTCCTCTCCTGAGGTTCCATAAGTGGGTGGATAAGGCCAGGTGAGCCTTGCCAGCCACAGAGGAGAGGACATAAAGAACCTGCTTCCGTGGCTTCCCACATGTCCTCTTGTCTCCACCCCCAAGAGGGACTGAAGCTTGGGGATTCGAAATAAGGGGTCTGGGAAAAAGGCTTCAGTCAACAAGTCAGCCTTGACTGTCATTGTGGGGCGGGGGTGGTACTGACTGCTAACAACGCAGATGCTGATGACTGACAGTTCCTTCTGGAACCAAAAGGAAGAACCCAGACAAATCACCTCCAACACAGATGCCCTCCCGCCGAGGGAGAACCTTTGGTAAAAGTGAGGGCAGGGCCTGGGGAGCAGGGGTGAGCAATCAAAGGCCTGAGACCCTGCCTAACACTTGAGTCAGCCCTGTCACAAAGGGCCAGTTGTCCAAAGGGCCAGATGGGAGGCAGGGTGGGGATGTGTCCTCAGCTGAGTCCCGACTCACCAGGAGAGGCTGTCGGCAGAGTTCTAGATTTCTGGGTACAGCAGTTGACAACAGATGTGCTCCTCTGCATAGCTCAGATTATCATGTCCCTGATCACAGCTACCCAGGAGCTCGTGGCCTCAGCGTTGTCAGATAAGCTACAGCGCAGGTGCTCAGGCAGCTGATCTCCATGCCATTTTGTTCTTTGCTTCTGTGAAGAGCTGTCTTCCTCCCAACAGATAAGCCTCCACTGGCAGGCTCTGGGATCCCACCTCCGGAGGAGGAGGAGGAGGAGGAAGGGAGAGCTCCCTGAATCAGGGACACAAGCTGGAAGGCCATGGCTGGGAACAGATTATGTCCGTTGCTTCCCGGGACAAGAAACCCTTCCTCTTTTATAGTTTTTAGGAAAAAAATATTTTTTTTTTAAATAAAGTTCCTTAACCCTGTCTTCCCTTCCCAAAATGATATTTAAAAAAAAGTGATGAGCCTACTTTAGAAATTCTCTCAGTAAAAAACAGCCTTTGCTTACGGTAGCTGGCCCACTGCCCCCCCTATCCAGGGCTGGACAGTGCCACCTCAGAGCTACTCAGAGGTCCCTGGCAGAGGCCAGATCCCCCATAGGCTGGGGGCCATCTGGCTGTTCAGTCAGACAGGCTATCTATCCGTATCCTTTCTGGACTAACAGGTTCCCTCTCTTCATGTGGGCCCACTGGGGAGGCCCCCGCAGGGTGGGCAGGGGGCCCCGGGCCCTCCTGTCAGATGGCATTCTCGTGGGAGGCTTTGTGCAGCAAGGAGTTACGCTCGTTGAGAAGAGTTGTGGTCTCGTCCACCACAGGCAGCTCAGACTTCTCGGCCAAGTTCTCCATGTGGGTGGTGCACCCGTCTATGGGAAACTGAGGGCTGTTCTCCATGCGAGAAGCCAGCAGCCCGTTCTGGTACTGCTGCCGAGTGATCTGCATGAGGAAGGGATGAGTTCATGGAGGGAGGGGCTGGGAGGCAGACCCTATCACCAGGCCTGGAGAAACAGGGCCAGGATTGAGGCTGTGAGTTGAGAGAGAACATGACCAGTCAGCGTCTCTGGAAGCCCTTACAAAGAACAAGGTGCACGAACAAGAGAAGAAAGCATCTCAGGGCTGGGCACAGTGGCTCACACCTGTAATCCCAGCACTTCAGGAGGCTGAGGCGGGCAAATCGCTTGAGCCCAGGAGTCTCAAGCCAACTTGGGCAACACAGTGAGACCCCATCTCTATAAGGGGAAAAAAAAAAAAAACCCGAAGCCACATGCACACCTGTAGTCCCAGCTACTCAGGAGGCTGAGGTGGGAGGAATCCTTGAACCCAAGAGTTCAAGGCTGAAGTGGGCTATGATCACACCACTGCATTCCAGCCTGGGCGACAGAGCAAGACCCCATCTCCAGAAGAAAAAGGCATCTCGGGTTTGGGCCCACCATGCTGGGTTTGGTGGATGAAAGTAGTAGCTGATTCCTGAGCAGAAGATAGCACTGCCCAGACAGGGCAGTGAGGCACTCACCTTGATGTACTGCAAGTCCACGAGTGCCCGGACGCTGAAGTCAGAGATGTACTGGCCCAGGACAGAGCTGCCAAACTGGTTGCTGCTGCCTGCCAAGGTTGCTGCAGTTGAGACGTCTGTGCGGTCTGGGTAACTGAGGGAGGCTGAGCGGCTGAGTGGGGTGGGGTGTGCTGGGGAACGGTCTGCAGGGAGAGCAGAGGTTGTCATGCCAAAGGCCACTCCGATGCCCACTCTCACCCTCATGTCTCACCTCATCCCATGGAAGCCCAGGGACACCCCACCCAGGAACAGGAAGTCATTCTTAGGGACAAACAGAAGCATGTAGAAGGTCTGACTGCATAAGGTCTGACTTCGTTAAAGCAAATGAATTAGTTTGTTTAGAACTATTGTGCAACAAGTATTAAAAAGTCTACCAAAACAAATCAACCAAACAGAAAATAAAAACCACAGACTTAGAAAGTTTATGGCTACAAAATCTCTCGTTTCCCACAACAACCAATCAGTCAAGGGCAACACAATGATCATCCTAGCAGGACAGGCAAACTGCCATTCTTAGGCTGGGCACAGTGGTTCACATTTGTAATCCCAGCACTTTGGGAGGCCGAGGCAGGAGGATGACCTGAGGTCAGAGTTGGAGACTAGGCTGGCCAACATGGTGAAACCCCATCTCTACTAAAAATACAGAAATTAGCCAGGCATGGTGGCAAACACCTGTAATCCCGGCTACTTGGGAGGCTGAGGCAGGAGAATCGCTTGAACCTGGGAGGTGGATATTGCAGTGAGCCAAGCTGGCACCACTGCACTCCAGCTTGGGTGACAGAGCAAGACTCTGTCTCAAAACAAACAAGCAAACTGCCATCCTTGTCTCAATACCAGCTTGTATCAAGTGACATAAACTGCATACTTTTAAATAAAAAATATGCATTAAAAGGAAGAATGTATAGTTTGCACTCTCTCTCTGTGAATACACACCCCACACATAAGATGCCCCGTCACACCTTTTCTTTGGAGACAGAGTCTTACTCTGTCACCCAGGCTGGAGTGCAGTGGCATGATTTTGGCTCACTGCAACCTCCGCCTCCCAGGTTTAAGCAATTCTGCTGCCTCAGCCTCCTGAGTAGCTGGGATTACAGGTGCCCAACACCACGCCTGGATAATTTTTTTTCTTTTTCTTGTTTTTTTGGTTTTGTTTTGTTTTTGTTTTTGTTTTTTTGAGATGGAGTCTTACTCTGTCACCCAGGCGCATTCCACCATGCCTAGCTAATTTTTTTTTTGTATTTTTAGTAGAGACGGGGTTTCACTGTGTTAGCCAGGATGGTCTCGATCTTATGACTGCTGGTGATCCGCCTGCCTCAACCTCGCAAAGTGCTGGGATTACAGACAGGTGTGAGCCACTATGGCCCTGCCAGCCCTGTCACCTCTTAAATGCTCTTATCAGGGGCTGGGCGAGGTGGCTCACACCTGTAAGCACCTTAGGAGGCCGATGCGGGCAGATTGCTTGAGCCGGAGTTCAAGACCAGCCTGGGCAACACAGCAAAACCGCATCTCTACAAAAAATACAAAAATTAGCCAGGCGTGGTGGCTTTTACCTGTGGCCCCAGCTCCTTGGGTGGCTGAGGTGGGAGGGTCACCTGAGCCTGGGAGGCGGAGGTTGTAACGAGCCGAGATTGTACCACTACACTCTGTCCACCCGCCGAACACCCAAAAAAGAAAATGCTTTTATGGAGTCAAAAGTGTGTTTTGCACACAACCTACTCAGCGTGAAACACAGTCCTACCCACTTCCACCTGCAACCCAGCCAGCCTGGCCGGGGCGGGTCAGGGTGACAGGCGCTTCTCCCCTCTCATGAGGCAGAGTTGTAACAATCTCGAATCTCGAATAAGAGTTGTAACAATCTTGAATAAGGAAGAATGGGCTTCTTATTTTGAAAAAGAAACTGCTTTTTCAAATGATATACGTTACTGTATATCATTAACTTGTTTTTGAGAACACAGGAAACCATGAAACGCACAAAGAAGTTAATTGTGAAGACATGCAGGATGGTTTTAAACAAACAGGAAGCGGACTAAGCTGATTTGCTTATTTAACTATTAAGTTACTAAGTTAGCCATTCTAACAAATTGCCAAGTGAAGAGAACAAACATACTGAATCTAGTGACTCAATGACCAATACAATTTTTAACTAAGGGCGCGCGCGCGCGCGCGCGTGTGTGTGTGTGTGTGTGTGTGTGTGTGTTGGATAGCTAGGGAAGGAAGAAGAGTAGAGATGAAGAACAAAGGGGAAAATAAAAATTAAATGAGACAAAAGAGGGACCTGGTAAGGTCTTAGTGGGTCGTGAACTGAGGATAATCATTAATTCAACTCTGAACCCAAGATCTAATTAAATAAAAAAAAAAGAGAGAGAAGTCTGAGTTCAAGTCTTTATGACTGACGTTATCAAAAGTGGTTTCATGTTTATGTAGCTCTGTATTTTGTAGATTTGAGAACATTTTAGCTGGAAAGCTAGTAATTTCATGTTCCTAAAACATCTAATTATTTTCATAAAACTGAAAAGAAGGTGTCAGCCCCCCGCCCGGCCAGCCGCCCCGTCCGGGAGGGCGGTGGGGGGGTCAGCCCCCCGCCCGGCCAGCCGCCCCCTCCGGGAGGGAGGTTGGGGGGGGTCAGCCCCCCTGCCCGGCCAGCCGCCCCGTCCGGGAGGTGAGGGGCGCCTCTGCCCGGCCGCCCCTACTGGGAAGTGAGGAGCCCCTCTGCCCGGCCACCACCCCGTCTGGGAGGTGTACCCAACAGCTCATTGAGAACGGGCCAGGATGACAATGGTGGCTTTGTGGAATAGAAAGGCGGGAAAGGTGGGGAAAAGATTGAGAAATCGGATGGTTGCCGTGTCTGTGTGGAAAGAAGTAGACATGGGAGACTTTTCATTTTGTTCTACACTAAGAAAAATTCCTCTGCCTTGGGATCCTGTTGATCTGTGACCTTACCCCCAACCCTGTGCTCTCTGAAACATGTGCTGTGTCCACTCAGGGTTAAATGGATTAAGGGCGGTGCAAGATGTGCTTTGTTAAACAGATGCTTGAAGGCAGCATGCTCGTTAAGAGTCATCACCAATCCCTAATCTCAAGTAATCAGGGACACAAACACTGCGGAAGGCCGCAGGGTCCTCTGCCTAGGAAAACCAGAGACCTTTGTTCACTTGTTTATCTGCTGACCTTCCCTCCACTATTGTCCCATGACCCTGCCAAATACCCCTCTGTGAGAAACACCCAAGAATTATCAATAAAAAAATAAATTTAAAAAAAAATAATAAAAAAAAAAAAAAAAAAAAACTGAAAAGAAGCCAGGGTATAACAACAGAGACTAAACTGAGTAATACTCTATCTTTGTGCTTAAGTAAAGCTTTGATTTTTATTTATAAAACTAGGAAACTACAGTTTCCTAGTTTACAGTTTATAGTTTATAGTTTCTCAGGAAACTGGCCATTCTATGATGAGGTTGTGGTATTCCCATGCAAGAACAGGAAATATTTTAGAGGATCATTAGAGGATCAAGTGCAAGTATCTAATGAGTAACATCTCTGATTAAGTTCTAGGAAAAGCAGAAATACTAGGGGTATTACTTAATACTTCACATAGCTATCTGAATGATGGAATGCTTTTAATTAATGCTAACACTCTAGAAACAGGAACTGAATTTTATTTTTAAAATAAACAATTTATTTTCTTTTTCAACTGAATTTATTTTATTATTATTATTTTTTAAAGGGTCTTGCTATGTTACCTCGGCTGGTTTGAAACTCCTGGGCTCAAGCGATCCTCCTGCCTCAGCCTCCCAAAGTGCTAGGATTACAGGAATGAGCCACCAAGCCTGGCCAAGAGACTGAATTTAAAACCAACACAAATTAGTGACATGGGCAGAGTGCGGTGGCTCACACCCGTAATCCCAGCACTTTGGGAGGCTGAGGCGGGCGGATCACCTAACATCAGGAGTTCAAGACCAGCCTGGCCAATATGGCAAAACCCTGTTTCTACTAAAAATACAAAATTTGGCCAGGCACGGTGGCTCACGCCTGTAATCCCAGCACGTTGGGAGGCCGAGGCGGGTGGATCACGAGGTCAGGAGTTCAAGACCAGCCTGGCCAACATGGTGAAACTCCGTCTCTACTAAAGATACAAAAAATTAGCCAAGGGTGGTGGTGCATGCCTGTAATCCCAGCTACTCAGGAGGCTGAGGCAGGAAAGTCACTTGAACCTGGGAGGTGGAGGTTGCAGTGAGCTGAAATCGCGCCATTGCACTCCAGCCTGGGCGACAGGGTCAAGACTCCATCTCAAAAAAAAAAAAATACAAAACTTAGCTGGGGGTTCCTGGCGCACGCCTGTAGTCCCAGCTACTCGGGAAGCTGAGGCAGGAGAATCACTTGAACCCGGGAAGTGGAGGTTGCAGGGAGCCAAGATCGCACCACTGCACTCCAGCCTGGGCGTCGCAGCAAGACTCCATCTCAAAAAAAAAAAAAAAAAAAAATTAGTGACGTGACCTATTAAGATTAGAGGTCCGGCCAGGTGCAGTGGTTCATGCCTGTAATCCCAGTGCTTTGAGAGGCTGAGGTGGGGGAAGTCTAGGAGTTTGAGACCAGCCTGGACAACATAGTGAGACCCCCATCTCTACAAAAAGTTAAAAAAAAAATTGCCCAGCATGGTGGCACCTGCCTGTAGTCCCAGCTACTTGGGAGGCTGAGGTGGGAGGGTCACTTGAGCCCATGAGGTTGAGGCTGCAGTGAGCTATGATTGCACCACTGCTCTCCAGCCTAGGTGACAGAGAAAGAACGTGTCTCTTAAAACAAACAAACAAAAAAACAGAGGTCCTAGAAAAAATTCACCAAAATCCATTTTGTCTCTGAGAGATGAAATTATGATACTTTTTAATTTTTTCAAGACTTTTTTCTATTTTCCCAATAAGCTACCTTACTTTTATGAGTAAAGCAAAAAATAAATAAAACAAAAACTGCAAGGTTTTTTTTTTTTTAGACAGAGTTTCGCTCTTGTTGCCCAGGCTAGAGCGCAATGGCACGATCTCAGCTCACTGCAACCTCCGCCTCCTGGGTTCAAGCGATTCTCTTGCCTCAGCCTCCCAAGTAGCTGGGATTACAGGCACCTGCCACCACGCCCGGCTAATTTTTGTATTTTTAGTAGAGATGGGGTTTCACCATGTTGGCCAAGGCTGGTCTCGAACTCCCGACCTCAGGCAATCCACGCACCTCGGCCTCCCAAAGTGTTGGGATTACAGGCATGAGCCACCGCGCACGGCCAACTGCAAGGTTTTGACCTGGTAATTTCATTGTTGAAAGGATATCCTAAGGACATAACCTTAAACACAGGGAAAGTTTTTTGCTTTTTTGCATAAAAAAGTTTATATCATGGTATTGTTTATAATAAAGACCCCCATGAATATGCATAAAGCGTAAAGTGGAGAATTAATCAATGAGGGCACACCTGCTCTCAGGATTCAAACCACAGGTGCATCACCTCCCGGCCATCCATGAAACCAGAGCAAGCCCAGAGGAGGGGAGGGAGGCTGAGGTCACACTGGGGAGGTTTGAAAGGGACAGGGAGTAACTGCTTCTAAGTCACCTTTTCATCTACTTATTTATTTATTAAACAGAGGGTCAAAATAGCAGAGTATACCTTGGAACAGTTCAGATGGAAGAAGGCCCAGCTGTACAAATGTAAAATGGATATCCCCGGGCTGAGGTGACGGGTTTTTAGGGCAGTTGGGGTGTGAGGAGCTGAAAGATGCTGGTGCTGCTCCTGATGGGCACAGGCCACACCTGATGAGACCAGCACCGTCCTGTGCCCTCTGCGGCCTGGTTGCACACGGGAATCCCAGCAAGCCTCAAGCTGAATGAGTCTGACCCTATTCCCACCGACTCCCCGGACAGGCATCAGGAGCATGACACATCCAAGGCCAGAAGCAGCATATGGCACTGGCCTTTCCTGAAAGACTTTCTGGTTGGAACACCACATTTTCATTGTAATCAGGAAAAAACAGAAATAATAATAATTGAGCTCTAACTCAACATTTTACATGAATTCTCTCACGTACTCTCCTGATAACTCTTATGAAGGGGGTACACGCATTGTTCCCATTTCACAGAGGGGAAAGCAGAAACAAAGACTATCATTTAGCCAGCAACTGTGGAGGTGGCTCTTGACTAGGCAGTCTGACCCGGGGCCATGCCCCTCATGGCCTCGCAGTTGCCTACTGGGCCAGCAGCTGAACGGGAAGCAAAGCTTGTGAAGAAAATCGGAAAGTCTTTTAGAGAAAGCTGATGAGATGACAAGTCACCCTGACACGGTGTGTGGGTGGCCTGGAGCAGGAAGTGCTTACCCGCTGGGGTGCGTCTCCTCTTGGCCGTGGAGGGCAGCAGGCTGGCCGGTGCTCACTTGGCTGGGCCAGGAGCAACCCTCCACTCCCAGCCTATCCTCTGGGTGTGCATGTGTGTGTGTCTGTGGTTGTGTTTCTGTGTGTATGTGTCTATGGATGTGTGTTTCAGTGTGTGGTATCTGTGTGTGTGTGTGTCTATGGGTGTATCTGTGTGTGTCTGTGTGTGGTATCTGTGTGTCTCTGTGTTTGTGTGTCTATGGGTGTATCTGTGTATATATACCTGTGTGTCTGTGTGTCTATGGATGTGTATCTGTGTGTGTCTGTGTGTGTGCCTATGGGTGGGTGCTTCTGTGTGTGTGTGTGTCCATGGGTGTGTGTCTGTGTGTGTCTCTTTGTGTGTGTGCCTATGGGTGTGTGCCTATGGGTGTGTGTTTGTGTGTCTATGAGTGGTGTATCTATGTGTGTATGTGTATCCTGGTGTGTCTACGGGTGTTTCTCTGTGTATGCCTCTGTGGCATCTGTGTGTCTATGGGTGTATCTGCATGTGTGTTTCTGTGTGTGATATCTCTGTCTATGGGTGTCTGTAGTATCTCTGTCTGTGTGTGTGTCTGGGTGTGTGGTCTCTGGGTGTGTGTGGTCTCTGCATGTGTGTGGTCTCTCTGCGTGTGTGTGGTCTCTCTGCGTGTGGTCTCTGTGTGTGTGTGTGTGTGGTCTCTCTGCATGTGTGTGGTCTCTCTGCGTGTGGTCTCTGTGTGTGGTCTCTGTGTGTGTGGTCTCTCTGTGTGTGTGCTATCTCTGTGTGTGGTCTCTGTGTGTGTGTGGTCTCTCTGTGTGTGTGCTATCTCTGTGTGTGGTCTCTCTCTGTGTGTGGTCTCTGTGTGTGTGTGGTCTCTCTCTGTGTGTGCGGTCTCTCTGCATGTGGTCTCTCACTGTGTGTGTCTCTGCGTGTATCTATGGCTATGTGTATCTGTATGTGTATCTCTCTGTGTGTCTCTGTGTGTATGTGTCTATGAGTGTGTGATCTCAAGCACCAAGAGATCTTTGGGGGCCCCTTCTAGAGCTGAGGCAGCAAAGCTGCCTAGAAATTGGGCCCCAGCCAAGCAGAGCCACTGAGGTCTGGCGGCCCACATTGAGCAGGCGGGGGTCCGGGTCCATGTGGGGAGGTTAATGCAGCTGCAGTGTGCAGGCACAGGCAGCAGGTGGCAGCGTGACCCTCAGCTGTGCCACGTTACCTGTGAGCCAGCAGAGCAGGGAGTTCCGCTTGCCAGGCGGACACCCGACCTGGACTGAAGGCACTGGAGCAAAAGAGAAGGTCAGTGATGGGCGCAGTCAGGAGACAGGACACGGAACCACAGGCACAGGACAGAGGCAGACCTGACGGGGCCAGGCTGCTTTGGGCAGAGATGGGCCCAGTGGAGAAAGGGACATGGCTCTGCTGGGAAGGGTGCTCAGGGCACAGCGGTGAGCCCTGTGCGGAGACAGGCAGAAGCTGGCTGAGTGTGCCCAGTCATCTCCCCTCTCTTCTGGCCACACCAAGTGGGAACAGAGAGACTATGGGTCAACGGACAGAGCCTGGGCCCTAACCGGGCCTCTGAGGCTTCACTGCACAAACAGTGCCTGGGGGAAGCCTCCCGTGCCTGCCCGCCCTTCTGAATGAGATTTCCTCAAACTGAACAGAGAACAGCTGCTCTTGGAGGCACAGGAAGTCATCCCCAGGCCTGAGGCATCTGATAGGGTTAACCTGCTCAGAGCCCCGCTCTGGGGCCCTGTCTGTCCCCTGCCCAGGGAGCCTGCCATGCCCCACTCATCTGGTGGAGGGGCCGAGGACATGGTGGATAAGCCAAGCTGGGTGTCAGTATTCATGGGTGCCCTACCCCCGTTCCCCCTCGGGGTCCTTTTTGTCAAAGGACAGTGAGAGGCACAGCACAGAGGTTCTCTGGGAGCTGCAGCTCGTACCCCACTGGCGTGGCCTGTTCTCCAGCACCAAAGTGGACTTTCTCTCTCTACCCTGCAGCAACCTCGCCCCAGGACCGAAGCCTGGAGAGGAGCGAGGAGATGAGCTGGCGAGACCTGGGCCTGCGGGGCCTTGTCTGTGGGGCTCTGCGGGGAAAGCCTGAGCCACTCAGCACAGGAGAGGGCACTGGGGCGGCCAGAGTGGCGCATCCCCGGACCTTCCATAACACCTCTCGGAGGGTGCCCAGTCTCCCTTCTGTCTGTCCCCAAGGCCCTTTATTCCATCGGAGCTGACCTCTAACCAAAACCCAGTAGCCGCGTCCTCCGAAAAGCCAAACCCATCTGCAGCCTGCCCTGGCAAACAGGCCCTGGCCTGGCTCCTGACCCCAGTCACTTTGGATGCTCAGACTCCCCTCCTGTCCTCAGGAGCAGGGCCCTGGGCCTTCCTCCCCACAGGCCTCCTCTCCAAGCAGGCTGGTCTCCTCACAACCTCTGGACATGCCCTCCGCTGCCTCCAGGCCTTTACTCTAAAATCCCTCACTCCTCTTTTCCCCTCCAGCTTCTGGACCCCATCCAAAGTGGCAGCTCCCTCTGCTCTTCCACACCACCCGCTCCAGGCCCTGGCGGCTCCCGCCTCACCAGCCTCCCTCTGCCCCAGCCAGCTGGCTATGAGCTCTCGGGCCCATGCTCAGTTCTGGTGTCGGTCCATGGCTCCCCAGCTGCAGGGGGGCCAAAGGGCAGCAAAGACCATGCCCAACAACTCACCGGAGGGGACCGAGGTCAGGGCCATAGTCCCATAGTAGGAGAAGGCGCCCGTCTCAAACTTCATGTTCTCCTTCCCTGCCTCCACCTCCACCTTCCCCTGAAAAAACACAGGGCTGGAGTTAGAGACCAAGTGAGGGAGGAAACAAAGGATGAGGCAGGATGGGGAGTGAGGAACAAGGGACAGTGGGGCAGGAGGAAGGGCCGGTACTGGAGCCCTGGAGAGCTCAGGGGCCTGACCTGTGAGATCAAGAGTGGCCTCTCAGGGAGAGGATGGCCACGTGGGGCAGGCGGGGCTCAAGGGCAGGCAGCAGGCTCCCCAGGCAGGGAAGCCATGCACCTCCGCAGCAGGTGGGAGAGAGGGCCTGGGGGTTGCTGCAGTGCCAGGGGGAGCAGGTGGCAGGCCCAGGGCTGAGCGGGCTCACCTGCAGGATGAGGATGAAGTAGTCGGCCGGCTTATTTCGGGTGTACAGGTAATGGCGGGCGTAGTACTTATTGTGCTCGTCAAACTTGAGTTCCTGAATGACATCTGGGTACTTGAGTAGCCGCAGCAGGATCTTCTCTGATATCAGGGAGGGGCTAAACTGAGAGACCTCTGTAGGAGGAGAGAGAAGAGACCTCACACGGGGCTGGCCAGGTGGCCCTAAAGCTCGATCACTGCTGTGCCTCCACCCCAACCACAGCAGCCACGCTGTGCTCAGACGACTCCCGCCCTGCTCGGCCGGCCCTCGTTCTGCACCTCCCTGGGGAGGGAGCACGCTTGGCTTCTGACTGGTTGGATACAAGGCTGCCTGCCTGCCTGGGCTTGAACAGTGGCTCCTGCAAGAACAGCACATGACCTTGGGCAAATTACTTAACCTGCATCTCAGTTTCCTCATCTGTAATATGGGGGTAAAAGCTTCACAGGGTGGTTGTGAGGGTGAATGGGATAGCACATGGACAGCACTTAGTATATATGTGCTGTCCATATATACTAAAATATATAGACTATAATTATTGCATCAGCATCAATATCCCACAGGAAAAATAATGGAGAGGGAATTGCCACCCCTTTAGCAAGTAAGGGGTGGGAAGGAAGATGAATTGGGCCAGGGGAAGAGGGGGACAGAGCGGGCAGAGCAGAACCTGTCACCCAAGTCCCCAGTGGAGCTTTGAATCAGGGCTGAAAAGAGAGAAATGTCTCTGAACTAGAAGTGAATTCCTGCGGGAACCAGCACACGTCTGCAAAGGGGAGAGCTGGAGAGTAAGAGCAGAGCTGGATGCAAGCTCCTCAGAGTGGGTGAGCACACGAGGGGTCCAGCCACACCCAGCAGGCCTGCAGAAGGGGAAGCGTCCCTTCTCCTTCCCATTCCACAAGCCCTGATGGGCCTGGCCAGCCTAGGGGCCCACCTCAGTGGTTATTTTCTTTTTTGTTATTTTTGAGACAGAATCTTGTTCTGTGGCCCAGGCTGAGTGCAGTGGTGCATTCACAACTTACTGCAGCTTCAAACTCCTGGGCTCAAGCGGTCCTCCCACATCAGCCTCCTGAGTAGCTGGGACCACAGACATGCAACTGTCCCACCTCATAGCCTCCCAAGTAGCTGGGACTACAGGAGGGCACCACCATGCCTGGCTTTTGTATTTTTTGTAGAGATGGGGTCTCGCCATGTTGCTCAGGCTGGTCTCGAACTCCTGGGCTCATGCAATCCTCCTGCCTCGGCCTCCCAAAGTGCTGGGATTACAGGTATAAGCCATAGTGCCTAGTCATTATTTCCCAAACTATTAAATATAGTAACTTGGATGCTTCCTAGAAGTTTGCAGTAGCCGCCCATTAATGGCAAATGAATCGCAGGGAGATCCCCAGGGGTGGAGCAGATACCCGGCCCCTTCCAGGGGTGGCTGTGTTGTCTCTGCACCCCTCACCTGCTGCAGCCCTCGTCCTATGGGGGGAAAGCAGCCGGAAACCCAGGACTTCTCCCCCGTGACCGTATTTCCACCAAGACCGGAAGGTCCTCCTCATGCTACCTGTGGCTAGGAAGCGATGAGCGGCCAGGAGGAGCTGCGGGGAGATTTTCACTTTGAGCTCATTGTCCGCATCCTTGAAGGCAGAGAAGTCACGCTTGTTCTTCTCAGACACCCGCTTCCGGCTTCGGTTGTCAGCTGCCGGAAGAAGAGCGTGGAATTGAGAACACAGACCCCTGAGGACTTAGGAAGAGACTGGAACCCGCCCCGCAGCTCCTGCTCTCCAGCCCCTAGTCCCACGCAGGAGCAGCAGGCTCTGGCTGGCAGGGTCCTGGGCTGACGCCGAGGCACAAAGGCCGAGGGTGAAGGCAGCCTCCGGGCACTGCTCTCAGCAACCTGCTCCCTGCTCACCCCGGCCAGTGCAGGGCACCCAGCCACTGGGCCTCTGGATGCTAGGCCTCCTGTGTCCCTGCACTATGGCCCTTCCAGCTAGGGACACCAAGTTTCGATCCAAGCAGGAAAGGGGTCCTGGGCCCTGTGGAAGGCTGGACTCACTGTACATGTCGGACTCGTCCAGGATCTCCGACTTGATGATCTCCTCGATCACGTCCTCCAGGGTGACCAGGCCCAGGACCTCGTAGAAGGGGTCACCCTCACCCTCGTTGTTTACCTTCTGCACGATGGCCAGGTGGGACTTCCCTGTGGGACAATGCAGCAAGTCAGACAAGAGCCCAGAGGCCAGTCATGAGACTCCCTCAACCAAAACATTAACTCTAGACGTAGGGTCATAAGTCACCAGGATGGGGTCATGGTGGTTTTTATCTTTTCCATCTTTCCTGACGTTTCTACTGCAAACAGACATTGCTTTTATGAAAAGGAAAACTAAAAGTAATTTTTAAAAGCATGTCGTTAAGGACCACTTTTTTGTTTTTCTCTGTTTTTGTGGAGGAAGGACAGGGTCTAGCTCTGTTACCCAGGCTGGAGTGCAGTGGCGCAATCATAGCTCACTGCAGCCGCCAACTTCTGGGCTCAAGAGATCCTCCCACCTCAGCCTCCCGAGTAGCTGAGACCACAGGTGTGCTCCACCATGCCTGGCTAACTCTTTTATTTTTTGTAGAGATGGATCTCGCTATGTTGCTCAAGCTGGTCTCAAACTCCTGGGCTCAAGCAGTCCTCCCATCTCAGCCTCCCAAAGTGCTGGGAATACAGGAATGAGCCACCACGCCAGGCCAGGACTACTTGTTTAAATCGGATAAAAATGGCAATGCTGGGAGCAATGGCTCACATCTGTAATCCCAGCACCTTGGACGGGCTGAAGCGGGCAGATTGCTTGAGGCCAGGAGTTTGAGACCAGCCTGGCCAACACGGTAAAACCCCATCTCTACTAAAAATACAAAAATCAGCTAGGTGTGGTAGTACACACCTGTAGTCCCAGCTACTCGGAAGGCTGAGGCAGGAGAATTGCTTGAACCCGGGAGGCAGAGGTTGCAGTGAGCCGAGATCACGCCACTGCACTCCAGCCTGGGCAACAGAGCAAGACTCTGTCTCAAAAAAAAAAAAAAAAAAAAAAAAAAAAAAAGACCCTGTCTGGTATCACTTATCAGGGGCTTCTGGAACTCTTGGGGAGGGGAAAGACCCAAACTGACAAGGGCACAGAGAGGCCGAGCACTGTGATTAGGTGGGGCAGAGACTACAATTAGAGAGGGGCCACCCCCTCAACCCAAAGTGAGGGAAGGAGGCTGGCATGGGGCAGGACCCTCCACAGAAACCCTGTGGGGTGGTGGGTCTTCCCAGACCCCTTTTTGAAGGCCACACCCTGTTCTTATGGCCCCAGCCCCATGAGTGGCAAGAGGGTCCAGCCAAGAAGGGCTAGGTCCACAGTCTAGGTGGAATGAGTCCTGTGTGCCATACCCCACTCGCAGGAACACAGGTTTGGAGCAGCCTAGGAAGAAAGGCCCCCGGAAATCTGGGAAGGTCAAGTCAGGGTCTTCTGCATGGCTTCCCCTTCACAATCCAAGGGCCTCGCTCTAGGGACTAAAGAACTCATCCTAAATACCCTCGGTGGAGGATGTTTTCCAGGTCTTTAAGGCCACAGAAAATCCCCCAGCCCAAGATGGGCTGTTAAGAACTTCTAAGGGCCTCTTAGGGAGAGCAGAGAGAATGTGAGGTCTCATGACTAAAGTAAAAATTCTCACAATACACCCCATGTGATGGGGGGGGGGGTACTGCATTGTGAAAGTTTTTCACACACATGCCAGGGGCTATGATATATGTATTTCCCACTACAGGTTCTGGTCAAAAAACATTTAGCGTCTTGCTAGACAAAGCCATGGCTGGACTCGATTGAAAATACCCCAGTATCTTCCTAGAGATGAGCCAACAAGTTCAAGAGATCTGTGAGGCCCTCCAGCAGGGCGGCAGCGGGCCAGGCCGGGACCCTGGGGTCCGCCCCCAGGCCTCTGTGCCTGCTGGAGGCTGTCCATACAGGAGTGCCCTCCAGAAAGACAGTGCCTGGAAGGGCCTGGGCATCTAGCTAAACCATGTCACCACATGGGGATGGGAATTAAAGCAAGGCAGCTTTGACAGGCTGAGTATCCCTTATTCCTCACTGGGGATCAGAAGTGTTTCAGATTTCAGATTTTTTTGGATTTTGGAATATTTGCAGAATACACGCCATTGGGCATCCCAAATCTGAAAATCTGAACTACAAAATGCTCCAATGAGCATTTCTTTTGAGCATCATGTTGGTACTCAAAAAGTTTTGGATTTTGGAGCATTTGGGATTTTGGATTTTTGGATTCGGGATGCCCAACCTGTACCCCCTTCCAGATGGGCACCCTCTAAAAAGCCTGGTAATGCCCAGTTATGGTGGAGGATGGGGAAGACAAACAGGCCCTCACATGTATCTGGTTGGTGGCCAGGTAAAAGGGTACATTTCAGGGGGCCAGTTGGTCAGGATGTCACAAAATCAAGGGTTCCTAACCTTGGACTTAGAAGGTCCACTTCTAGGAACTCACCCTAGGGAGAGGCAACCTTCACAAAAGACACAAGAGAAGGGGGCTCTTGGCAACATTCTTTTTAACAGCCCCAAACCAGAAACAACCTAAAGCAATAGCAATAGGGCACAGGGACTCAAAAGGGGCCACAGCTACTCAAGGGAGAACACGGCAGAGGTGGATGAATAAAGCGCGGAACGAAATCCAAGATACGCTATTAGTGAAAGAGCAAGTCACGGAACAGAATGCATGGAGCCATCTGCCTTCACAGAAACAAAGGCGTGTGTGGGCTTGAACTGCCCTGGAAGCGTCCAGAAGTAGTAAGAGTGGTCACCTTTGGGGGTATTTGGAGTTTGGGGAGGAGGCTATTTTGCCTCTCTATATACCCTTCTATACTGTTATATTTGATGGGCATGTTTTACTTTTATAATTTAAAAACAAAACTGAGACAAAATTAAGGGGGAAAACAAAATTAAGGAGAACAAAGGGAAACTGGTGAGAGTCTCTAGGGTGGACAAGGGCCCTCTGTGCTTTTTACTGCCACAGATCGAGCCCCAGGGAATGGGGGTGTGTTCTTTGACAAGGTTCAGTGAGCAGAACCTTGTTCAGACCCCCAAAGTCAGAAAACAACCTCTCCACTACATTCACATCCCTAATTACTCCACAGGCTCAGACCAAATCCTGACCAACGAAAGGTTCCCTCACAGTGAAAGGCTGCTGGCCTCTCTCTGTTTTTATTTTTTTTGAGACAGACTCTCACTGTGTAGCCTAGGCTGGAGTGGCCCAGGCTGGAGTACAGTGGTACAATCTCAGCTCACTGCAACCTTCACCTCCCAGGTTCAAGCGATTCTCCTGCCTCAGCCTCCTGAGTAGCTGGGTGTGCGCCACCATACCCAGCTAATTTTGCATTTTTAGTAGAGACGGGGTTTCGCCAGGTTGGCCAGGCTGGTCTCGAACTCCTGACCTCAAGTGATCATTCTGCCTTGGCCTCCCAGGGTGCTGGGATTACAGATGTCAGCCACCGCGCCCGGCCTGGCAGCCTCTCTTATAGTGGAAACAGCCCTCCTGCGGATGAAATGAGCTGATTCCCTGAGCAGGGTCTTGATACCATTCTCCGCCCCCCGCCTCCTCTCTGAGACCCCTTGGCGGGATCCACTGCTGTGTGTGTGCACCCTCGGGTGGCAGCCAGCTGCATGACAGGCACCTTGTAGGTGTACAGCCCTGAGCACCATGTACACGTTCACCCCTCCTCTGCAAGCTGAGCTTTGGGCACTGCCTGATGGCTGGCCAACTGGGGTTCCGTACAGAGGTTCCAGCCTAAGGGGCCAGTCAGTCACCCTCTGCAGGGTGAGCTTTGGGCCCCTGGGCTGTTTTTCCTATTTTCTAATTTGTCTGTCCAGAGGGGACATCTTTTTGTCCTGGTAGAATTTTCCCCTCCCCGGGCCAGAGAGCCTCTGGTCAAGGTCACCAATGACCTTTCATGGTGGAGTGTTATTCTCAGATGACCTGCTGACCAACGGTGACTCCCTCCTTTCCCCTGGAAGCCCTTTCTGCCCAGGGCTTCCAGGGCACAGCCCTCCCAGTGCTCCTGACCTCAGGAGTCACTGCTTCTCCCTGACCACTTAAATGCTGGAGAGACTCAGAACTCAGTCTGTACACCTGGTCCCTTGCCTAGCAACTTTAAATACAAGTGTACAAGTGTCCCAAATAAATCTCTGCAGCCCTGTCCTCTCCCGTGCCCTCCAGATTCCTCTATCCAAGTGCTGCCTGACGTCACTAATACCTTGAAATTAACGCAGCCAAAACCCAGCTCATGCCCATCCCCCCAACACTCCTGTCTCCCTTTAGGGCAGCTCTGTCCCAGTTATCAGGCCCATGGGACGGTGAGCCTGACCTCCTCTCTTTTTTTTTTGAGATGTAGTCTTGCTCTGTCGCCAGGCTGGAGTACAGTGGCGCGATCTCAGCTCACTGCAACCTCCACCTAGCAGGTTCAAGGGATTCTCCTGCCTCAGCCTGCCAAGTAGCTGGGATTACAGGCGCCCGCCACCACACCCAGCTAATTTTTTGTATTTTTAGTAGAGATGGGGTTTCACCATGTTGGTCAGGCTGGTCACGAACTCCTGACCTCAGGTGATCCACCCTCCTCGGCCTCCCAGAGTGCTGGGATTACAGGTGTGAGCCACCGTGACCAGTCCCTCCTGTCTTTCTTTGTGCCTCTACATCCATTTAGCAGGAGGAGAAAAGTAACCAGTGAGGGGAAGGGGAGCGGGGAAGGGGAAGGGAGGCCGAAGATGGAAAGAATTATTTTAGATTTTACTAATTTAGAAGTTTCTATACTTCGGAAATTATTGCTAACTGATTTAACATCTAAAATAAGCAGATCAATTTAGGGCTTATATTTAGGATTCTCATTGTATAAATTCTAATAAAATTGTATTTTTGTGTGTGTGTGGTTTTTTTTTTTTTTTTGAGCTGGAGTCTCACTCTGTCACCCAGGCTGGAGTGCAGTGGCGTGATCTCAGCTCACTGCAATCTCCACCTCACAGGTTCCAGTGATTCTCCCACCTCAGTCTGCCTGATTACAGGCACCTGCCACCACACTCGGCTAATTTTTTGTATTTTTAGTAGAGATGGGGTTTCACCATGTTGGCCAGGCTACTCTCCTGCTCCTGATCTCAAGTGTTCAGCCCACCTCGGCCTCCCAAAGTGCTGAGATTTCAGGCGCAGAATTGCTTGAACCCAGGAGGTGGAGGTTGTAGTGAGGCAAGATCATGCCACTGCACTCCAGCCTGGGCAACAGAGCGAGTGACTCCATCTCAAAGAAAAAAAGAAATTAATACTATTGATTATGAAAAATTTGGAATTTTTTATATAGGAAAATATAAAAAGAAAACAGAAAATAGAAACCATCCTGAATCCCCCATATGTAGATTAAGCCACATGAATTGCTGGTTTTGGTAAAATATAATTGAATATCAGCAATTTTATATGGCTCAAGCAAATACTAACATTTTGCTATATTTCCTCAGTCATTTTTCATTGACTAAGGACTACTTTGAAAAATGTGGATTTTTAGCTGTAGATGTATTGTTTTAATTTCCATGTTTCTTTCTTTTTTTTTTTTTTGAGACGGAGTCTTTCTCTTTTGCCCAGGCTCAAGTGCAGTGGATTCTTCTGCCTCAGCCTCCTGACTAGCTGGGATTACAGGCGCCCGCCACCACACCCAGCTAATTTTTTGTATTTTTAGTAGAGACGGAATTTCACCATGTTGGCCAGGCTGGTCTCGAGCTCCTGACCTCAGGTGATCCACCCACCTCAGCCTCCCTAAGTGCCGGGATTACAGGCATGAGCCACTGTACCCAGCCGATGCCACCCCCAAAATCTAATCAGCCAATTGAATGGACACCAATAATAACATAAGGTAGCTCATTAAAATACAATTTTACGGGCTGGGCGCTGTGGCTTACACCTGAAATCCCAGCACTTTGGGAGGCCATGGCAGGTGGATCACCAGCCTCCTGAGTAGCTGGGACTATAGGCATGCACCACCATGCCTGGCTAATTTTTGTATTTTAATTTTTTTTTTTTTTTTTTTGAGACAGAGTCTCACTCTGTTGTTCAGGCTGGAGTGCAGTGGTGCGATCTCAGCTTACTGCAACCTCCATCTCCCCGGATCAAGCAATTATCCTCTCTCAGCCTCCCGAGTAGCTGGGACTACAGGCACAGGCCACCATGCCCAGCTAATTTTTGTATTTTTAATAGAGACAGGGTTTCACCATACTGGCCAGGCTGGTCTCGAACTTCTGACCTCAGGTGATCCACCCGCCTCAACCTCCCAAAGTGCTGGGATTACAGACATGAGCCACTGTGCCCAGCTGGATTTTTGTATTTTTAGTAGAGATGAGATTTTATCATGTTCCCTAGGCTGGTCTCTAACTCCCAACCTCAAGTGATCCATCCGCCCACCTCGGCCTCCCAAAGTGCTGGGATTACAAGGGTGAGCCACCATGCCCAGCCAATAGTATTAATCTCATAATGAGAAAAAAAAAACACATCCATTAGGCCGGGCGCGGTGGCTCATGCCTGTAATCCCAGCACTTTGGGAGGCCGAGGCAGGCGGATCACCTGAGGTGGGGAGTTTGAGACCAGCCTGACCAACATGGAGAAACTCCATCTCTACTAAAAATACAAAATTAGCCAAGCATGGTGGCACATGCTTGTAATCCCAACTACTCGGGAGGCTGAGGCAGGAGAATCGCTTGAATCTGGGAGGTGGAGGTTGCAGTGCGCCGAGATCGTGCCATTGCACTCCAGCCTGGGCAACAAGAGTTAAACTCTGTCTCAAAAAAACAAATAAATAAACAAACAAAAAAACACATCCATCAAATTAACTTTAAAAAAAAATTCTAGGCCGGGTGCGGTGGCTCACGCCTGTAATCTCAGCACTTTGGGAGACCGAGGCGCGTGGATCACGAGGTCAGGAGATCGAGACCATCCTGGCTAACACGGTGAAACCCCATCTCTACTAAAAATACAAAAAATTAGCCGGGTGAGGTGGTGGACGCCTGTAGTCCCAGCTACTTGGGAGGCTGAGGCAGGAGAATGGCGTGAACCCGGGAGGCGGAGCCTGCAGTGAGCCGAGATCACGCCACTGCACTCCAGCCTGGGCAACAGCAAGACTCCGTCTCAAAAAAAAAAAAAAAAAAAAAAATTCTAGCCCGGGTGTGTTGGCTCACGCCTGTAATCCCAGCATTTTGGAGGGCCGGGGGCGGGGGGTGGGTGGATCACGAGGTCAGGAGTTCAAGACCAGCCTGACCAACATGGTGAAACACCGTCTCTACTAAAAATACAAAAATTAGCCAGGCGTGGTGGCGCGGGCCTGTAATCCCAGCTACTCAGGAGGCTGAGGCAGGAGAATCACTTGAACCTAGGAGGCGGAGGTTGCAGTGAGCCGAGATCGCACCACTGTACTCCAGCCTGGGCGACACAGACTCTGTCTCAAAAAAAAAAAAAATTAACTAATAAAATAAAATAAAATTCTAATACCGCTTCCTCTGGGACTTCAGGGTTCCTGAGCCTCCCCAAGCCCTTTCCAAGCACTGCAAGAAAGGGGGTCCAGAAAGAAGGTTCCTGGCACCCTGGCTGTCCCCACTGTCTTCTCCAGGCTTTGCCTGGCGGCATGCTTGCCCACTCTGCCCTCCAGCGACCTCTGTCCAGCAGCAGCCAGGTGGGACCGTGCCCTCCACAGTCAAAGAACACCATGTGAGGCCTCCAGAAACCCCGGAGGGCTGGGCAGACCACAGGTGCCAGCCTCAGCCTCCCTCACAGCTGGCACAAGGGCAAGGAGGATCCCAGCCCTGCCTGAGTCCCTCACAGCTCCTCCTGCTCCCCAGCCTCCGTGTCACCTCTTTATCCTTCTGCCCTGGGCTCAAACGTTAGCCCTGGGTGTTAGCCATGTTGTCTTTTAGGGCCCTGGATCCCGACCCATTTCTTCCCTTCACAGCTCTGTGCCATCGGCTGACCGGCGTCTATCTCCCACTGACCAGGCTGCAGCCTGGCGAGGCCTGAGTAGTGCCCTCGCTCCTCGCCATGCTACCCCAACCCCTCCCACTATGCCTAGCACAGCAGGTGCTCCACACCCCTGCTGGATACAGAAAGGATGGCCCCACCCTGCACAATGCCCATTTTAGCAAACTGCTGCGTCCTCCTTCCCCGCCCTCCATAAAAAAAGACTTTACAGCCCCTTGAAGTCCTTAAGAAAACCGTATTATAGGTGCTGGGTTACAAAGTCCACAGGGGCCATGAGAGGGCCCTACTCACCAGCTCCAGCTGCTTTTTCTCATGGGGAAAAGCCAGGGGCCCCAGAGCAGACCAGGGACTCCCACCACCCAAGAAGGAGTCCTCTGCATCTTACTCAATGAGTCTCCCAGGAAGGTCCAGCCTCTGAGATCCCAGGGGCCCAGGATGTTCCCGCGCTCTCAGGCCCTCCCATGGGAGAGGTGCGGGCTGGACTGACTGGAAGCCACAGGCTTGGGCCCTGGGTCCACACCTGCAGATAGCTGAGCACCCTGATTTCTTGGCGATTCTCTGCTCTTTCCTCCCTTCACCCAAGCTCCCGCAGGATTAAGCTGGCTATTAATAGTGCTGACCTCAACCACCGGGATGAGTGGCAGCCAGCCCAGCAAGAAGGCAGAGCCAGGGCAGGAGAGGAACCAGCCAGAGTGACAAGCCCCTGCCCTCTAGCCTCGGGGAGGGCAGCTGGGTTCATCCATAATCCTAAACAGGGCTCATCTATGTTGCTCCCTTCCTCCCAGAGACACAGCTGGCAGTCAGGGCAGTCAGTCCAGGCAAAGGCCAGAAGACCAGAAGGCTGCGGTGGCCCAGCAGGCAGGCCATACACTCTATACTCGCTAGACTCTGAGACAGAGTGAGACCCTGTCTCCAGAAAAAAAAAAAAAAAAAGATTACAGCGATTAAAACAGTGTAGTACTGGGCAGGGCACTGTGGCTCATGCCTGTAATCCCAGCACTTTGGGAGGCCAAAATGGGCGGATCACTTGAGGTCAGGAGTTCAAGACCAGCCTGGCCAACATGGTGAAGCCCCATCTCTACTAAAAATACAAAAATCAGTTAGGCATGGTGGCACAGGCCTGTAATCCCAGCTACTCAGCAGGCTGAGGCAGGAGAATCACTTGAACCTGGGAGGCTAAAGTTGTAGTGAGTTGAGATTGCACTACTGCACTCCAGCCTGGGCAACACAGCGAGACTCTGTCTCAAAAACAAGCAAACAAAACAAAAACAGTGCGGTACTGGAGAGAACAATGGACAGAAATATTTATTTTACTTCAATTTTTTTTAGACAGGGTCTCATTCTGTCACCCAGGCTGCAGTACAGTGGCACAATCACAGCTCACTGCAACTTTGACTTCCTGGGCTCAAGTGAACCTCCTACCTCAGCCTCCCAAGTAGCTGGGACTATAGGGCATGCCACTAAGCTCAGCTAATTTTTAAAAAAAATTTTGTAGAGATGAGGTTTCACTATGCTGCCCAGGCTGATCTCGAACTCCTGGGCTCAAGCGATCCTCCCACCATGGCCTCCCCAAATGCTGGGACTGTAGGCGTGAGTCACCATGCCTGGCTTATGGACAGAAATAAACTCCAACAAATTGGGAATACTGTATATAATAAATCTGGTATATTAAATTGCAGGAGAAAAGAGAGATTATTCAATGAAAGTTACTGGGCTAACTGGTCCAAAGTCACTGTTTTATACCAGACTTATAAATCCCTAAGAAAAACCACTAGCTTAATTTTAAATAGAAATACAATAAATACAAACAAAATATAAGGAAATACAAATTTTCAAAATGAACTCATTTTTTACCTATCATATTAGTCAAGATTTCAGAGATTGGTACTCTCAGTGTTGGCAGGAGAACTACCCACCGTTGGAAGTTCAATTTTTACTTCAGAAATTTGGCAGTATGTGCCAAAATGTAAAATATGCAAGACCTTGGACTCTGCCATTTCTCCCAACCCTAGGAAGTGACCTTAATACAAAGGAAACACCCAGGCCAGCATGCAAGGTGTGCCCAGGAGGGCCTGCCAATGTTATTTGTAACAATATTGCAGGGCTCTTAAAAAGGCTGACTCAGACATGAATTTATCTCAAGAGACGGTGATTCACTATTTGTGTAAAGTAAAAAGTTCCAAAACAGTAGAGTAGGAAGGACTGCTGGTTTCCTTCACTTTTGCTTAATGCATTTTATACTTCACATGCTATTTTTTATTTTTACTCTTCTAATTAGACACTATTTTCATATTGGGGGAGAAGCAATATCATTTGTTGCTGACTTGGTAGAAGAAAATACACCAAAATATCCACATTTTGGATGATGGGATAAGAGTGACTTTTTTTTTTTTTTTTTTTTTTTTTTGAGACAGAGTCTTGCTCTGTTACCCAGGATGGAGTGCAGTGGTGCGATCCCAGCTCACTGCAACCTCCGCTTCCCAAGTTCAAGCCATTCTCATGCCTCGGCCTCCCAAATAGCTGGGATTACAGGTGCCTGCCACCACGCTGAGCTAATTTTTTGTATTTTTTAGTAGACGGGGTTTCACCATGTTGGCCAGGTTGGTCTGGAACTCCTGACCTCAAGTGATCTGCCCACCTGGGCCTCCCAAAGTGCTGGGATTACAGGCATGAGCCACCGTACCTGGCCATGTGACTTTCATTTCTTAATCATTTTCCACTTTTCTAAGTTTCTCTAATACACTACTTTTTAAGAACTTTTTTTTTTTTTTTGAGACAGAGTCTTGCTCTGCCACCCAGGCTGGAGTGCAATAGCACGATCTTGGCTCACTGCAGCCTCTGCCTCCCAGGTTCAAGCAATTCTCCTGCCTCATCTCGAGTAGCTGGGATTACAGGAGCATGCCACCATTCCTGGCTAATTTTTGTGTTTTTAGTAGAGACGGGGTTTCGCCATGTTGGCCACGCTGGTTTCAAACTCCCTACCTCAGGTGATCCACCCACCTCAGCTTCCCAAAGTGCTGGGATTACAGACGTGAGCTGCCGCGCCAGGCCTATCTTTACTTTTTAAAAATTATTTTTATCTTTTTTTTTTCTTTATTTGAGACAGAGTCTCACTCTGTTGCCCAGGCTGGAGTGCAGTGGCGTGATCTCAGCTCATTGCAAGCTCCACCTCCTGGGTTCACACCATTCTCCTGCCTCAGCCTCCTGAGTAGCTGAGACTATAGGCGCCCGCCACCATGCCCGGCTAATTTTTTGTATTTTTAGTAGAGATGGGGTTTCACCATGTTAGCTAGGATGGTCTGGATCTCCTGACCTCGTGATCCACCGCTTCAGCCTCCCAAAGTGCGTGAGCCACTGCGCCTGGCATTTTTATCTTTTTTTAGAGACAGGGTCTCTCTCTGTTGCCCAGGCTGGACAACAGTGGTACAATCATAGCTCACTGCAGCCTAGAGTTCCTGGGCTCAAATAATCCTCCCACCTCAGCCTCCAGAATAGCTGGGACTACCGGCACATGCTACCACGCCCAGCTAATTTTTTTATGTTTTCTTTTTTGAGACAAAGGTCTCATTCTGTGGCCCAGGCTGGAGTGCAGAGTGACACGATCACAGCTCACTGTAGCCTCGGCCTCCTGGACTCCACTGATCCTCCCACCTCAGCCTCCCAAGTAGCCTGGATTACAGGCCATCATGCCTGGCCAACTT